>NC_000011.10:102020909-102323939 GCF_000001405.40 Homo sapiens
GGTGGAAGATGGGGAGATAGCCGTGGAAGAGAGTAACCATAGTGGAAATATGCTATGGTTTGAATGTGCCCCCTAAAGTTCATGTGTTGTAACTTAACCCCCAGTGCAACAGTACTGAGGCGGTGGGATCTTTAAGAGGTGATTAGGTCGTGGGCCCAGAGCGTTGGCTCACGATGGTTATCCCAACACTTTGGGAGGCCGAGGCAGGCAGATTACCTGACGTCAGGAGTTCCAGACCAGCCTGGCCAACATGATGAAACCCTTTCTCTACTAAAAATACAAAAAAATTAGCTGGGTGTGGTGGCAGGCACCTGTGGCCCCAGCTACTTGGGAGGCTGAGACAGGGGAATCGTTTGAACCAAAGAAGTGGAGCTTGCAGTGAGCTGAGATCCCACCTAGGCACTCCAGCCTGAGTGACAGAGAAAGACTCTGTCTCAAAAAAAAAGAAAAAAAAAGATGTGATTAGGTGATGATGGCTTTGCCCTCATGAGTGGATTAATGCTGTTATCTCAGGAGCAAGATCCTGTTAAAAGGATGTGTTTGGCCCCTTTCCCCCTTTCTCTTCCACACCTGCTTTTTAGATCTTCCTCCCTTCTACTATGAGATAATGCAGCAAGAAGGCCTTTACCAGATTCCAGTGCCTTGATATTAGACTTCCCAGCCACCAGAACTGTGAGAAATACATTTCTTTTCTTTATAAATTATCCAGATGGTGATATTCTGTTACAGCAAGTCATGGACTAAGAACATCATAGAGTTAGTGAATTCCACAGAAATTAAAAACCTAATCAATATCCAGTTGTTGTCTTTGTTGTTGTTGTTTTATGGGAAGACAATGCTCGTATGTTGGAGAGAAAGATAAATGGCGTCTCCCTCATTGCCCAGTAACAGTAATTCTTATTTTATTTTATTTTATTTTTAATTTTTTTTTTGAGATGGAGTCTTGCTCTGTTGCACCCAGGCTGTAGTGCAGTGATGCCATCTCAGCTCACTGCAACCTCCACCTCCTGAGTTCAAGCGATTCTCCTGCCTCAGCCTCCTGAGTAGCTGGGATTACAGGCGCCCACCACCACGCCCAGCTAATTTTTTTTTTTTTGTATTTTTAGTAGAGATGGGGTTTCACCATGTTGGTCAGGCTGATCTCAAACTCCTGACCTCAGGTAATCCGCCTGCCTCGGCCCCACAGAGTGCTGGGATTACAGGCGTGAGCCACTGCACCCGGCCAGTAACAGTAATTCTATTTTGACCTTAAACTGTAAATAAAATGGAGAGGTCGGGTGAGGTGGCTCATGCCTGTAATCCTAATACTTTGGAAGGCCAAGGCCGAAGGATTGCTTGAGCCCAAGAGGTTAAGACCAGTATGGGCAACATAGTAAGACCTCATCTCTATTCTTTATTTAAAAATAATGAATACATAAGTACCTAAATAAAATGGAGAACTAATGACTAAGATAGAAAAGACTAGAAAGTGATGGAAGAAACAGAAGTGAGAGCCTGTTTTGGCCATGTTAAGTGGGTGCTGGTTAGACAACCATGCAAGATGTTAAGGAGGCATTTGGAAATACACGTTTGGAAATTCAGAAAGGGGTCAAAGCCAGGGATTTTATTTTATGTTTTGGAGACAAGGTCTCACGCTGTCCCCTAGGCTGCAGTGAGCGCAATCCCAGCTCACTGCAGCCTCAAACTCCTGGGCTCAAATGATCTTCCCATCTCACCTTCCTGAGTAGCTGGGACTACAAGCACATGCCACCAAACCTGGCTAATTTTTTTATTTTTATTTTTATTTTTAGTGGAGACGAGGTTTCGCTATGTTGCCGAGGCTGATCTCAAGCTCCTAAGCTCAAACAATCCTCCCACCTCAGCCTCTCAAAATGCTGGGATTACAAGTGTGAGCCACTGCCCCTGGCCTAAAGCCAGAGATTTTTTAAATTGGCATGTAGATGATATTTACATTTCTGTAGTAATTGTAGGGTTTACTTATATGTATGTCTTTAATCCACCGGAAATTGTAATACAATATGTGGTAGAGATTTTGTTTTTTCCAAATGGGAAAAATAACTGCCTCAGTGCAATCCTTACATTATTCCATTAATTCAATACTATCAGTACTCTCCTTATCCTACTACCCCCGACCTCCAGAATAATGTCCAGATTTCCTGTTCTGACATTCAAAGCACTCAATTGCCTGGTCTTACTTTTTTTCCTGATCTATTTCACTGACGTTATGATTTTCCTACTGGTTTTCAAATTGTGAATAAGCCCTAGGGGCTGTGTAAAGCCCTCTCAGAGCCATCTTGGCGTGAGATAACGGAGCAAACAGGCAAGGATCCTGCCACTCATCCCACTTCAAACACTAGAACTCTCCCTTCACCTGATTTACATGTTGATGCCTCCAAATGAGAATTTTACTGAAGAGGCCACGTGCGGTGGCTCATGTCTGTAATCCCAGCATTTTGGGAGGCCGGGGTGGGCGGATCACTTAAAGTCAGGAGTTCGAGACCAGCCTGGTCCAACATGGTAAAACTCCATCTCTACTAAAAATACAAAAGTTAGCCCCGCGTGGTGGTGGGCGCCTGTAATCCCAGCTACTGGGGAGGCTGAGGCAGGAGAATCACTTGAACCTGGGAGGCAGAGGTTGCAGTGAGCCGAGACTGTGCCACTGCACTCCAGCCTGGGCAACAGAGCCAGAGTCTTAAAAAAGGAATTTTTTTGAAGAGATTCAGTTGCTTATTTATTTATTTATTTATTTATTTATTGAGACAGAGTCTGGCTTTGTCACCCAGGCTGGAGTGCAGTGGCACAGTCTCAGTTCACTGCAACCTCTGCCTCCCAGGTTCAAGTGATTCTCCTGCCTCAGCCTCCCAAGTAGCTGGGATTACAGGCATGTGCCACCACTTCCGGCTAATTTTTTTTTTTGTATTTTTAGTAGAGACGGGGTTTCATCATGTTGGCCAGGCTGGTCTCGAACTCCTGACCTCAAGTGATCTGCCCGCCTCCACCTCCCAAAGTGCTGGGATTACAGGCATAAGCCACCTCGCCTGGCTAGACTCAGTTGCTTTAGAAAACAAACAAACAAACAAAAACCCTCTTCTCTAGGCTAAATGATCCTCTTGTGCAAGTTTTACAATGCCTACTTGTCATTGATTGGGTTCCATAGGAAACAGACTTTGAGACAGAGATCTGTGCACAAGAAGTTTATGGAGGCACACTCTCCTGTAAAGAAAGGAAGGAAGTAGAGTTACATAGAGGGAGATGTTGGAACTATGAAGCAGTTACAACAGAGATTCTGGTCAATCCTACATGCCCCACATTGAGGCAAGGGGGCCCTGCTGTCCAGTCAATGTATTCTGATTGCCCTGGGGAGGTAGTAGCATCAATTTGGGTGAAGGAGCTCGCTTTGTTTGTGCACAGTTCCTGGAAAGGGACTTAACCTTAAGCCATCCACAGACCAGGATTCCATCAGTTGAGCAAATGAGTGCCTTAGCTCTGAAGAGGGTTCCTGGTGGCACACCACAGCACCTATACCACTTCTTTGAATTTGCTCAGGCTATTGATTTTTCTCAAGGACATTTCCTACCACCTCCAATTCCTACCGCCTCCGATTAAGCCCAGCTCAAATGCTGTATCCTCCATTAAACATTCCTTGACTCTTGTCATTGTAAATAGTATTTTTCTCCTTTAAATTTTGAGCACTTTATATTCCTCTCGTGGCATTACAACACTTATCTTATTCTACCTTCCATAAGAGCTATTTTTTACTTCAATAAATTGAGAACTTTCAGTTACTCAGGCAATAAACTAGGACCCGAGGATATAAAGTGATCAAAACAGATATGATCCTCTTCATACTTTAAACAAATAGAAGTTAAAAAGTTCACAGTAGTAAAAGAGTACATAGGATGGAAATTTAATTCAAATGAAGGTGTCGGGAAATGATTCTCTAAAGAAGTGATATGAAACCCAGTAGTAGAGAGCAGCTCAGTGAAGGGTGGTGGTACGGATAAGGAGTGGGGTGTGTGCAAGTAAGAGCGAGCAAGGCCAGGCACGGTGGCTCACGCCTGTAATCCCAGCACTTTGGGAGGCTGAGGCAGGCAGATCACTTGAGGTCGGGAGTTCGAGACCAGCCTGGCCAACATGGTGAAATTCCCATCTCTACTAAAAATACAAAAATTAGCTGGGCATTGTGGCACGCACGTGTAATGCCAACTACTCAGGTGGCTGAGGAGGGGACTTGCTTGAACCTGGAAGGCAGAGGTTGCAGTGAGCCGGGATCATGCTACTGCACTCCAGCCTGGGCGACAGAGTGAGACTCTGTCTCAAAAAAAAAAAAAAAAAAAAAAGTAAGAGAGAGCAGCAAATGCTAAACCTGACATATGTTGATCTCTTCCTATATGGCAGACACCATCTCAGGTGCAAGGGCTCCATTACTAAACAAAAGCAGAAGAAAAGTCCTTCCTCCTTAGAGCTTCCATCCTAGGAAATAAATGAACTTAATATAACTAGAATTTAGAGAATAAAAGAGAGGGTGGTGCAAGATGGGGCTGAATGGGTAGGTAGAGGCCAGACCACTAATGGCCTGGTCAGGATTTAAGGATTTTAATGCCATAGACATGATTAGATTGTTTTTTCAACAACCTCTCTGGCTGTAGTGTACCTGTCCTGTCTCCCCTTCTGTATTTCTAGCTATTAGAAGATTGCTCTTTACCTAATATGCCTTTCAGAACATAAGGTCCCTTTGCAAATAATGGACACCCAATAAATAATAACAATGACTAACATTTGAGTGTTTTCTGTGTGCTGGAGACTGGTCTAAGCATGTTCCATGTATCAACTCATTAATCCTTACAACCCACCATGTCAGTTGGCTGGCCAAATGTAAGGAGGTATGTTTATTTGGAGCATAGGAACCTGGACACACTAGATAGTCTACAGATAGAGACTATGTGTGCAGTAGGGGGGAGGGAGTAAGCAGTAGGTGAGAAAAAAAATCAAAATGCCACATACACAGCTCCATATGCCTTTGCATCTTATTCAAACCAATTTTTTAAAAAACATTCACAGTTAGCTGCAAAGCTAAGAAATACTTGGACAGGAAAACTGCGTGATCCTATTGCCCAAAAAAGACTGGTGTACACATTTTCATGTCTCTAAAGCCCTTATCCTATCATTATAATTATTAAAACATATGCCTAAAGAACATGGTGAGCCGATTTAGCAAAATCACTGGGCTTTCTGAGGAACTGTTTATAATAATCTCTTAAGGCATCAACAATACCCCATCTCTCTCTCTCTGAAAAAATTAAAAACAAAAAAACCTTGGGAATGTGTTATCTGGGATCTCCAAAGAGATCTGTCTGATTGAGGGACACTCCCCACACCCAGCCCCCTGATATTGCAACACACAAATGAAAAAGGACTCACCTGCAGACTCAAAGTGGCTGTGCCTCCCTGAATGAGAAGCTAGATAAACATCACACTTAAAAGAGGCACTAAGGAACAGTCACTGACTGAGCCTTACAAGTATGTTCATAGTTCCAAATGAGACGCAACATAATGAGCTGTGGCATTTTAGATGAGGAAAGGCAGATAAAGGTGTAAGGACACGATGTGCTCGCTCGTTCCTGTTAATATGGAACTTTGATCAGAATTCCATTTTATTACATGAGTGGGAAACAGCTTAATGGTCCTTTTCTCCAAGCACTCCCAGTTCTTGGACTAAGTAAGCATACATTTATCTATAGGTTTACCCATGATTTGAAAAAACATGTAAATAATAATCAGGAGCTATCCCCTTCCCATTAGAGTAGTAGTTCTGCTTATCAATTTCTCTAACTAGACCCCCTACTTTGTCTCTTTAGCATTTTCCTCCATCTCAGGCAATAGTTACAGCCCCTCACTGGGTCTTAGCCGCCCACCAATGTCCACCCCAACCCCTTGGTGCTGGAGGCGTGGCAGATTGATTTGAGCAGTAAGTTGGGGTACATTGCTTTGTAACATTTCATAAACTTTGTTTAAACAAGAGTAAACCAAAAACAGGATTTTGCAATAAAAAGTATTTTTATAGAAACCAAACAAAGACTAACATAAGTTGTACCCAGCCATTAGGAAGGCAAAGAAACTGCTTTTCTTGACAGCCCTAGAAAGCTTTAAATTAATGTCAAAGACAGGAGTCCTGTCACAGAACAGAAAGACACGTTCCAGCCCCTACTTGTTTATATCTTCCTGGGGCCGTAACTGCACCCCCACACTAGCTGTCTTCCAGAAACAAAAGACAGTACAGTTTAACCCTTTCCTTTACTACAGGTCCTTTTAACTGCCAGCAGATATATTAATTGCATCATGAACCACAAGCTGCTGCTGAGCTAAACAAAGTAAAAGTTAATAAGGAAATAATAATGATATTTATTTAGTCAGCACATACCAGGCACTGTGATGAGCACATACAGAAGTTTCCTCAACACTTCTTACAACAATCAGATGAGGAAACTGTGACAAAGAAGGTAACTGGCCAATTACCTTTATACAACCAGTAAGTGACAAGGTAAAGAGCAGATCTGCTTCCCCATAAAATCTAAGTTTTAACTATAGCGAAAACCTGTAAATTAAATTTATACATAACGTCTCTATAAATTTATTTAAATTAAAATTAATTTGCTATAATTTATAAATTTATTTATAAATAAATTACCTATAAATTAATTTTATAAAATGTTATTTATTTAAAGGTAATCCTTAAAGCTTGTATTGTTTTAAATTAAATATATCCGGGGAGCAAGTGTGCCTATAACTAATCTTAATGCTTACAACAAAAATATAACCAATCAACTTAGTCAAATCAGTTGTATTTTTCACACCTGTAATATAATATAGATCAGTAAAATTGGAATCATTGATTCATTTACTCAATAAATTTTTTGGAATCCCCTCCTGTGTGCCAGCTACTTAGGATACAATGTTGAACAGAATACTCGATCTCTGACCTCTTAGATTACTGGCTAATGAGAGAGACAAACATTAAATACGGAAGCATACAAATATTTAAATAATTGCAAGCTGTTATAAGTGCTATTGGGAACAAGTACATTGTTATGAGAGAATGACCAGAAAGACTAATATTGATTGGGGGTCAGAAAAGTCCCTGTAGGTAAACGACTTGTCACTTGAAACTTGAAGATGCATAGGAAGTAGTTAGGCTAAGAGTGAGAGGAAGGGAGGTGTTCCAGGCAGGGGACAAACCTTGTGCCAAGGCCCTGAGCAAGAAAAGAGCTTGGCTTTTTCCAAGCTAGTGATCCTTAAGTATGGAACCAGGGAAAGAGATAGGAAATTAGATTGGAAAGAAAGACAATGTAAGCCGTATAGATTTTGTATTTTTACCTTATGTGCAAATGAAAATTCACTGAAGAATTCTCAATAGTGTTGATACAGACAGGAGGCAGGGAAACACTGAGTAGAGAAAGGTGGTCCCTGGCGAGGGCTACACCCTCAAGCCTGGACCCGTGGCCATAAATGAGAATATGCATTCCTGTTTTTCCACCTGAATGTTGCCTATTCCAAAACCACCCTGGCCTGCCACGCCCCCCACCCCGTACCCATAAAAACCCCAAGCTCCACTGGCAGAGGAGCAGAGCGGCGCAGCAGAGAAGGAGAGAAGGGAAGAAGCATCTGAATGTCGAGAGGAGAAGAGGCAGCTGGACATCGGAGACTACAGTCGGAGAGGAGTTCAGTTGGGATGGCCAAACTCCAAGAGAAGATTATCTTCCCACTCCATCCCCTTTAGCTCCCCATCCCACTAAAGAAATAATAATGATATTCATTTAGTCAGCACATACCAGGCACTGTGATAAGCACATACAGACATTTCCTTAACATTTCTTGCAGCAAGAAAATGGCCACTAAGAGCCACTTTCATCGCTCAATAGAACCCTCCACATACACCACCCTTCAGTCCGTTCGTGTGATCCAATTCTTCCTCCACACCGGACAAGGATTCAGCATGCACTGGGTGTGGGAACCCAAAAAGGCTGTCACATTGATTCTTCACTGAGCTGTTTAACACTTCTGCCGTCCACAGATGGCAAAGCTAAAAGAGCATTGTTTGTAACACATGCCCTCTAGGGCTCCAGAGGTCATGGGCAGCCCCTAGACGCTGCCGCAGGCCGGTACAGAGTTTGTTCCTGCCAGCATCCAAACGTAGTTGCACCAGCTCCTGCACCCGCTCACCTGCATGCTCCCCCTTTTGCAGGGGATTTGAGCTGAGCTCAGTAACCAAGTGAACGAACCACACCCATCTAAAGTCCTGAGAGGAGGTCAAAGGAACTGTCCCATCTCAGTGTCATTTTACAATCTAATTTACCATTTTTTAAAGCTCAATCTGGCTGATGAATTCATAATGAATGTCAGGAGAGAAAGAGTAGAAAAGGGAGAACAGTTAGGAAGTTTTAGTTACAATCATCCAAGCAAAAAGATGAT
Organism: Homo sapiens; assembly: GCF_000001405.40. NCBI lineage: Eukaryota > Metazoa > Chordata > Mammalia > Primates > Hominidae > Homo > Homo sapiens. The sequence continues at coordinate 102,029,379 of NC_000011.10, forward strand.
GGTAGCTTTGACTAAAGTGGCAACAGTGGAGAGAAGTGGAACCTGGAGAGAAGTGGATAGATTGTATATACATTGAGATTATAATAAGATTTAGTGACTAATTTGGTATGGGGAAAGATAGCGAAGGGGTGGGACAAGCTGGGGTCAAAGAGAAGTCCCAGGTTTCTGAATTGAGCAATTGGGTAGATGGAAGTGTAGAATAGCTTACAGTAAGAGTCAAAGCGGCCAGGCGTGGTGGTTCATGCCTGTAATCCCAGCACTTTGGGAGGCCGAGGCGGGCATATCACAAGGTCAGGAGATCAAGACCATCCTGGCTAACATGGTAAAACCCCATCTCTAGTAAAAATTAAAAAAATCAGCCGGATGTGGTGGCAAGGGCCTGTAGTCACAGCTACTCGGGAGGGCGAGACAGGAGAATCGCTTGAACCCGGGAGGCGGAGGTTGTAGTGAGCCAAGATCGCACCACTGCACTCCAACTCCAGCTTGGGAGACAGAGCAAGACTCGGTCTCAAAAAAAAAAGTCAAAGGGGCTAATATATACAGTGGATGGATAGTGTCTAGACCAGCACTTCTCATTTAATGTGTATGTGAATTACCTAAAGAGGCTTGTTAAAGTATAGATTCTGCTTCATGACATGAGGTCTGGGGTTGGGCCAGAGGTTCTGTGTTTTTACCAGTTCCCATATGATGTCAATGATGCTAGTCCACAGACCACATGTTGAGTGGCAAGGCTCTATTATAGAAACACCATACACATAGGATTACAAACTTTTCAACAAAAAAAAATATATTTTTTTGAGACAGGATCTTGCTCTGTCATCCAAGCTGCAGTACAGTGGTGTGATCATGGCTCACTGTAGCCTTGACCTCCAAGGTTCAAGCAGTCCTCCTACCCTAGCCTCCCAAATAGCTGGGACTACAAGCAGGCACCACCACACCTGGCTAATTTTTTAAATTTTTTGTAGAGATAAGGTCTTGCTATGTGACCAGGCTGGTCTCAAACTCCTGGGTTCAAGTGATTCTCCTGCCTTGGCCTCCCAAAGTGCTGGGATTACAGGTATGAGCCACCTTGCCTTGCCAAGAATAACGTTTTAATTTAATCATTATAATTTTATAAAAGATAGAATATTATAATTATTTTTAAAAATTACACAATTTCAAAATAAAGAAGGTTGCTTAATAGAATAGATTTATCAGAACACGTATTACCTTACCTTTTTATTATTTACCTCATTTGGCCGCAGATGATGTGAAATTTTACCTTATGTGCCAAAGACACATGGCTGTATGAACAACACAGAGGTTGGGTTAAGGTGGAAAAATAAGAAAATGAGTTCTGGCTGAGCAACAAATAGAATAGAAGAAAACACACTATTTATTTATTTATTTATTTTTGAGACAGAGTCTCACTCTGTTGCCCAGGCTGGAGTTCAGTGGTGTGATCTCGGCTCACTACAACCTTCCGCCTTCCAGGTTCAAGCGATCCTCCTGCCTCAGCTTCCCGAGTAGCTGGGATTACAGGCACAAGCCACCATGCGCGGCTAATTTTTGTATTTTTAGTAGAGATAGGTTTTCACCATGTTGGTCAGGCTAATCTTGAACTCCTGACCTCGTGATCCACCCACCTCAGGCTCCCAAAGTGCTGGGATTACAGGTGTGAGCCACTGCGCATAGCCTAGAAGAAAATACACTTTATAAAAATGCCATACACATAGAATGTAAAATTCTACGTCTGGGATGATAGGTAATTTTTACTCTTTTGCTTGTTTTCTATATTAAACATGTGTTACTTATACAAGCTTTTTTTTAAACCATAAAGATGATTGGAAGGTACTAAAAAATAAAAATACACTGTCAAGACTGAATTAATGAAGGTTACATAGAACATATACCAGTCATGCACATTTGAGTGAGAACCAACACTTAGAAAACTATCCATTTCCAGTAAATACTGCACTTAAAACTATACACTCAAAGCCTAATCACTGATTATAGGATTGAAAAAAGATGATAATTTGACCAACAACATAACAAAAGTTATTCAAATTTTTTTATTATACTTTAAGTTCTAGGGTACATGTGCACAACATGCAGGTTTGTTACATATGTATACATGTGCCATGTTGGTTTGCGGCACCCATTAACTCGTCATTTACATTAGGTATTTCTCCTAATGCTGTCCCTCCTGCCTCCCTCCACCCCACGACAGGCCCCTGTGTGTGATGTTCCCCACCCTGTGTCCAAGTGTTCTCATTGTTCAATTCCCACCTATGAGTGAGAACATGTGGTGTCTGGTTTTCTGTCCTTGCGATAGTTTGCTCAGAATGATGGTTTCCAGCTTCACCCATGTACCTACAAAGGACATGAACTCATCCTTTTTTATGGCTGCATAGTATTCCATGGTGTATATGTGCCACATTTTCTTAATCCAGTCTATCATTGATGGACATTTGGGTTGATTCCAAGTCTTCGTTATTGTGAATAGTGCCACAATAAACATACGTGTGCATGTGTCTTTATAGTAGCATGATTTATAATCCTTTGGGTATATATCCAGTAATGGGATGGCTGGGTCAAATGGTATTTCTAGTTCTAGATCCTTGAGGAATCGCCACACTGTCTTCCACAATGGTTGAACTAGTTTACAGTCCCACCAACAGTATAAAAGTGTTCCTATTTCTCCACATCCTCTTCAGCACCTGTTGTTTCCTGACTTTTTAATGATCGCCATTCTAACTGGTGTGAGATGGTATCTCATTGTGGATTTGATTTGCATTTTTCTGATGACCAGTGATGATGAGCATTTTTTCATGTGTCTGTTGGCTACATAAATGTCTTCTTTTGAGAAGTGTCTGTTCATATCCTTTGCCCACTTTTTGATGGCGTTGTTTGATTTTTTTCTTATAAATTTGTTTAAGTCCTTTGTAGATTCTGGATATTAGCCCTTTGTCAGATGAGTAGATTGCAAAAATTTTCTCCCATTCTGTAGGTTGCCTGTTCACTCTGATGGTAGTTTCTTTTGCTGTGCAGAAGCTCTTTAGTTTAATTAGATCCCATTTGTCAATTTTGGCTTTTGTTGCCATTGCTTTTGGTGTTTTAGTCATGAAGTCTTTGTTCATGCCTATGTCCTGAATGGTATTGCCTAGGTTTTCTTCTAGGGTTTTTATGGTTTTAGGTCTAAGATTTAAGTCTTTAATCCACCTTGAATTAATTTTTGTATAAGGTGTAAGGAAGGGATCCAGTTTCAGCTTTCTACATATGGCTAGCCAGTTTTCCCAGCATGATTTATTAAATAGGGAATCCTTTCCCCATTTCTTGTTTTTGTCAGGTTTGTCAAAGATCAGATGGTTGTAGATGTGTGGTGTTGTTTCTGAGGCCTCTGTTCCATTCCATTGGTCTATATCTCTGTTTTGGTACCAGTAGCATGCTGTTTTCGTGACTGTAGCCTTGTAGTGTAGTTTGAAATCAGGTAGCGTGATGCCTCCAGCTTTGTTCTTTTTGCCTAGGATTGGCTTCGCAAAGTGGGCTCTTTTTTGCTTCCGTGTGAACTTGAAAGTAGTTTTTTCCAATTCTGTGAAGAAAGTCATTGGTAGCTTGATGGGGATGGCATTGAATCTATAAATTACCTTTGGCAGTATGGCCATTTTCACAATATCGATTTTTCCTGTCCATGAGCATGGAATGTTCTTCCATTTATTTGTGTCCTCTTTTATTTCGTTGAGCAGTGGTTTGTAGTTCACTTTGAAGAGGTCCTTCACATCCCTTGTAAGTTGGATTCCTAGGTATTTTATTCTCTTTGTAGCCATAGTGAATGGGAGTTCCTTCATGATTTGGCTCTCTGTTTGTCTGTTATTGGTGTGTAGGAATGCTTGTGATTTTTGCACATTAATTTTGTATCCTGAGACTTTGCCGAATTTGCTTATCAACTTAAGGGGATTTTGGGCTGAGACGATGGGGTTTTCTAAATATACAATAATTTCATCTGCAAACAGGGACAATTTGACTTCCTCTTTTCCTAATGGAATACCCTTTCTTTCTTTCTCTTGCCTGATTGCCCTGGCCAGAACTTCCAACACTATGTTGAATAGGAGTTGTAAGAGAGGGTATCCCCGTCTTGTGCCAGTTTTTAAAGGGAATGCTTCCAGTTTTTGCCCATTCAGTATGATATTGGCTGTGGGTTTGTCATAAATAGCTCTTATTATTTTTAGATATGTTCCATCAATAGTTTATTGAGAGTTTTTAACTTGAAGCACTATTGAATTTTGTCGAAGGCCTTTTCTGCATCTATTGAGATAATCATGTGTTTTTCGTCTTTGGTTCTGTTTATGTGATGGATTACGTTTATTGATTTAGGTATGTTGAACCAGCCTTGCATCCCAGGGATGAAGCCAACTTGATCTTGGTGGATAAGTTTTTTGTTGTGCTGCTGGATTCAGTTTGCCAGTATTTTATTGAGGATTTTTGCATTGATGTTCTTCAGGGATATTGGTATAAAATTCTCTTTTTTTGTTGTGTCTCTGCCAGGCTTTGGTATCAGGATGATGCTGGCCTCATAAAATGAGTTAGGGAGCATTCCCTCTTTTTCTATTGATTGGAATAGTTTCAGAAGGAATGGTACCAGCTCCTCTTTGTACCTCTGGTAGAATTCGGCTATGAATCTGTCTGGTCCTGGACCTTTTTTTGGTTGGTAGGCTATTAATGATTACCTCAATTTCAGAGCCTGTTATTGGTCTATTTAGGGATTCAACTTCTTCCTGGTTTAGTCTTGGGAGGGTGTATGTGTCCAGGAATTTATCTATTTCTTCTAGATTTTCTAGTTTATTTGCGTAGAGGTGTTTATAGTATTCTCTGATGGTAGTTTGTATTTCTGTGGGATCAGTGGTGATATCCCCTTTATCATTTTTTATTGCATCTATTTGATTCTTCTCTCTTTTCTTCTTTATTAGTCTTGCTAGTGGTATATCAATTTTGTTGATCTTTTCAAAAAACCAGCTCCTGGATTCATTGATTTTTTTAAGGGTTCTTTGTGTCTCTATCTTCTTCAGTTCTGCTCTGATCTTAGTTATTTCTTGCCTTCTGCTAGCTTTTGAATGTGTTTGCTCTTGCTTCTCTAGTTCTTTTAATTGTGATGTTAGGGTGTCAATTTTAGATCTTTCCTGCTTTCTCTTGTGGGCATTTAGTGCTATAAATTTCCCTCTACACACTGCTTTAAATGTGTCCCAGAGATTCTGGTATGTTGTGTCTTTGTTCCCATTGGTTTCAAAGAACATCTTTATTTCTGCCTTCATTTCGTTATGTACCCAGTAGTCATTCAGGAGCAAGTTGTTCAGTTTCCATGTAGTTGAGCAGTTTTGAGTGAGTTTCTTAATCCTGAGTTCTAGTTTGATTGCACTGTGGTCTGAGAGACAGTTTGTTGTGATTTCTGTTCTTTTACATTTGCTGAGGAGAGCTTTACTTCCAACTATGTGGTTGATTTTGGAATAAGTGTCATGTGGTGCTGAGAAGAATGTATATTCTGTTGATTTGGGGTGGAGAGTTCTGTAGATGTCTATCAGGTCCGCTTGGTGCAGAGCTGAGTTCAATTCCTGGATATCCTTGTTAACCTTCTGTGTCACTGATCTGTCTAAAATTGACAGTGGGGTGTTAAAGTCTCCAATTATTATTGTGTGGGAGTCTAAGTCTCTTTGTAGGTGTATAAGGACTTGCTTTATGAATCTGGGTGCTCCTGTATTGGGTGCGTATATATTTAGGACAGTTAGCTCTTCTCGTTGAATTGATCTCTTTGCCATTATGTAATGGCCTTCTTTGTCTCTTTTGATCTTTGTTGTTTTAAAGTCTGTTTTATCAGAGACTAGGATTGCAACCCCTGCTTTTTTGTGTTATTTTGTTTTCCATTTGCTTGGTAGATCTTCCTCCATCCCTTTATTTTGAGCCTATGTGTGTTTCTGCACATGAGATGGGTCTCCTGAATACAGCACACTGATGTGTCTTGACTCTTTATCCAATCTGCCAGTCTGTGTCTTTTATTTGGGGAATTTAGCCCATTTACATTTAAGGTTAATATTGTTATGTGTGAATTTGATCCTGTTATTATGATGTTAGCTGGTTATTTTGCCCATTAATTGATACAGTTTCTTCCTAGCATCGATGGTCTTTACAATTTGGCATGTTTTTGCAGTGGTTGGTACCAATTGTTCCTTTCCATGTTTAGTGCTTCCTTCAGGAGCTCTTGTAAGGCAGGCCTGGTGGTGACAAAATCTCTCAGCATTTGCTTGTCTGTAAAGGATTTTATTTCTCCTTCACTTCTGAACCTTAGTTTGGCTGGATGTGAAATTCTGGGTTGAAAATTCTTTTATTTAAGAATGTTGAATATTGGCCCCCAGTCTCTTCTGGCTTGCAGGTTTTCTGCCGAGAGATCCCCTGTTAGTCTGATGGGCTTCCCTTTGTGGGCAACGTGACCTTCATTTCAACCTTGGTGAATCTGAAGATTATGTGTCTTTGGGTTGCTCTTCTCAAGGAGTATCTTTGTGGTGTTCTCTGTATTTCCTGAATTTGAATGTTGGCCTGCCTTGCTAGGTTGGGGAAGTTCTCCTTTTTTTTTTAAAGATGGAGTCTCACTTTGTTACCTAGGCAGGAGTGCAGTGGTGCCACCTCAGCTCACTGCAACTTCCACCTCCCAGATTCAAACAATTCTCCTGCCTCAGCCTCCTGAGTAACTGGGATTACAGGTGCCACCATGCCAGGCTAATTTTTGTAGTTTTAGTAAAGACGAGGTTTCACCATGTTGGCCAGGCTGGTCTTGAACTCCTAACCTCAAGTGATCTGCTCACTTCAGTCTCCCAAAGTGCTGGGATTACAAATGTGAGTCACCGTGCCCAGCCAAAAGTTATTTCTGAGTAATGCGAAAAGCAGCAAAAAATTCCTAAACTAAATTTAAATTAGAATCTGACACCCAAAATGAAAATAATTCTATGTTTTTGTTTTTGTTTTTTAAAAATACAAAGATGACATATGTCAAACTTCATCACACTGTACACTTTAAATGTGTACAGTTAATTATATGTCAATTACATTTCAATAAAAGTTGGAAAATTTTAGAGAAAAATTAACTAAAATACTATGTGCTTAGGTTCTATGGAAAATCGTTTTTTTAGGCCAGGCGCAGTGGCTCACACCAGTAATCCTAGCACTTTGGGTTGCCAGGGCAAAAGGATCACTTGAGCCTAGGAGTTGGAGACCAGCCTGGGCAACATGGCAAAACCATGTATCTACAAAAAAATACAAAAATTAGCCAGGCATGGTGGTACTCACCTGTAGTCCCAGCTACTCAGAAGGCTAAAGTGGGACGATCATCTGAGCCTGGGGAGGTTGAGTCTGCAGTGGGCCTTGATTGTGCCACTGCACTCCAGCCTGGGCAACAGAGTGAAATCCCATCTCAAAAAAACATAAGAAAGAAGAAAAGAGAAGAGAAGAGAAGAGAAGGGGAGGGGAGGGGAGGGGAGGGGAGGGGAGAGGAGGGAAGAGAAGAGAGAGAAAGGGAGGGAGGGAAGAAGGAAGGAAGGAAAGAGGGAAGGAAGGAAGGAAGGAAGGAAGTTTTTTTTAAAGTATTAAGCAAATTCCTCCATGCCGAGTGGCATATAATCTATTTGCAAAGATGTTCACAAAATATTAGAAAGATAAAAGTACAAAATAGTATCTGCAAATATTTGATCATCTGGCAAGATCCCAATCTATATGAATTCAGACAGAAGCACTGGAGTAAATTCCTTCATGCAATGAGATTTAACATAAATTTTAAAGAAAGTACGGGACTGTTTTTTCATTGAATAGTCTAGAAAACATGCATCAAACATGCCTCACTGCATCTTCCGCCTCCTGGGTTCAAGCGATTTTCATGCCTGTCTGCTGAGTAGCTGGAATTACAGATGCATGCCACCACACCTGGCAAATTTTTTTAATTTTTAATAGAGACAGGGTTTTGCCATGTTGGCCAGGCTGGTCTCGAACTCCTGGCCTGAAGTGATCCACCCGCCTCAGCTTCCCAAAGTGCTGGGATTACATGTGTGAGCAACCACACCTGGCCCCTGAAGACATTTCAGTGCTGAAGAGCATGGCAAGCCAAAGAGCGAGCTCAACACCTCTGAAAGGCAGAACTGACTCTTCTTATCTTTGGGGGATGAGAAGGCAGAGATCTTTTAGTTTCTCAATCAAAAGCCCCAGGTGGTGGTGGGGTGGAAGGGGAGGGGGAATACCCAAGTTTTAGACACAAAAGAGACAAACTGCATTTCAATCATACTAAAACTACAACCAAGCCCTGATCCTGTCAAATCCCGAATTACAGTTGTTATTCACCCTATTTGCTTAACAGAGCAAATAATAAATACTTTCTGGTAGAAGATAGTATTTCCTGAATATCTTATGCTTTTTAAATACACAATATCTTACATTAAAAGGTTGTTAAACATGTGAGAAGGCAGAGCAACATGATTTATAAACAAGAGACAACATAGGCAAAAGAAGCAGACCATTAAATAATCCTGATTTTAAAATAACTCTGATTACTGTGTTAAAGAAAAAAAAGGCCGGGCGCGGTGGCTCACGCCTAATCCCAGCACTTTGGGAGGCCGAGGCGGGCGGATCACGAGGTCAGGAGATCGAGACCATCCCTGCTAAAACGGTGAAACCCCGTCTCTACTAAAAATACAGAAAATTAGCCGGGCGTAGTGGCGGGCGCCTGTAGTCCCAGCTACTTGGGAGGCTGAGGCAGGAGAATGGCGTGAACCCGGGAGGCGGAGCTTGCAGTGAGCCGAGATCCCGCCACTGCACTCCAGCCTGGGCGACAGAGCGAGACTCCATCTCAAAAAAAAAAAAAAAGAAAAAGAAAAAAAAAAGAACATGCAGTAAATGAAAAACTTGAAAGTTTAAATGGAACAGAATCTATTAAACAAGATTAAGATGGGCATTTCTAGGGCTTAAAAATAAAATACCTAAAATTGAGCAGAAAATAGAATTAGTAAATTTCAATAGAATTTACTATTGTCAGGTCAATAGAGAAGAGAAAAACTGAAGTACAAGGAGAAACAAAGGATTGAAAAAGGTATAACAGTGCCTAAGAAATATGGGACACAGTGAAAAGTTCTAATATATATGTAACTAAAAACAAAGAAAAAGAGAGTGAAAACAAGGCAGGAATAATCTTTGAAGAGGTAATGGCTAGATTTTCAAAATTGATAAAATACATCAACCAAAGAATCTGAAAGTTCAGAAAACCCCCAACAGGATGAATCTGAATACATAAGATACACAAGCACACACATACCAGAGAGAGGGAAAAAGAGAGGGAGGGAGAGAAGAGCAAGTCTGCTGAAAACAAAGGCAAAGAAAAAATTTCACCGCAGTCAAAGAAAAGAGACACATTACTTTGCAACAGTTGACTTTTCATCTGAAACTATGGAATCCTTAATGGAATAATATTTTTAAAGTGCTGAAAAACAAAATGTCAGCCAGGAGTGGTGGCTCATGCCTGTAATCCCAGCATTTTGGGAGGCTGAGATGGGAGGATTGCTTGAGGCCAGGAGTTGGAGACCAGCCTGGGCAACACAACAAGACCTCATCTTTACACAAAATAAAAAAGTTACTTGGGTGTGGTGATGCACACCTGTAGTCCCTGCTACTCAGGAGGCTGAGGTGGGAGGATCACTTGAGTCAGGAGTTGAGGTTAACAGTGATCTGTGATCATGCCACTGTACTCCAGCCTGGATGACAAAGCAGGACCCTGTCTCTAAAACAAAACAAAGATAACTGCCAACTGCCAACTTAGAATTCTATGTAGCCTAAAAATTTCCTTCAAAAATAAAGGTAAAATAATGCCAGGCATGGTGGCTCACTCCTGTATTCCCAACACTTTGGGAAGCCAAGAAGGGAGGACTGCTTCAGCCCAGGAGACCACCCTGGGAAACACAGTGAGACCCTGTCTCAATATTTTTAATAATAAAATAAAAATAAAGGTGAAATAAAGACATTTTCAGACAACAAACTGTGAGAGAACTAATCATCAGGAGGCCTCAATTATAAGAAATACTAAAGAAAGATGTTCATGCTGGGCGTAGTGGCTTATGCCTATAATCCCAGTACTTTGGGAGGCTAGGTCAGGCCAATCACTTTGAGCTGAGAAGTTCACAACCAGCCTGGGCAAAATGACAAAACCCTATCTCTAAAAAATAAAAATACAAAAATTAGCTGGGTGTATGACTTGAGCCTGTAGTCCCAGCTGCTTGGGAGGCTGAGGCTGGAAGATCACTTGAGCCTGGGAAGCTGAGGTTGGAGTGAGCCGAGATCCTGCCACTGCATGCCAGCATGGGTGACAGAGTGAGATCCTGTCTCAGAAAAAAAATACAGAAAGATGTTCACGCTGAATGAAAATAATCCTAGTTGTAAATTCAGAACCACTGGAAAGAATAAGAAAACTGTAAAGAAAAAAACGTACTAACAAATATAAAATAATAATTACTATTTAAAACAATAACAATAAAATAATGTATTTTGGAGATACGTAGAAATATAATGTTGACCAAAACAACAGTAAGATGTGGGTAGACTTTTCAGATTGCAAGATTCTTGGCTGGGTGCTGTGGCTCACACCTGTAATCCCAACACTTTGGGAGGCTGAGGCGGGCGGATCACAAGGTCAGGAGTTTGAGACCAGCCTGGCCAACATGGCAAAACCCCATCTCTACTAAAAACACAAAAATTAGGCCAGGCACAGTGGCTCACACCTATAATCCAGCACTTTGGGAGGCCAAGGTGGGTGGATCACGAGGTCAGGAGTTCAAGACCAGCCTGGCCAACATGGTGAAACCCCATCTCCACTAAAAATACAAAATTAGCCGGGTGTGGTGGCACATGCCTGTAATCCCAGCTACTCGGGAGGCTGAGGCAGGAGAATCGCTTGAACCCAGGAGGCAGAAGTTGCAGTGAGCCGAGATCATGCCATTGCGCTCCAGCCTGGGCAACAACAGTGAAACTCCATCTCAAAAAAAAAATACTTGTTTACTTGAAATATGGTAAGTATGCTAATTTAAGATGGACTATAATAAATCAAGGAGGCATACTGTAATCTCTAGGGTAACCATAAAAAGTTACAATAAAATGTTAAGTAAAAACCTAAAAGGAGAAAAATGGCATAATAAAAGTACTCTATTATTCCTTCGATTTTGCCTACTTTTGGATAAAAGGGGAAAAGAAAAGAATTAGAAAACAATGAGCAAAATGATAAGCTTAAACCTAACCATGTCAGTAACATAAATGGACTAAACAATCTACTTAAAAGACAAATGCTTGCTAAAGAATAATAAGCCCCAAATATGTGCCATTTAGAAGAAAGACTCTATAAATATAAAGACACAGAAAGGCTGAAAGTTAAAGGATGGAAGGACATATCATGAAAATACTAACCAAAAAAGGCTATAGTAACTATATTAATACAGGTAGGTTTTCAAGCACAACTGTTACAATAGAAAAAGAGGGGTATTTCATATTGATAAAAGGTTAATTGCAATAGAAAGAAATGACTAACATTTTTATTGATTGACTGATGAGACACACACCTAAGCTGGAGTGTAGTGGTGTGACTGCAACTCAGTGCAGCCTTGACTTCCTGGGCTCAAGCAATCCTCCCACCTCAGTCTCCAGAATAGCTGGGACTACAGGTATGCACCACCATCCCCAGCTAATTTTTTATGTTTTGTAGAGACAGGGTTTCGCCATGTTACCTAGGCTGGTCTCCAACTTCTGAGCTCAAGAGATGCTCTTACCTCGGCCTCAAAAAGAGCTGGGATTACAGGGGTAAGCCTCACACCTGGCCTATTTATAAATTTTTGTAAACAAAAAGGTGAAGTACACAAATCCGCAACAACCACTACAGATTTTAAACTTCCTCTCTCAGTAACTGTTAAGAAAAGCAAACTTAATATCTGTGAAAACATAAAATATTTGAACAGAACAATTACCATATATATGACACCAAATTTAACTACAGAATATATATCTTTTTCAAGTGTACATAGACTTGTCATCAAAATAAAGCATATGTAAAACCATAAGTCTCAATAAATTTGAAAGAACTGAAATCATACAGATTATGTTTTATGTTTCCTGACCACAGTACAATTAAACTAGAAATAAGTAACAAAATGAAAAATAGAAATCTCTAAATGCTTAAGATTAAACATATTTTAAATAACTCATCAAATAAGAAACTCTATTGGAAAGTAGAAAATATTTTGAACTGAATGATGAAGAAAATATGTCATGTCAAAACATGCAGGATGTAACTAAAATAGTGTAAGCTATTTATTTATATCTTTTTTCTTTCTTTTTTTTTTTTTTTTTGAGACAGGGTCTCACTCTGGTTGCCCAGGCTGGAGTGCAGTGGCATGATCATGGCTCACTGCAATCTTGACTTCCCATGGCTCAAGCAATCCTCCTACCTCAGCCACCCCAGTAGCTGGGACTACAGGTGCACACCAGCACACCCGGCTACTTTTTTGACATTTTAGTAGAGTCGGGATCTCACCATTTTACACAGGCTGGTCTCCAACTCCTGGGCTCAAGAGATCCACCTGCCTCGGCCTCCCAAAGTGCTGAGATTACAGGTCTATGCCACCTCACCCAGCCTATTTATATCTTTAAAAGCATATATCATTTAAAATGTCAAAAATTGGCCAGGCATGGTGGCTCACGCCTGTAATCCCAGCACTTTGGGAGGCTGAGACGGATGGATCACTTGAGGTCAGGAGTTCGAGACCAACCTGACCAACATGGTGAAATTTTATCTCTACTAAAAATACAAAAATTAGCCAGGCATGGTGGCACGCACCTGTAATCCCAGGTACTTGGGAGGCTGAGGCAGGAGAAGTGCTTGAACTCAGGAGGTGGAGGTTGCAGTGAGCCGAGATCACACCACTGCATGCCAGCCTGGGCAATAGAGTGAGACTGTCTCAAAAAAAAAAAAAAAAGTCAAAAATTAATGATCCCAGCTTAGAAATTAATAACCTAGAAAAAGGTCAGCAAATTAAACTCAACAGAAGAATAAAACAATAAAGATAAGAACTGAAATCAACTAAGTAGAAAGCAAACATGCAATATAGAAATTCAACAAAGCCAAAGTTGGTTGGTTGTCAAGAATAACATCAAGGCCACGGCCAGGCGCAGTGGCTCATGCCTGTTATCCCAGCACTTTGGGAGTCCAAGGCGGGTGGATCACCTGGGGCCAGGAGTTCGAGACCAGCCTGACCAACATGGTGAAACCGTGTGTCTACTAAAAATACAAAAATTAGCCGTCGTGGTGGCGCATGCCTGTAATCCCAGCTACTCGGGAGGCTGAGGCAGGAGAATCACTTGAACCTAGGAGGCAGAGGTTGTGGTGAGCCAAGGTCACCCCATTGCACTCCAGCCTGGGCAACCAGAGCAAAGCTCCATCTGAAAAAAAAAAAAAGAATAACATCGATAAACCACTGGCAAGGGTGGTCAAGAAAAAAAGAAAATAAATAAATCATCAATATTAAAACTAAAAAATAACGCCATTATAGATTCCACAAACATTTAAAAGATAAGTTTTTAAATGTAAGAAATAATATTATGCTAATAAAATTGAAAATCTAGATGAGGTGTTCAAATTCCTTAAAAACTATAACAGTCATAGATGGAGTTTTCTTTTTGGCACAATTTTAAAAAGCATTTAAGAAATACATATTACCAATATTATAGAAAGTTTAGGCTGGGCACGGTGGTTCACGCCTGTAATCCCAGCACTTTGGGAGGCCGAGGCAGGAGGATCACTTGAGGTCATGAGTTCAAGACCAGCCTGGTCAACATGGAGAAACCCAGTCTCTACTAAAAATACAAAAATTAGTCAGGCATGGTAATGTACACCTGTAATCCCAGCTACTCAGGAGGCTGAGGTAGGAGAATCTCTTGAACCTGGGAGGCGGAGGTTGCAGTGAGCCAAAATCGTGCCACTGCACTCCAGCCTGGGCGACAGAGGAAAACTTCATCTCAAAAAAAAAAAAAAAGTTTAGCAATAGAAAATTAGACAAAACTTTTCAACTCCTTGTAGAAGGTCAGGAAAACATTAATAGTAGTAAAACTTAACAAGCATATAACGGTCAGGAAGATCACAAACCAATATCTCTCATGAACATAGAATCAAACATCTTAAACATGGTATTATCACATTTAATAATGTGCTTTTAAGAAAAGTATAACAAACTGGGGCTTATTATATAAATGCAAAGTTGGCTTCACAGTAACAAAACAAATTAGTTTACTACATTAACAGAATAAAGAAGAAAAAACATATGGTCAATTTGGTAAATGTGAAAAAAATTAACGCTTTTACATAATTTTTTAAATCTCAAAAAAAATTGATGGAAATTTTCTCAATTTGATAACAGGTATCAACTAAAACACCTACAGTTTATACCCTATGTAATGGTAAAAAAAAATTTAATCAAAAAATAAACATAAACATAAACACAAAAATAAATAACCCAAAACCGAACATTTTTGCTATGATGTTGTAAACAAAGCAAGAATGTCCTCTACTACCACTTCTTTTTTAACATTATCCTGGACATCATAGCCAGTGCACTAAAGTAATTGGGGGCAGCTGGGGGGGTGGCACAAATATTAAACAAAATGAAGTAAAGCTCTTCTTATAACCAGATACCACAATTGTGTATAGAGAAACTCCAAAAAAAACTAACAATCCATGAGAAATAAAAAGATAATTTAGCAAGGTGTCTGGATACAACATCAATATACAAAATAAATTGTATAACTATATAATACAACAAACAGGAAGAAAATAAGCATTTTAAAGTGTCACTTATAATAGCACCAAAAAAATGCAATTTTTTTTTTTTTTGAGACAGATTCTCACTTCGTCACCCAGACTAGAGTGCAGTGGTGTGATCTCGGCTCACTGGAACCTGCACCTCCGGGTTCAAGTGATTCTCATGCCTCAGCCTAGTATCTGGGATTACAGGCATGTGCCATCACACTCAGCTAATGTTTTTGTATTTCCAGTAGAGACAGGGTTTCACCATGTTGCCCAGGCTGGTCTTGATTCCTGGTCTCAAGTGATCTGCCTGCCACAGCCTCCCAACATGCTGGGATTACAGGCATAAGCTACCACTTCCGGACTAAAATAGGGTTTTTCAACCTTGGTACTATCAACATTTTGAGCCAGATCAGTCTTTGTTGTGGGGGCCTATCCCGTACATTGCAGGATGTTTAGCAGGATAGTTGATCTTTACCCACTAGATGCCAACAGCACTTCTCACCTCAGTTGGGACATATCTCAACATTGTTGAGTGTCCCTGAGGGAAGCAAAATTAACCTTGATTGAGAATCATTGATCTAATGAAAGATATCAATACTCTTCCACTCAATACTATAAAATATTGTTGACAGAAATTAAAGATCTAAATAAATAGATATTTATTATAGTTTAGAAGACAATATTGTTACAAGGTTAATTCTCCTTAAATTCATGTAGATAGTCAATGCAATTCCAATTAAAATCCCATCAGATGGGCAGGGCACAGTGGCTCACGCCTGTAATCCCAGCACTTTGGGAGGCTGAGGCAGGTGGATCACCGGAGGTCAGGAGTTCAAGACCAGCCTGGTCAATGTGGTGAAACACCGTCTGTACTAAAAATACAAAAATTAGCCAGGCGTGGTGGCGGGCACCTATAATCCCAGCTACTCCAGAGGCTGAGGCAGGAGAATCACTTGAACCTGGGAGGCGGAGGTTGCCATGAGCCGAGATCACGCCATTGCACTCCAGCCTGGGTGACAAGAGTGAAACTCTTGTCTCAAAAAAAAAAAAAAAAAAAAATCCCATCAGGTTTCTTTGATGGAAAATGATAAACCCAATTTAAAATTTATACAGAAATGAAACAGCAACAGCCTATGCAATCTTGAAGAAAAAGAATAACAAAGTTAGACAACTTATACCATCAGATATCACATCTTTATATAATCCTACAGTAATTAACACAATGTGGCATTTGTGTAAGGACAGTCCAATAAACTGAATAGAAAGAACAAAAACACTCACTTGATTTTTTTTTTAAGTGCCACAGCAATTCACTGGATTAGAAATAGTCTTACCAATATATAGAGCTGCGTCTACTGAAAAACCACAGGGAAAGAACTAATCTTCAGCTTCAAAAAATTATTTTGAGATGGATTATGGACATAAATGCGAGACTATCTTCTTGACTTTGTTTAGGCAGAAATCAAACCTGACACATAAAAAAGAAAGTTGATAAATTCAACTTCATTAAAATTAAGAATTTCTGAGCATCAAAGCTACAGGCAAGCTACAAGCAAAGAGAATGTTCGCAATATGTATATCTGGCAATGGGCTCATATCCATATTATATAAAAACTTCCTAAACATTAGTAAGAAAAAGACTGACAACCCTTCTTCCTCCTAATGGACAAAACACTCAAATAGGCATTTCACTAAAGAAGATATCCAAATGACCCAGCATATTGCAAAGTTGCTCAGCAACATTAACTATCAAGGAAATGCAAACTGAAATCACAATAAAAAATTAATACAAACTCCCTAGAATGGCTAAAATTTTAAAAGACTGGCAATACTATGTGTTGGCAAGGATGTTGAACAACGGGAAATCTCATTCATTGCTGGTTGGGATGTAAACTGATCTTTAGAAAACTTTTTGACAGTATGTAGTAAAGCTAGACATACTTATGCCATGTAACTGAGCAATTCCAATCCTGGATGTATTTCCAACAGAAATGGTGCATAAGTCCATCTAAAGGCATACACAGGAATGTTCATAGCTGCTTTCATAACAACCTCAAAGAGGAAACAGCCCAAAAGGATAAACTGTAGTATAGTCAAGTAACAGAATACTAAACATCAATGAAAAGGAATAATCTATCTCTCTCTCCCTCTGTTTCTCTTTTTTGTCTTTGTTCCCTGTCTCTTCTTCTGCTAATGCTGTTAAAAAATAATCAAGTTCTTAAGGGCTAGGGGAAAAGGAGAGAAAGCAACGAGATGGAAAAGAACTATCCCTCCATTCTGAAGTCCAAATGCACTGCTATAAGGCAAAAATAAAAACCATAGAAACAGGCCGGGTGCGGTGGCTCAAGCCTGTAATCCCAACACCTTGGGAGGCCGAGGCGGGCGGATCACTCGAGGTCAGGAGTTCGAGACCAGCCTGGCCAACATGGGGAAACCCTGTCTCTACTAAAAATACAAAAACTTAGCCTGTAATCCCAGGTACTCAGGATGCTGAAGCAGGAGAATCACTTGAATCCGGGAGGCGGAGGTTGCAGTGAGCCGAGATCGCGCCACTGCACTCCAGCCTGAGCAACAGAGCGAGACTCCATCTCAAAAAAAAAAAAAAGTAGAAACGAAGATAATTTTCAATAGAAAATAAGAAAAGTGTGTTTTCTATTAAACAGCACGCATACCAGAACAAAAGTGGTCTAAAAAACAAAAATAAATAAACAGCATGTTGTAATGTACTGTGTATGGAAACATTTTTTTTTTTTTTTTGGCCTTCAAGTGTACATTTTAAGGAAAAAAAAAAAAAAACAGATGGTAAAACAGAATAGTTTCCTAAGTAGTCACATAGACATTTGTCTTCCAAAATAGATAAACCTAATTAATTCAGAATAATCTTTTCTTCAGAAACGTTTGAGTCATCAAACGTAGATAACTGTAAATCTGAGGTTATAGCTCTTGAGACTAGAATATTAACCCATGCTGAGTAATTATTATTAAAAGTTAATGTCAACAAGTATCGATTGGCAATTTGTCTCCATCCCCGACCCCTAGTTTCCCTAACCGCCAAGCCCGGGGTTGGGGAGTGGAGTGGCACAAGCTCCTGGGAAAGACAGGCTAACCTCCCTCCCTGCACCCGCGGCGGCAAGGCCGGAACTCCTGGGTCCCTAGAGACGTGTGGCCCCGCCCCCGCAGCGTCGCTCCGACACGACGGCCGCCGCGTCTCCATGGAAACGGCCCAGGCATCCACCCAGCCGAGAGCACGATGGCTACTGGGGAGCTCGGGGACTTGGGTGGCTACTACTTCAGGTTCTTGCCTCAGAAAACCTTCCAGTCTCTGAGCTCTAAGGAGATCACCAGCCGGCTCCGCCAGTGGTGAGGAACCGAGGCACAGGGAGAGAAGAGGCCCTTGGTCTTCGCGGCTGTGGAGGCGCAGGCCGGGCGTCGAGGGGCCCGCGCGGGTCGGCGCCATTCTGAGTGAACCCTGAGGCTTCCTGAGTGAACCCCGAACCACCCGGGAAGGGCGGATGCTGTGGGTGGGATCGGTTATCGGTGCGCTCTGAGAGGGTGCCAGCCCCCAGATGATTTCTTTTTCCTCCTCTGCCCCAGGTCCATGCTGGGCAGAATCAAGGCGCAGGCGTTCGGCTTTGACCAGACCTTTCAGTCCTATCGGAAGGATGATTTCGTTATGGTTAGTATGGGGGTCGGAGAGTTCCCTGGGTCTCTGCGGATTTTTAAACTTCCCCCCAAGTTGGCATAGATTCTTGTGAACACGCTATTCCTTACTGACGTCGTTTTCTTGGCGTTTGGGAGTAATAAAAGGTGCAAATGATTTTTTTAAAGGAACTTTTACGTTTCGAATCAGTCATCATAAATTTGTTTGCCATTTAGTTCATTCTTTCTCTACTTTCAGCATCTTGTATCTTGCCTCGGGGAACTTTGCAGTTCTGGAAGATCGCGCGCTCTCTAGAAGATTAGTTTCTCCCTTTGTTTATTTTTGTTTCATTTTATTTTGTTTTATTTTATTTTATTTACTTATTTTTTGAAACAGGGTCTTTCTCTGTCACCCAGGCTGAATAAAGTGCAGTAGCACCATCTCAGCTCACTGCAGCCTGGACCTCCCGGGCTCAAGCTTCCTGAATAGCTGGGACTACAGGTGCAGGCCACCACGTCCAGCTAATTAAAAAAAATTTTTTTAGAGGCAGAGTCTCACTATGTTACCCAGGCTAGTCTTGAATCCCCGGGCTCCCAAAGTGCTGGGGAGTACAGGCGAGCCACCACCCCCAGCCTCTCTTTTTCAATAGGCACATCTCATTTTAAAATATTTTAAATATTATCACACAGCTTTATCGCCGCTTTATTTACTAGCTCCAAATTACTTTCGATTTTTTTCTCAACATCACACCCACTCTGAGAACTGGGCTTCAGGCTCTACCAACAGTTCCAAATGAGGAATTCCCCCAAAAAAGTATGAAGCCGTAGCACAGTGATTTGAATAAGTCTTTTGACTACTAGAGGTGACTACTTTGAGAGAGGTAAAACTCACTTGAAAGTTTAAGTTTTGGTGTGTTTGTTAAAATTTAGTCCATTATTTTCAATCCTGTTTTTTTTTTCTCCTCAATCAAATGGAAAATACTGTTACAGTTTATGAAGTTATCTTCATTCTCTGCCATTCATGTCCTTCATGCATTGACTGTAGTTTATAGTTTGGCATAACAAACACTTCCTGAGGGCCTATCATGTGCTAGGAATTCCTTCCAGTGCTGGGGATACGAGGAGGAACAAGACAAGAGCCCAGCTGTCAAAGATTGTACGGGCCTTGGCAAGACTACAATAAATGAAAAAACAATCTGATTATTTCATATAGTGATAAGGGCAGTAAAGAAAATAGGAGGAAATGGAGAAAGGAGAACATTAGGTAGGATTGTGTCATAGTTCTGGAGGCTAGAAGTCTTAAATCAAGGTGCTGGCAGGGCCATCATTCCTCTGAAACCTGTAGGGGAGAATCCATCCTTGCCTCTTCCTGCCTTCTGGCGGTTGCCACCCTCCCTTGGCGTCCTTTAGTTTGCAGCTGCAGAACTTTCTTCTCTTCCTGTCAGTCCCATAGCCTTTTCCCTTCATATGTCTGCATCTCTTCTTCTTATAGAGACACCAGTCATATTGAATTAAGGGCCCCGCATAACCTCATCTTAATTAATTACATCAGCAACAACGCTAATTCCAACTAAGGTCACTTTGTGATATTTCAGGAAGGATGTAAATTTTGGGGGGACACTATCAACCCATAACAGAGAGTAAATTGGTTAAATGTCTACCTCCCTTTCCCTAAGATGGTGTTATAGTGCCATTATATTATAATGCTACTGATAATGACATTAATAACATTTCTCAAATACTCATGGTTAGATTATTATGTAGTTTTTTATATTTTTTATTTATACCAGTACTGGCTGTCTATAATTTTTTTTAAAGATCAGGATTTGAGGACACTGAATTTTA
This sequence comes from Homo sapiens, assembly GCF_000001405.40. Taxonomy (NCBI): domain Eukaryota; kingdom Metazoa; phylum Chordata; class Mammalia; order Primates; family Hominidae; genus Homo; species Homo sapiens. Next base: position 102,049,705 of record NC_000011.10, read on the forward strand.
GAATACTGTAAAAATTTTAGTATAATTCATTTATTCAATAAATATTTGTTGAATATTTACTGTGTCCCTCTAGAGGGTATAAAAAGATGAAGAGACCTGATCCCAGCTTACAAGGCATGTATAGTTTGGGGAGCTAGAAATGTTAAGAAAAAAAAAAAGTCTGAGGCAGGGCATGGTGGCTCACAACTGTAATCCCAGCACTTTGGGAGGCTGAGGCAGGAGGATCACTTGAGCCCAGGAGTTTGAGACCAGCCTGGGCAACATAGTGAGATCCTGTGGCTATTTTTTAAAAATTTTTTAATTAGCTGGGTGTGGTGGCACACACCTGTAGTCCTAGCTACTTGCGGGGCTGAGGTGGGAGGATTACTTGAGCTATGATCGCACCTCTGCACCATAGCCTGGGTGACAAAGTAAGACCCTGTCTCAAAAAAAAAATAATTTCTCTATTACTTTATGAAGTATTTTTCTATAGCAGTAGTGACTCCAGTGTGCACAGATTCAGCTGTCAGCACTTTTTATATTATGTTTATCATTAATCTTTACAACAATCTGCCAGGTTTGGTGTTCTGACTCCCATTTTATAGCTTAAAATTCAGAAAGGTTACATAATTTATGCAAAAACATTCAACAAAGGGCAGAACCCAGGCATTTTGACTCTAGAAACCATGCTGTTTCTACAACAAAAACTCACTACTGAACAGAGGGTATTGTTTAAACTAGAATTCCAGATTTTGAATTTTCCCTTTCAATTTAAAAACAAATTATGTTCCAAAAATGTATTTCTGAGATGATAAATGGATGGAAGGAAACATTTATCTGGCAAACATCTCTTTAGTTCCTAGGTCTATATAGATGAATAGACACAATTAAAGGGAGGGAAATACCAAAAATTGCATTGCAGAGAGAGAAGTGATAAAATACATACCTGAGGCATAAGGTACTTTGGTGACACAAAAGAGAAAGTGATCATTTTTGACTGAGGTGGTCAGAAGAGCATTTATAAAAGACAGGACTCTTAAGGCGGGGCCTGAAAGATGAGTAGGAATTCATCAGGTAGATGAAGTGGCAAGGATAATGTTGGAGAGATGGGTGGGATAATATTTTAGAAGACCTTTTGTGCCATGCAAAGAAATTTGGACTTTATCTGGCTAAGAAGGAGAAGTTTTTAAGACAGACTTTAAATGTTAAAATATTGAGATCACCTTGGCAGAAGTGTGGAGGGTGGGTTGTTAGGACTGAGTCAGGAAGTAATGACACCAAATTGGAAACTGTTGTCCTCTAGACAGTTACATGATAATGTCAAGTACCAGTATGGCCCAGATTTAGGAGAAAGGCTTAAGGAATGGTAAGATATTGAGAGTAAAGGAGAGGGGGACATGTAGGATGACTCCCAAGTTTCTGGCTTGGTTGACTCGAGTGGCTGATGATGTCATTAAATGTGTAGAAAACATGGAAGAATTACAAGGAAAATGAGTTCAGTTTCAGGCATGCTGAATTCGAGGTACATACAAGTGGCAGTATTCTAGATAGTTGAATATAACATTTAACTTTGAATTTCAAGAAAGCTCTGGGCCCAGTATATAGTGTTGACATCTTCACCATGGGACTGGGGATGATGAGGAGAATTTTCCACATAAACAACTTCAAGGAAGCGCCTTAATTTACAGAGCTTTCCTGGAAGCCTGCGCAACGCTTCTGCTTACATCTCATGACCAGAACTTAGGCATGTGACCAGAATTTAGGCCTCCCACATCCCAGGGAGGCTGGAAATGCAGACTAAGCTAAGCATATTGCTGTCCCAAATAAAAATGGGATTCCTTAAGGAAGAAAGAATTGATATTGGACTAGAAACCATCAGTCTGCCAGATAGATAATATAGTCAAATATATACTTAAATAATTTAGAAATATTGTCTGTCCAGTATGCATGCTGGATGTAAAAATTAAAATAATAAGAAAATTAAAAATAGAGAAACTTATCTTTTTTCCCCTTACACATTTTTATTTATTTATTTGTTTATTTTTAATAGAGACAGGGTCTCACTATGTTGCCCGGGCTGGTCTCAAACTCCCAGGCTCAAGCAATTCTCCTGCCTCAGCCTCCCAAAGTGCTGGGATTACAGGTGTGAGTTATCACACCCAGCCCACTTTCACATTTTATGAAACAAGTTTATTTAACATTTTCACATGCATTTTGACATCAGTATCTTTGTTATTACTGTAACTAGTTTAGGAATCATCTTATATTTTTCCAAAGCACAGTCAGCTTTCCTAAAGTTGATATACAGAAAATCTCTTCTAATGCCTTACTGGAAATTCCATAACAAGCCAGAAATGCAATTTACATGTATTAGGACATTTTTTAAAAATTCACTTATTAGACATATAATTGTAATCTCAATAATGTAACTTGCATTGCCTTATTTGAGGGTCCCTTATAAAGACTCATTTCCTTTGGTTCTAGTTCAATTCACTGCAGGCCAGTTGACCTGCTGCTCCATTTATAATGACATCTAACATGTAACTGTTAAGTTAATAACCTCCAGGAATAATTACTAAATCTGAATTAAATTTTCTTTTTTTAAGAGATTCTTTCAGAAGGCATAAAATGCATTCAAAACCAATATTAATTGAGGTTAATTCCAGTTTATGTATCTTTTTCAAAATGTACCATTATATAAATTAAAATACTCGCGTGAATATTCTTTTATTTGAAAGACTAAAATGTCATAAGGCAACTTGCTTTTTGTCTAGAAATAACTTTGGGGAAAATTTGTCTTTTTATAATTAAGCATATATGATACCTTTTTGAAAAAAATGTGTTTACCTTTAGTTCTTCACCACTAGAATGTAAATTCCATAAGAACAGGGACTGTGTCTGGCTTGGCATAATGTAGACATTTGTAAATAATCCTCAGCTCACATCTCTTCTCTGTTCTCTTTCTTGTTAAATAGCATTTATTAAATGGTTTTTCATGAAGAGGAATCCAAGGAGTCATCTTCCTTCTCCATTTGTTTCTTCCTCCTAAATAACATTAAATCCATCTACTTCTCTACCTCCCCACTTGGTATCTCCTTGACTGATGAGGACATCAGCTCTTCCATGATTACAACAGTAGCCTTCCTCCTAGCTAGTCTTTTTCCAGCCCTTCAATTCATTCTCCACGCTGCAGCCAGAATGAACTTTAAAGAAAAATAGATGATTCTGATAACTCTTTCCTCTGCTTAAAAATCTTCAGTCTGGCCAGGCGCACTGGCTCAAGCCTGTAATCCCAGCACTTTGGGAGCCTGAGGCGGGTGGATCACCTGAGGTCACGAGTTCAAGACCAGCCTGACCAACATGGTGAAACCCTGTCTCTACTAAAAAACACAAAAATTAGGTGGCCATGGTGGCAGGTGCCTGTAATCACAGCTACTCAGGAGGCTGAGGCAGGAGAATCACTTGAACCTGGGAGGTGGAGGTTGCAGTGAGCTGAGATTGCGCCATTGCACTCCAGCCTGGGCGACAGAGTGAAACTCCTTCTCAAAAAAAAATAATTAATTAAAAAATAAAATTTAAAAAAAGGCTGGGCACAGTGGCTCTCACGCCTATAATCCCAGCACTTTGGGAGGCTGAGGTGGACAGATCACCTGAAGTCGGGAGTTCAAGACCAGCCTGACAAACATGGAGAAACCCAATCTCTACTAAAAATACAAAATTAGCTGGGCATGGTGGCGGGTGCCTATAATCCCAGCTACTTGGGAAGCTGAGGCAGGAGAATCGCTTGAACCCAGGAGGCGGAGGCTGCGGTGAGGCAAGATCATACCATTGCACTCCAGCCTGGGCAACAAGAGCAAAACTCCATCAAAAACAAACAAACAAACAAACAAACAAACAAACAAAAACCTTCAGTGTGGCTGGTGTCGTGGCTCATGCCTATAATCCCAGCTCTTTGGGAAGCTAAGGCAAGAGGATCACTTGAAGCCAGGAGTCTGAGACCAGCTTGGCAACAAAGTGAGACTCTGTCCGTATTATAAAATTATAAAAGAAAAAGAACTTCAGTGTTTTGCCACTGCCCTTAGATCAAAATACTGATCAAGATCTAGATCGATTTTAGATCAAGATTAAAATTCTTCACTTGACTGCAAGGTCAATTTAACTCCCCAGCCTTATCTGACCATTGCTGCTTCTGGGTCACACCAAACCTCTTCACTTTCCTTGAATGGAATGTATCATCCTTTCTCACCTTACAGCCTTCATACTTACCATTTTCTCTCCCTTAAAAAATGGTAATTCCAGTTGCATACTGGAACCAGTTTAGGAGAGCCTGATTGCTAGACTTTCAGGAATCTTTGTTTGCTGGTTGTTACACTGTTGGCAACTTGAAATCCACCATGGAAACAGGCAAACGCCACAATCAGGGCTTTTTAGGGGAGGAAGAGTGGCCAGTTGTTAAACATTTACCAGTATACCCCTTTGCCCAGCTAACTCCTACTCAACTTTCTGATCTAAACCTAAATGTTCTTTCTATATGAACATTTTTTCCCAATGCCGTTAGATTATGTCTGCCCATTTTGTACTTTGATAGCACCTGCGCTTTTTTGTAGTATACATGGCATGTTACTATCTCCTCTCTTACTATCTGCCTGCCCATGAGGGCAAGCACTGTCCATTGGATTTTAGTATTAGGAAGTCAAAGGTACTATTCATTAAGTGATAGGAGCAGGAACCAGATAGAGAGGAATGAGAAGTAGATAAGAGAAGTGAGGCTGGGCTCGGTGGTGCACGCCTGTAATCCCAACACTTTGGGAGCCTGAGATGGATGGATCCTCAGGTCAGGAGTTCAAGACCAGCCTGGCCAACATGGCAAACCTGTCTCTATTAAAAATACAAAAATTAGCTGGGTGTGTTGGCGCACTTCTGTAGTCCCAGCTACTTGGGAGACTGAGGCAGGAGAATCTATTGAACCCAGGAGGTGGAGGCTGCAGTGAGCTGAGATCGAACCATTGCACTCCAGCCTGAATGACAGAGCAAGACTTGGTCTCAAAAAAAAAAAAAAAAAAAAAGTGAGACAGTTTAGATTCCTCTCTGAAGAAGGTATTCCTCTCTCAAGAGGGAAAAGTGAGTGATCACTTGAAGGGAATGTTGAAAAAATGAAACTATTTATAGTAACAATTTGAACAACAAAGAATAATTCATAGAAAAAGTCAGTCTTATCCCAATCTACTCCTACTCCCTACCCTCTCAACCCTCCTCACGAGTGTGTAACCACCACTTCTGAAGCAAGTAGTTTGATATTCTTTTTTTTTTTTTTGAAGACAGAGTCTCTCTCTGTCGCCCAGGCTGGGGTGCAGTGGTGCGATCTCAGCTCACTGCAACCTCTGCCTCCGGGATTCAAGCGATTCTCCTGCCTTAGCCTCCTGAGTAGCTGGGATTACAGGCACGTGCCACCACGCCCAGCTAATTTTTGTATTTTTAGTAGAGACAGGGTTTCAACATGTTGGTCAGGTTAGTCTTGAACTCCTGACCTCGCGATCTGCCTGCCTTGGCCTCCCAAAGTGCTGGGATTACAGGTGTGAGTCACCGCACCCGGCCTATGATACATATTCTTACATACTTTTCTTTATGCTCATATAAATGTATAAAAGTTTTATTTTGTTTTACCACATGCGTTACTCTTTTTTTTTTTTTGAGATAGGGTCTCACTGTGTCACCCAGGCTGGAGTGCAATGGTGCGATCTCAGCTCACTGCAACCTCCACTCCCCTGGGCTTTAGCAGCCCTCCTAACTCAGCCTCCCGAGTAGCTGGGGCCACAGGTGCACAGCACTGTGCCAAGCTAATTTTTTGTATTTTTAGTAGAGATGGGGTTTCACCAGGTTGCTCAGGCTGGTCTCGAACTCCTGAGCTCAAGCCTCAGCCTCCCAAAGTGCTGGGACCATAGGCGTGAGGCACCACACCTGGCCATATACATTACTCCTAAACTACCCTTTTTTTTTTTTTTTTTTTGAGACGGAGTCTCGCTCTGTCGCCCAGGCTGGAGTGCAGTGGCACGATCTTGGCTCACTGCAAGCTCTGCCTCCCGGGTTCACTCCATTCTCCTGCCTCAGCCTCCCGAGTAGCTGGGACTACAGGCGCCCGCCACCACGCCCAGATAATTTTTTGTATTTTTAGAGACAGAGTTTCACCGTGTTAGTCAGGATGGTCTCAATCTCCTGACCCTGTGATCCGCCCGCCTCGGCCTCCCAAAGTGCTGGGATTACAGGCATGAGCCACCGCGCCCGGCCCTAAACTACCCTTTTTTAACTGAAAGTATTTATGGTTTTTCCTCAAAATCAATACATAGTCTGTTCAGGGGATGTTTATTTAGTAAGTGCTATATGTTAGGCCCTGTTCTAAGTCCTGGGAGATAGCAGTGAATAAGAAAAACAGGACCCCTCCTCTTAGGGAGCTTACATTCTATTCTAATACTTTCTTTCCAATAGCTGCATTCTGTCTGATATAGATGGACTATGTTTTATTCAACTGTTTTTTTACTGATAGACATTGAAATTGTTTCCAAGTTTTGACACTACAAACCATACTATATTAAAACAAAAAACTCCTTATACCTAAATCTTATCCACTGGTGGTTTCAGAATCCAAAAGTAGAGTTTGTTGGATGAGATATGCATGTTTTTATTGTTCAAGATAATAGCAAATTACTTTCCCAGAGGGTTATAAAGATTCACACTTCTGCCAGCAGCTTGTGAAAGTGCATGTCTTCTGGTGCTTTCACCAAAAGTTACCAGTCTTTTTAAATCTTGGCAATGTAATGGATAAAAGTGGTATCTTCTGGATTTTATTTTCATTTCTTTCACTGCTCTTGAAATTGAGCATCTTTTCCTAAAGTTTATTGGCTATTTGTGGGGTTTTTTGTTTGTTTGTTTGTTTTTTGGGTTTTTTGTTTGTTTGTTTGTTTTAAGATAGTCTCACTCTGTTACCTAGGCTGGAGTGCAGTGACACAATCTCAGCTCACTACAACCTCCACCTCCCAGGTTCAAGCAATTCTCATTCCTCAGCCTCCCGGGTAGCTGGAATTACAGGAGTGTGCCACCATGCCCAGCTAATTTTTGTATTTTTTCAGTACAGACGGGGTTCGCCATGTTAGCCAGGCTGATCTTGAACTCCTGGCCTCAAGTGATCCACCCACCTTGGCCTCCCAAAGTCCTGGGATTACAGGCCTGAGCCACCGCACCTGGCCCTATTTTTATTTTTTATATGCCTATTTTTATCCTTTGCTGACATGTGCCACCCTCAAACCTTGTGATGATGTCAGCACATTACCCTTCTGACATGAGAAAAGAAAAATAATTATAAAATAAAAAAGAGCTAGCCTGGGTGCGGTGACTCACGCCTGTAATCCCAGCACTTTGGGAGGCCAAGGCAGTCAGATCACCCAAGGTCAGGAGTTCAAGACTAGCCTAGCCAACATGGTGAAACCCCTTGTCTACTAAAAATACAAAAAATTAGCCGGGCATGGTGGCACACACCTGTAATCCCAGCTACTCAGGAGACTGAGACAGGAAAATCGCTTGAACCCGGGAGGCAGAGGTTGCAGTAAGCCGAGATCGCACCACTGCACTCCATCCTGGGCAACAAGAGCGAAACTCCATCTCAAAAAAAAAAAAAAGAAAAAAAGAAAACTTTCGTTCCATGCACCAGCAGCTGACTCAAGCTGAAAAGGCAGAAGAAAATTTAGGTTTGTCAGTTTTTCTTACAGTTAGTTTTTTTTTTTAATCACTAGGATGTCAGTTTCTCCGTTTTAACATATGTGTTGCAAATATTTTCTCTCAGTCTATTATTTTTCTTTTGTTTATTGCTCTTCACAGACATTATGTTTTCTGGCTGTCCAGCACCTTGTAAACAACCATGCAATTTGGGAGTAACTTTTGGGAAGTCCAAGTGAAACCTCCCAAAATGCAAGGAACTCCCTTGCATCCAGATAGTAAGCGTGGGACCTAGGTTTACAAACAGACTCATCAGTGCAAGACTGGAATTTTGAAGTGAGCAACTTAAGGAAGGAGGCACACACAGAATTCATTTCTTTGGCAAAGGTAGTGGCAGAGACCACTTTCAGGCCAGACAGACCTGGCACAGCAATGGCCTAGGTTAGAAGGGAGTGATGGTGATGTCTACAGCCATACCACCCTGAATGCTGGAAGCTAAGCAGGATTGGGCCTGGTTAGTACTTGATGTTTATGGCCATACCATCCTCGATGTACCTGATATTGAAAGCTAAGTAAGGTTGGGCCTGGTTAGTACTTGAATAGGAGAAAGGGGTGATGGTGGCTTCCTCTAGTGCTTGATGGGGCTATCGCTTCTCAGCCTTTTGGCTAAGATCAACTGTAGTGCTTCGTGGGGCTGCAGCAAGGGTGACAGTTTCCTCATGAGGGCAGTTCTGCATATGATTTTGGATTGTTCCTGGGTCCAGCCTTCAGCCTGATGCCCTCCACCCCCGGAACATTTTGTGGACTCCCTGAGATGCTTCTAATAAATTTTCTTCTGCCTTTTCAGCTTGAGTCAGCTGCTGGTGCCAAGAACTAAAGCTCTTTTTTATTTTATATATTTTTTTCTTATTTCATGTCAGACTGACAATATGCCGACATCATAACAAGGTTCGAGGATGGCACATCTCACACATACCTGTGAAAACCCAGTCATCATGCTCATAAACTACAAAAGGATCTGGAACTAAAACTCTTACCTGCTTTGTTGTCTTTTGCCATACAGAAAACGTTTCATTTTTAGGAAGTTAGATTTTTCACTTTTTTACATGCCTTTTGGAAAGAATTAAATTGACAGTTACTTTTGGATTTAGATCTAGTATGTCAGTTGTTACGAAGGCAATTCAATAAGCAAGATTGAAGGAAAACAAAGTTTTCAAATATTATATAACCTCCTAATGTTTACTCTATATCATTATTTTCTAAATTAAGTTCCAAAGACATCTGTACTTGGACACACAATGTTCATACTGTTCCAAGTTGGATGTAATAAAACTTCATTTATTTATAAACTCTTTATTACTCAGACATTTTACCAATTTAAAATTGTCCTTTCTATTTGAATTAAAGGAGATTATAGTTATTTTATGTTAATTTTTACTATCATTTATAATAAAATATCTAACTTATTCCCCTCAAATTTGTATTTTAGGCTTTTTTCAAAGACCCAAATGTTATTCCCAATTTGAAGTTACTTTCAGATTCTTCTGGACAATGGATCATATTAGGTAAATAAAATTTTCATCTTTTCAGATACTATTTTACTATTATAAGAAAATTTTGCCTCAGGAATTTTCATTATTAAAATATAAATTGGGAATGACTCATCTGTTTGATACATCAAGATCAAATATGACCAGCTGTGCCAGACCTGCCCTGCATCTCTTTCCTGGGAGTCTACTGCTACTATGCTGGCTTAACACATAAGAGCAATTTTTCTCTCTTTTTATTCATATAAAAGTATTTATTGTGTATTTTCCATGTACTCTGCTAGATATAGGGAACATTAAGGTAAATAAGAAAACCTGTACTAAATGAACTTGATATGTTAAAATGTGTGTGTGTGTGTGTGTGTGTGTGTGTGTGTGTGTGTGTATGTACTAATATGTCAAAGGTGCTACCATAGAAGTGTAGCCAAGGGCCAGGCATGGTGGCTCACGTCTGTAATCCCAGCACTTTGGGAGGCTGAGGCGGGCGGATCACTTGAGTACAGGAGTTCAAGACCAGCCTGGCCAGCATGGTGAAACCCCATCTCTACTAAAAATACAAAAATTAGCCAGGCGTGGTGGCGAGCACCTGTAATACTAGCTACTTGGTGGCTGAGGAAGGAGAATTGATTGGACCTGGGAGGTGGAGGGTTGCCGTGAGCTGAGATTGTGTCACTGCCCTCCACCCTGGGTGAGAGAGCAAGAATGCCTCAAAAACTAAAAAAAATGTAAAAGTGTGGGCAAGAATGGTCAGTTCTGCCCAGAGGGAAAAGATCAGGAAAGAGTCCACTGATATTGGGATATTTGGGCAAAATCTAAATTGAGATGAGTACATGGGTACATGGATTTCTCACAGAGGAATCAGCCAACCACAGGACTTTTTTTTTTTTTTTTGAGACAGTGTCTCACTCTGTCACCCAGGCTGGAGTGCAGTGGTGCCTCCTGGGTTCAAGCAATTCTCATGCCTCAGCCTCCCCAGTAACTGGGATTACAGTCATGGGCCCCCACACCCGGCTAATTCCTGGCTAATTTTTGGTTTTTTGCTTACTTGTTTTTTGAGACAGTGTCTCACTGTCACCCAGACTGGAGTGCAGTGGTGTGATCTCAGCTCACTGCAACCTTCGTCTCCCAGGTTCAAACGATTCTCCTGCCTCAGCCTCCCAGGTAGCTGGGATTACAGGTGTGTGCCACCACACCTGGCTAATTTTTGTGTTTTTAGTAGAGACGGGGTTTCGCCATGTTGGCCAGGCTGGTCTTGAACTCCTGACTGCAAGTAAATCTGCCAACCTTGGCCTCCCAAAGTGCTGAGATTACAGGCGTGAACCACCACGCTCAGCCTAAATTTTTTTTTTTTTTTTTTTAAGTAGTGATAGGGTTTCGCCATGTTGGCCAGGCTGGTCTCAAACTCCTGGCCTCAAGTGATCCACCTGCCTTGGCCTCCCAAAGTGCTGGGATTATGGGTGTGAGCCACCGCGCCCAGCTAGATTATATTTTCATAATGTATTATTTCATAATACATTGAAAGAGCCAGAAATTTTTTTTAAGAAAATTACCCAAACACTTAAACACTTAGTAGCACTCACTTAAGTCCCTTCAATAACTCTTGGGACAAGGAAGAAAGCAGAGTTAATATAAGACTATTTTGGGGAAAAAAAAATGAAAGCTATATTTTAAATTTTAGGTTGAGATTATCTTAGCAACAGAATGAATAAAAGCAACGTTCCATTTAGAAGGAGAATCTGATTGGTGATATGGATTTATACTCAATAAAATGCATTTTAAATTAGATTTTTTTTGTTTAGGGGTGTATTTTGGTAAATTACACAAAAGTAACTTAAAGTATTAGTCAAGAACAAGATTACAAACAGTTCATGATGTTAGACTTAGTAGGTCAGATTTTATTGCTTTTGGCTAAAGACTACTGCAAAATTTATAGAGCGAAAAGCTGGTACAGACTACTTACAAAATTAAACTGAGTATCTGAGAGAATATATTTACCCAACTCAAAATTTTCAAAAGGAAATAATCAGAGCCATGTATCACAGTGTTTAGAAAACATGTTTACAGTAACTTCAGTCAATCTATTTGAAAAAATAAGGCTCACTGAAATAAGTGCTCAACCCTCTCCCCATGTTAGTACATACACAAAATAGCATTAACTTTATACTAATTTTTGAAAAAATCATTGCAAAAAGAGGTTCTCAAATGTCTCATGTGCCTGACTTGATGAATTATAGATACTCTGAAAAATAGGACAGAAGAATAATAACACTATTTCAGAAGCAGAAGTTCTAGTGGAATGTTAGTACTCTTCCACTAGCTCATTTTTATCTCCTTTTACTTTTTCTTTTTCTGCTATATTTCTTTTTCTGAAATACCCCCCTCTTATTTTCCTCTGGGGCCCTTTTAAAGCAAAAGAAGCAGCTTTTTAAAATAGGTGAAGAGACATTCTTTTGGGAAGTGAACCAGTTCTAAAGAAAGTGATGATGGAACCTCCTTCACTGTGCTGCACTCCCTGGAGATTGCCAGTTGTCGGTGCTGTTTTATCCTCTCAGCCAGCCGCCATAGCTCCTATGTTTAGATACACTTTGTCTTTTTTTGATAACATATAATGGATGCTTCCTATGTGCTCAGCTAAGGGCATCATACACATTAACTCCTTTCATTCATGAAACAATGCAAGAAAGGTAGTATTATATATCACTATTTTACAAATGAATAGTCAGAGGCATAAGCTAAGTAATGTGTGCAGTTTTACTCGACTGAGTGAGCAGAGGATCCAGAATTGAAGACATTCACCACTTCACTCTCCTGCCTCTGTCACTTCCACGTTGATGGGGTTGCCAGAAAAGTACTAACTTAAGACACCGAATGATAAGGAGGCACCCAGTGTTTTATAATGCTAGTACTAGGGAAAAACTGTGTTCTTTCTGTATGTGATCATAGTGATGCATTACATGTCTTATAAATGCTGGGGACATAATTTAATGAAATTCCTACATAAAAAATAGCATGTGTTATGGAGTGAGTTGTGTCCCCACCCCTAAATTCATATGTTTAACCCCTAACCCTTCAATGTGATGGTTTTTGGAGATGGGGCCTTTGGAAAATAAATTAGGTTTAGATGAGGGCACTAGGGTGGGGCCCTCATGGTGGGATTAATGCCTTTATAATAAGAAGTAAAAGCACTAGAGCCATCTAAGTACACAGAAAGAAGACAATTTTCTGCAAGCCAAGAAGAGTGCCTTCACCAGCAACTGAATCATCTGGACCTTGACCTTGGACTTTCTAGCCTCTAAAACTTTGAGAAATACATGTCTATTGTTTAAGCCACCCAGACTATGGCATTTTGTTATAGCAGCCCAAGGTGACTAAGATGGATCTTGGTACTGAGAAGTGAGGAGCTGCTGTAACAAATACCTAAGAATGTGGAAGTGGCTTTGGAACTGAATGATGGATGGAAGCTTGAGGTGCATGTATACGGACACTATGGGCAATTCTGGTGATAGCGCCCAAGGAAATAAGGGATATGTTATTGGAAACTGGGGTAAAGGTGATCTTTGTTATAAAGTGGCAAATAACTTGGATGAACTGTTTTCTATTGTTTTATGGAAGGTAGAACTTATAAGTGATGAAATTGGAGATTTAGCTGACGAGATTTCTAAGCAAAGTCTTAAAGTAATGTCTTGCTTATAGTAAAGTATGAAAGAAGAGAGATGAATTGCAGAAGGAATTGTTAACCAAAAATGAACAAACATTTGAAGATTTGGAAAGTTTTCAACCTATCCTTATTGTAAAAAATGAGAAGGTTTGTTCTGAAGAGAACACTGTTCAGAACACTGAACAGCCATTTGATAAAGAGATCATGGGTATGACTTATGGACTTAATGAGCCATTTCAACAGAAGTCAGGAATAGAGATGGAATTATATCAGCAGCAAAGACTCTGCTAGTTTGAACAATGAGATGAGATGAAGGAAGGCTGTTGGCCTTCTTAGATCCTGCAAGACTGGACCATAGAGCTATTGGGCTGTGAACATGCGCTATTCTTCAAGAAAAGGTTAGAAAGACCCCGAAGCAATTCAGAGATCTTCAGGGCCATCAGGGCCACTGCCTCCATTTCAACAGGCCAGATGGCCTCCAACCAAAGCCTTGGAGGCAGGGCCACCCTGCAGAACATACGGGCTAAATTGGCCCTGTGGAACCTTGGAGATTGGGCCACCCGGAGCCTTCAGGGCTCTACCGCCACCAGGGTAGAAGCAAGACTGCCACCTCGGTGGGTCCAGAGGCAGAGTATCAAACCAAAGAAGATTATCCTTGAGCATTTAAGATCTAAAGGAATTTGACTTTCTACGTTAAGGGCTTGCTTGACACCTGTCACCCCTTTCTTATTTCCTGTTTCTCCCTTTTGGAATGGAAATGACTAGCCTATGTCTGTCCCACCTATGTATTTTGGAAACACATACCTTGTCCTTCTTCACAGGTTTACAGCTGGAGAGGAATTTTGCCTTAGCATGAATCATACCTCAAGTCTACCCATATCCAATTTTTATGATATTTAGAAGAAACTTTGGACTTTAGAGTTGATACTGGAATGAGTGAAAATTTTGGGAGCAGGACAAGGTGGCTCACCCCTGTAATCCCAACACTTCAAGAGGCCAAGGTGGGAGGATCACTTGAGCCCAGGCATTTGAGACTAGCCTGGGCAACACAGCAGACCCTATCTCTACAAAAAACTATCTGGCTGTGTTGGCACACACCTGTAGTCCCAGCTATTCAGAAGGCTGAGGCAGAAGAATCACTTGAGCCCAGGAAGTTGAGGCCACAATGAGCCATGATCACATCACCACACTGCAGCCTGGGTGACAGAGTGAGACCTTGTTGAAGAAAAAAAGAAAAAAAAAGTTTGTGGGGCTGTTGGAATGGAATGAGTGTATTTTGCATGTGAGAAGAACATGAATTTGGGGTCCTAGTGGTTACATGTTATAGACTCAATGACTGAACTATGCCTTTCTTAATTCATATTTTGAAGTCCCATGACCATCCCTCCTTCTACCTCATTGAAACCCAATTATTTCCCAAAGGCCCCATCTCCAACTACCATCACGTTGAGGGTTAGAGCTTCAATATATGAATATTTGGCCATACAGTTCAGTCCATAGAAAATGCTATTTTTTATGTCTCAATATATGAATTTTGAAGAGATAGAATTCAGTCCACAGCAAATGCTATTTTCATATCTCTTATTAAGTGGTTTGAACTTAATCATATTTTTTCACCATCCAAACCCTCCTTCCACTCCCCAAATCAGACCTAGGGTAGGCTAATTAAAATGGCATGCCCGATGTCAGTCCCTCCTCCTGTGTCCACTGACCAATCTTCAGAAACTATCGGGCTCTACACTGGTCTTGTTTTTTTGGACTTTCAACATCACCTAGAACTCCTCTTATCATTTCCTATGGTCTCCTTTTTTCTTTATCTAATCCCTCAGAGGATCTTACCTCTAAACAAAGGAAGCTTCTTAGCAGCATAGCTTTTGCAATTACTGAGGCATACACAGTTCCTGGCTCCAGGCATCCTTCATGCCTCCACATGAGCCCAGCTCAGGACATAGAATAACAGGTCCTAGCATGACTCTCAAGTGGACAGCCAAAAGAGCTAGTGTAAACATTCACCAGCATTACTTACTCTTCTTAAGCACAAGCTACTTCTCAGGTCAGAGATCCAGCAAATGTATCCAGGGTAGGGATACACCGAGGGCCACCACACCTAGGTCTACAATCTTAGAGCTTTGAACAAAAGAACACCACCACTGTTCTATCAGAATGAGAGTGTGTGTATATGTGTCTACATAGAGACTGATTCAGTGATCGATGGAGGTAATAATAAAAATATTCATTTTAATCTTTATGACTTTCTGTAATTTAATGGGACCTCTAGTAGCAGAAAATCCATTCCTGAATGATAAATTCAGGAAATAAGTGTGGGATAGGGAATGGAGGATGGGGCAAAACTAAGTCTACAAGAGAAAAATAGACAAAATGCCGTTATTTCAGTTTTCTGTAATTCTGAATTTGTGATAATTTGATTAGGGCCTGATTTGAAATTTACCTTCACTTAGAAACCGTCTTTTATAGTAAATACTATAAATGAGATCCCAAGGGAGAAATTTTTTGTTTGTTTGTTTGTTTGAGATGGAGTCTCATTTGGTCACCCAGGCTGGAGTGCAGTGGCGTCATCTCGGCTTACTGCAAACTCCACTTCCCAGCCTCCCGAATAGCTGGGATTACAGGAGCCTGCCACCACATGCAGCTAATTTTTGTATTTTTAGTAGAGATGGGGTTTCACCATGTTATCCAGGCTGGTCTCGAACTCCTGGCCTGGCTGGTCTCAAACTCCTGACCTCAAGTGATCCACCTGCCTCGGCTGTCCATAGTGCTGGAATTACAGGCATGACCCACCACACCAGCTAAGAAATTTTTAAATGAAGAGAAAATGTTTTCAAGATACACTCAAGGACTTTACAAATGCTCATCAATTAAAATTTTTGTGGCCAGGCGCGGTTGCTCATGCCTGCAATTCCAGCACTTTGGGAAGCCGAGGCGGGCGGATCACCTAAGGTCGAGAGTTCAAGACCAGCCTGACCAACATGGAGAAACCCCATCTCTACTAAAAAATACAAAATTAGCCAGGCATGGTGGCACATGCCTGTAATCCCAGATACTCGGGAGGCTGAGGCAGGAGAATCGCTTGAACCAGGGAGGCAGGGGTTGTGGTGAGCCGAGATCACGCCATTGCACTCTAGCATGGGAAACAAGAGCAAAACTCCATCTCAAAGAAAAAAAAAAGTGAGTTATAAAGCATTAAGCATAATAGGAATAAAAAATCATACGAAGCAATTCCTATGCTTTTATAGGCAATTCTGATAATATATGCATTAAGAATCCTCTACTACATTTTTTTAAAATGTATTTCATTTTTAAGTATCCTCTAATTTATATTCATCTAGTCCAGAAATGGTGAGATTTTGTTATAAACTTTTTTTTTTTTTTTTTGAGACGCAGCCTAGGCTGGAGTGCAGTGTCGCAATCTTGGCTCACTGCAACCTCTGCCCACCAGGTTCAAGCAGTTCTCCTGCCTCAGCCTCCCTAGTAGCTGGGATTACAGGTGTGTGCTGTAATCCTGGCTAATTAGCCATGCCTGGCTAATTTTTGTATTTTTAGTAGAGACGAGGTTTCGCCATATTGGCCAGGCTAGTCTCGAACTCCTGACCTCAAGTGATCCACCCTCCTTTGCTTCCAAAAGTGCTGGGATTACAGGCATGAGCCACCATGCCTGACCTTGTTATAAACTCTTAATGATTAACAGAAATGAAGAAGCTACAAAATAAGAATTTAACAAAATTCATAAACTAATATATATTTTAAATATATCAAAAATGTCATATTTGTTAACTTCTTAGAATTTCTGCATAGCGATTTATTTTGGAAATAGTTGAGAATACTAAATTAATTTTTCTATCTCCATTCTTTATAAAATATCTTTTTTCAGGAACTGAAGTGAAAAAAATTGAAGCTATAAATGTTCCTTGCACACAGCTTTCAATGTCATTTTTTCATCGGTTATATGATGAAGATATTGTACGAGACAGTGGACATATTGTTAAATGTTTAGATTCTTTTTGTGATCCATTTCTCATTTCTGATGAGTTACGAAGAGTAAGTACAGAATTTTAAAATTTCGCAGTGGAATTTTATTTCAGGAAATGCAAAAATGGCAAAAACTTTGCCTGCTTAAAGCATAAAATACCTTGTCATAAAATACCACCTATTTATAAGTAATGATCGGTAATAATCCTAACATTGGTAGATTTCTACTTAGATGGCACTTTAACCATCAACTTAATTATTTGTGTATTTTAGTAATTCTCAAATAGGTGCTACTAACATCTGATGGGTAGAGATGCTGCGAAACGTCATATAACTCACAGGACAGTCACAACAAAGTTATCTGGCTCAAATTATCTATAGTGCTGAAGCAGGAAAGTCCTGGCCTATTTAATAAGGCCATTTTTGCTCAATGTGGGCCTTTTAACTTATCAAATGAATATTAAAAACATCCCGGAGCTGGGCACAGTAGCTCTCGCTTGTAATTCCAGCACTTTGGGAGGCTGAGGCAGGTGGGTGGTTTGAGCCCAGGAGTTCAAGACCAGCCTGGGCAACATAGCAAAACCCTGTCCACAAAAACTACGAAAGTTAGCCAAGGCTGGTGGCTCACACCTGTATTCCCAGCTGCCTGGAAGGCTGAAGTCCCAGCTGCTCGGAAGGCTGAAGTGAGAAGATTGAGTCTGGGAAGTCAAGGCTGCAATGAGCTGTGATCATGCCACTGCACTCCAACCTGGGCGACAGAGCAAGACCTTGTCTCAAAAATAAACTTAGATAAATAAATAAAAACATCCCAGGAGTAAAAGAATCTTTTTATCTCATTGCTAATATCAACAAAGCCATTGGATTAACTAAATTCAAATTTGTTTCAGTGAAAAGTACACTGAACTTGGAATTAAATTATATAGATTATTTACCTGATTCCTGATTTATTATTTAGAAGATAATAGTCTTAGGCAAATTTCTCAATCTTTTGAGCCTCAAGATCTTATCTATACAACATGAAGATGAAAGTGCCCATTCTACCTTCTTCCTAAAATCATTGAGAAAATTAATTGAAGCATTTACATGTACCTTTTAGAAATATCAAATGCTGTTAAAATGAAATGTCAGCTTGGACAACAGAGCAAGACCCTCATCTCTACAAAAATATGAAGAAATAGGCCAGGTGCAGTGGAGCGCACCTGTGGTTCCAGCTACTTGGGAAGCTGAGGTGGGAGGATTGCTTGAGCCCAGGAGTTTGAGGCTGCTGTGAGCTATGATTGTGCCACTGCACCCCAGTCTGGGCAACAGAGTGAGACCTTGTCTCTAAAAAACAGAAAAAAGAAATGTATTATTGATATTATCATCGTTACAATTATTGAGAGTATTAAAGTAGTTAAAAATGAGGGCTTTCATGTCAAATAGCCATATGTTCAAATCCAGTCTTTGTCACTTAGTAACTGATCCTTAACTTCTCTAAGCTTCAGTTTCTTCATCTATAAAGTAGGCATAATGTGAGAATTATGTGAGATAATGCACTTACTCTGCTTAGCACAATGGCTGGAGCTTAGTAAGTTTTCCAAAATATTAACAACTACTATTAATTACTACTGTTATTATTATCCTTAATTAAGAGAGAAGGGAGACGTACAAGTCTGATGTATTACAAATCCAGATAGCAGTGAACTAGGGAAGCTACTGATCCATCATTCCGGACACAGGAATCTTGTCTGTAGGAGAAAGGGAGGTATCCAACCAGTCTACACTAAGGCAATACCTAAAAGCACTCATTAACTTAGTTAAAGAAGAAAATAAAATTAACTTACTGAGAATACCCAAATACACACAATTGAATGAGACTACATATAGTTTGCTCTTAGGTAAATGAAGTATATCTAACATGAGATAATATAAATAATATACATGGCTGGGCGTGGTGGCTTACTTCTGTAATCCCAGCACTTTGGGAAGCCAAGGTGGGCAGATCACCTGAGGTCAGGAGTTCGAGACCAGTCTAGCCAATATGGCAAAACCCTGTCTCTACTAAAAACACAAAAATTAGCCAGGTGTGGTGGTGGGTGCCTCTAATCTCAGCTACTTGGGAGGCTGAGGCACAAGAATTCCTTGAACCCGGGAGGCAGAGATTGCGGTGAGCTGAGATCACACCACTGCATTCCAGCCTAGGTGAAAGAGCAAGATTTCGTCTCAAAAGAAGAAATTAAACAAAACAAAACAAAAAATACTATGCAGTAGGGATCTCATATTAATTTCTACTTCTCCTTACCAAGGATTGGAAATTACTAATCAGGAAATGTTTGGTCTGGGTTTCCCTCCTTTTGGATACTACTGTCAGCTCTTCTCTCTCACACTTCTTCTCTGGCATAAGGGTCTAAAGACCCTTACCTCTAATTTTAGATAATTCACTGTCACTTCTACAGAAAGAGCATCATCAGTGGACATTTTTTTTAAAAAAGAAGTATTAGTTTTCCAACAGAATACTCTGCAAAACTGCTTGCTGTCTGTCTTATTTATTGCCATGAATAGCACCTTTATTCATGAAATGCTGGAGCTCAGTGTTTTTCTACTAGTTGCCTGTATGGCTTGCTCTTGGGTTCATTGCTACTCTGTGGCAATAGGGAGGAAAGGCTTTTAACTTGGTTGCTTTCTGGCTGATAAAAAATAAAACTAACATCCAGCTTCAGCCTGAACTAAAAAGGGTCCCCCATTGTGCAGCACTACAGATTGTATTGCCTCACTGTAATGTAGTAAGTACTAATAACCACTTTCCTGACTGTGGCTCAGAAGTGTGACCTCTAAGAGCTACGTAGCTGAAGAGATCTGTATGTGAATGGAGAGGGAGAAAAGCCATAGAATATTATGTTTTCACATTCATTCCAAAAAATTTTTAAAAATTATTATATTTTTTTAAATTACACAGCCTAGCCGGGCATGGTGGCTCATGCTTGTAATCTCAGCACTTTGGGAGGCAGAGGCGGGTGGATCACTTGAGACCAGGAGTATAAGACTAGCCTGGCCAACATGGTGAAAACCAGACTCTATTAAAAATACAAAAATTAGCCAGACATGGTGGCATGCGCCTGTAATCCCAGCTACTAGGGAGGCTGAGGCAGGAGAATCGCTTGAACCCAGGAGGCGGAGGTTGCAATAAGCTGAGATTGCGCCACTGCACTCCAGCCTGGGTGACAGAACGAGACTCCATCTAAAAAAAGAAAAAAAATTAGCTGGTCATGGTGGCGTGTACCTGTAGTCTCAGCTACTTGGAAGGCGGAGGTGGGAGGATTGCCTGAACTCAGGAAGTTGAAGCTGCAGTGAGCCAAGATGGCACCATCGCACTCCAGCCTGAGTAACAGAGTGGGACCCTGTCTCCTCCACCCCCCAAAAATTGCACAGCCTAATCAGTTCAATATATGAGAGTATTCATGTAAGAAATGTGTTAACTATTCATTCCTAAGTACTTTATTCACCTTTCTCTTAAGCCAGATCTTCAGATAGTTGCAAACATGGGCCTCAATAACACATCATCATTTTCTTACAGAGGGAGGGAAAGAGGGAGGAAGGAAGGAAGTGGAGATATGCAAGTGTTACATGTGGCACACCCAGAGAGCAATTAAGTATGGACTGCTTTCCCTTACCTATATTTTCCTAGACATACCTAACCTTGGTTTTCATCAAGGCATTATAAATAAACTGTGTATGGACAACACCATAGAGTTGAGTTTTTTAAATACTTCTTATATGCAAAGACCTGTTGGTAAGTTTTCTGTAGAGACTGTGAATGAGCTTAATCAATTTTCATAATTAAGTGCACTTGCTACTAGACAGTGATTGTTGTATAATTCATTGTATTTTCCTTTTACCCTTGTATGGTAGTGTTAAGTGTAATGTACAATTTTGATAGCCTTTCTCCATCTGGAGTTCCTGTTTGTTTGTTTATTTATTTATTTTTGTCTCTATTTTGTTTATTTGTGCTCTGGTATTTATTTCCTTATACTAACTTAGGTTTGTTCTTGCTTTTTTAGTTTCTTGAGGTGCATCATTAGATTATTTGAAGTCTTAGTACTTTTTTGATGTAGGCATTTTTTGCTGTAAACTTCTCTTTTAGCACTAATTTTGCTATATTCCATAGGCATGGGTATATTATATTTCCATTTTTATTTGTTCAAGAAAGTTTAAATTGTTCTTCTGAATTTGTTCATTTACTCACTGGTCATTCAGGAATACGTGTTGTTGGTTCTCATGTATTTGTATAGTTTCCAAAATTTCTTTTGTTATTGATTTCTAGTTTTATTCCATTGCAGTATGAGAAGATACTTGGTATGTTTTCAATTTTTTAAGTGTGTTGAGACTTGTTTTGTGACTCAGCATATGGTCTATCCTGAAGAATGTTCCATGTGCTGATGAGAATAGATATTCTGTAACTGTTGGATGAAATGTTCTGTAGATGTCTATTTGGTCTAGAGTGCAGTTTAAATCCAGTGTTTCTTTATTAATTTTCTGTCTAGATGATCTGGCTAATGTGGAGAGTGGGGTGTTGAATTTCCCAACTATTACTGTATTAGAGTCTGTCTCTTCTGTTAGCTCTAATAATATTTGCTTTATATATTTATGTCTGCTGGTGTTGGATGCATATATATTTAGAATAGTATATCCTCTGCCTGAATTGACCCCATTAGCATTATATAATGAGTTTCTTAGTCCCTTTTTACTGTTTTATTTACAGGTCAAGTGAGTTTGCTATGGGCAACATATAGTTAGTTGGATCATGTGTTGTTGTTGTTTTTTAATCCACTCAGCCAGTTTACACATTTTAAGTGAAAAATTTAGTCTGTTTATATTCAAGGTTATTATTGATATGTGAGGACATACTTCTGTCATTTTGTTAATTTTTTTGGTTATTTTGTATATCTTTTGTTCCTTTTTCTATTTTTGTTTATCTTTGGGGTTTGGTGGTTTTCTTTAGTGGCAATATTTGAATCCTTTCTGTGTTTTCAAATTTTGCTTTCAGGTATAGGTCTCCCTTAACCATTTCTTACAGGGCAGGCCTAGTGATGATGAATTCCTTCCATTTTGGCTTGTCTAGGAAATACTTTCTCTTTTATTTATGAAGGATAATTTTGCTGGGTATAGTATTTTTGGCTGCTAGTTTTTTTCTTTGTTTTCTCTCTCAGCACTTTGAATCATCCCATCCTCTACTGGCCTGTAAGGTTTCTTCTGAGAAATCCATTGTGAGTCTATTGAGGGTTTCCTTATATGTGGCTAGACACTTTTCTCTTGCTGTTTTTAGAATTCTCTTTCTCTTGCTGTTTTTAGAATTCTTTTTCTTTAACTTTTGATGGTTTGATGATAATGTGCCTTCAAGAAGACCTTTTTGGGTTGTACTTATTTGGGGATCTTTAAGGTTCCTGTATCTGGTCGTCTAAATCTCTTGTTAGAATTGAAAAGTTTTCAGCTATTATTTTGTTAAATAGATTTTTTTTATGCCTTTGGGCTTCTCTTCACCTTCTGGAACACCCATAATTCAAAACTGTGTTTGCTTTATGGTATCCTATATGTAATGTAGGCTTTGTTCATTCTTTTTCTCTTTTTTTTTTGTCTGACTGGGTTACTTCAAAAGACCTGTCTTCAAGTTCTGAAACTCTTTCTTTGGCTTTATGTAGTCTATTGTTGAAACTCTCAATTGAATCTTTTATTTCATTCATTGAATTATTCAGTTCTAGGATTTCTGTTTGGTGCTTTTTAATGATATCCATCTTTTTGGTGAATTTCTCATTCATATCCTGAATTGTTTTTCTGATTTCTTTGTATCCTTTATCTGTGCTTTCTTGTATCTCACTGAGCTTCTTTAATATCATTAATTTTTTGAGAGAATTTTTTTTTTTAGGACTAGAGACAGGGTTTCACCATGTTGCCCAGGCTGGTCTCAAACTCTTGGGCTCAAGTGATCCACCCACCTCAGCCTCCCAAAGTTTTGGGATTACAGGTGTGAGGTACCATGCCTGGCCATATCATTATTTTGAATTTTTTTCTTATAGCTCATAAATTTATTTTTTATTAAATCTGTTGCTAGAGAATTATTGTGTTCCTTTGGAGGTGTCATCTTTTCTTCCTTTTTCATATTTCTTGTGTCCTTATATTAATATCTGTGCATCTAGTCACTTCTTTGAATTTATTGGATTGGCTTTTTTAGGAGAAGACTTTTTCCCGAAGATGTACTTACGGTGTTCGTTGGGTAGAGCATTTTGGTTTTGATTCTGGGTGTATGCAGTAGTGTAGTCTCCATATGATTTATTCAGGTGTACTTGGCATCACTGGTGTCTGTGTTTTCCTCAGTGGCTTAGGTTGCAATTGTTAGTAGAGGCTGGGGTGAGGTTTTGCTGGGGACAGGTAGGCCAGTTTTTGGGCCCCAGTAGTGGCAGCAGCTGGCCAAAGCACACCTGTCCTTGGGCCCCTGAGCAGTGTAGGCAGGCAGTGGTGTTAGCAGGTCCAAGCAGGCTGATTCTTGGGCCTCCACGCAGCTTGCTCATGTGCCAGCAGTGTTAGTGGTGGGCTGGGTGTGTGGATGTGTGTTTGGGTCCTCAGGCAGTGTGCATTAAATGGATGATGGCTGTAGCAGTGGTGGGACAACTTTTGGGTTCCCAAGCAATACACACTTATATTAGTGGTGGCTGTGATGTGCTAGGCAGGCCAATCCCCAGGCCCCCAGGGAGCAAGTATGGGTGGGTTCCAGCTGCTATGGTGGTAGCCAGTTGAGTAGGCCTGTGCTCAGATCCCCAAGAGGAGCACCCAGATGTCAGCAGTGGTGGAGGGGACGGGGCAAACCCCAGAGTCCTGGGTGTGCTTGGGCACTGGATGGGGGACAGTGCCAGGCCAGAGGGGCTGTCCTCAGGTCCTCCAGTGGTACATTCAGGCGGATCCTCTTGTGAGTTGGGCAGGGTGATCCTCAAGCCCCCTAGCAAAGTGCTCAGATGGAAGCAGCATGGGCAATGAGTGGAGAAAGCTCATCCTGAGGGCATGTGCAAGGGAGCTGTGGCCCTGCTGCATGGGGTGGGGTGGGGTTGCTGTCAGTGGCTGCAGCCACTGGCAGGCGGCTCTTGGGTTCTGGAGAGCACACATTTCAGCCCCCAGCAACAGTGGCCATGGCAGTAGTGGCAGCAACAGTAGGGAGAGCCAGTCTTCAGGGCACATGCAAGTGTGTAGTGGCCCTGCTACCAAGGGAATGGGGGGTACAAGGTTGCTGCCAGTGGCATATGTTTCAGCCCCTCAGCTGTGGGTGGGAGATCCCATCTTCAGGGAACATGCAAGTGCGTGGTAGACCTCCTGCTGGTGGTGGCAAGGTTGCTATCAGTGACAGCGGCCCCAGGTAAGTGGGTTTCAGGCTCTGGGGAACACATACTTTGTCTCCCTTTGTCTCAAGGGCAGCCTCCTCAGTGTACTGCGTCACTCATTCCCTGGGGTACAAGACACCATGCAGAGTCCATGTGGACATTTGGGGATGTCATTGGGGCTCTAGGGATGTGGAGATGCAGGGACTTTTGGGCCCCAAGGAAGGATGCAGTCCGGTAGGAGTTGGATTCTCAAAATGGTGCCATCCTGCAGCTGCTTAGGACTTGGAGGTGGGGGAGGGGTGGTGGGAGCCAGCATGAGTTCCTCTCTGGAGCAGTGCCATTGTGTGGTCTCCAGGCAGCTGCCTATTACTAGTCTCTGGGCCCATGAGGGTTGAGGAGCTCTCCCATGGTGAGGATTGCAGGAGTCCACAGTAGAAATGTAGACTGCTGGGGTCTTTCACTTACCATTTTCCTGCATTGGGAAGCCTCTCCAGACTCCCAGCCAATCCCAGCTCCTTCTGTGCTTGTGTGTTTCCTGTCACCTCTCTGTTGAATTCCAGTATTCTCTCTTAGATGCCCTCTTTGAAGTGTGATTATCTACTTGCTATTTTGGTTCTACTTTGTTCAGGAAGTGAGTGCCAGATGCTTCTAGTCAACCATCTTGACATCCCTCCCATGTAAAGTTGTTTATATGTATTTTTTTTTCCACTTTATTTCTTGACCATAGTTTTTTTGTCCTTTATTATTTGGGTCTTATTATATCTATATTTTACTTTTAGTTATTTCACATTCTTTTTTTTTTTTTCCTCTGTCACCCAGGCTGGAGTGCAGTGGTGCAGTCACAGTTCGCTGCAGCTTCAATCATCTTCTGAGCTCAAGCAATCCTCCCACCTCAACCTCCTGATTCACTAGGGCTACAGGCATTCACCACCACGTCCAGCTTATTTTGGGGGGTGGTTTTAGTAGAGATGAGGTCTCACTGTGTTGCTCAGGCTGGCCTCAAGCTCCTGGCCTCAAGCGATCCTCCTGCCATGGCCTCCCAAAGTGCTGAGATTATAGGCACAAACCACCATGCCCAGCCTTCACATTCTATTTTTAAAATAGGGAGGCTGAGGCAAGAAGGTCACTTGAGCCCAGGAGTTTGACACCAGCCTGAGCAACATAGTGAGACTCCATCTCTAAAAAAAGAAAAAATAAAGTAGGTAGGATATAAACAATCCAGTGGAAAAAATATATGTTATATCTTACATTGGTCACCTTTTTATACCCACTACAATCGATAAATGAATCAGTGGTCTGTATTTCCCAATGGCATAAGAAAATCCCCTACATCGGATCTAGTTTTCTGCTTTCTGTATGAGGTAGCAAGACCTCAGAAGAGCAAGAGTCAGTGTCAATAGGTGATGTGTGAAGTGATCTTACTAGATGAGAGCAGGAAAGCGAGAGCTGGATATGAGGCTCCAGCACCTGAATGGTTCAAAAAGGAGTACTTGTGGGAGTAAGAACAATCGTGATCCAAAATCCATAAGAGGAGAGAGCTTAGAAAATGACCGTTTAGTCTCTGGGTAGAAGCCAAGACGGAGGCCTTATGGGATGGAGAAGTGTCCTCATTTATTTATGCTCCTATTTATTTCCAAATAAGATTTGAGGTGACATAACACTAAAACAATTACTAAAAATATAAACTAGAAAAAAGAAATAAAGTGGAAGGAGGGAAGACTTAGCCACTGTGTTTTAAATTTTGATTTGTTCTTTTCATTGAATGTCAGTTCCTAATGATAAAATAGAGGCAAATAAATGCAGATTACAGGTTACTCTCTTCAGTTGACTCAAGATTGGTTCTTAAAATAGGTGTAAGATTATTTTTAAGTCTATAAAATGAAACCTTTGAAAACAAAAGTAAAAATCTTGAGTTATGTTACATTAAGATGAATTTTATCGTCTTAGGTTTTGCTAGTGGAAGACTCAGAAAAATATGAAATATTCAGCCAACCAGATAGAGAAGAGTTCCTGTTTTGTCTTTTCAAACATCTTTGCCTTGGTGGAGCCCTTTGTCAATATGAGGATGTGATTAGCCCATATCTGGAAACAACAAAGCTTATCTATAAGGATCTGGTGAGGTAATGTTGCTAGATCACAATATGTAAATCTCTAGTTAATAGAATAAATTATTTGCTTAACCTTGATGGAATTACACAACATCATTCAGTGGTTATATTAACAACCAAAGCATATAAAAAGCTCTACCCTTACCCCCCTCTCATAACCTTCCCCCTCTCTTCCAGAATAGAAAGATTTCTGGATTTCTCTCTCATTTAGTTCTCAGTCCCCTCATTCTTCATCTAGCTCTTCTGCTTTTTTCCTCATTCAGACCTGTTACAAACTGCCATCTTCCAAGCCTTCTTTTTTTCTTACCAAGCCTCCTTTTAAATCTGAAGGGAACACAAGAGATCCCTCCAGATGTTTGAGTTTGCTTAACTAATAGTAAAAACAATTATTACCTTTGTTCCAAAGAAGTGGAAGAATTTTCACGTAGGTGTAATCTTTACCTTTTCAAATTAATCCCAGTGCTTATGCAGTTTGAAGTATTCTAGTAGCATTTTTCTTTTTGAAGATCAAATGAGAATTAAAACCTTACAAATTTCTTATTTGTACCTTTCTTTTAACTGAAATGAATGTTCTTTGGTTGGGTTTTTCAGTTATGAAGATATTGGATCATCTTAATAGGCAAAACAATAGAAAGCAAAAGATCTTAAAAGTTAGTTATATAATTTTACTTTAATAGGAGAAAACAAGAATTAGCTTCTCATTGGACTCATAATTGTTACTTTACTTATACTCAACACCTTAATTCTCATATCCATTCCATGTGTCATATAGCTATACAGCAAACTGCATAATTTAGTTATGCAATTAATTTATTTTATGGTTTTAAAAACAGAAAAATGTTTCTATAATCTCTCTGTGATTTTAATGAACAAGTTATTGTCAACACATACAGATTATTGGAAGAAGATATGTTAGAAACAGAATTTCAGAAAAAGCATACACATACCTATTAATATATCAAACATACTGTCCTAATTATTTGAAGTTCATGTAAACCTGCTAGACTGCTTCTAGCACTCCCTGAAGATACTTCTCTGTATACCCTACACATACACACACACACACACGCACTCATGCACGTACACACATACTACTACCACTACTACCACAACGCGTTGTACCCCATCCGCCACATGAACCTGTGGAATTCCTCACTACTGTGTGCTGTGGAGGAGGAGATTGTGTTGGAGATATTTGAAGTAGAAATAAGTTTAGAACCTACACATTGAAGAAACTGCTATTTTTCCCAACATTCCCTTCTCCAGATTCTCACCTGTGATTCTCTTCTACATTTTTGGATGCTAAGAAAAAGTATGACTGCTTTACAGTGTCTAACCTGCCCTTGCAGATAAATATTATTGCTAATCCATTCTAGCACAGTCCATCCCTTATGTTTGTACATGTTGGGAGCACACTACAGCGTGTGATTTTAGGAGTCTCTAACTCAAACAAAAGGGTAAAAATGTTATTAAAATATTTTCTTCCTCATCCATTATAACAGGTCCTATAAAACACACCTTTTTTATTTTTTAAATTTTAATCATTTATTTTTTGAGACGGAGTCTCACCGTGTCACCCAGGCCAGGCTGGAGTGCAGTGGCGCGATCTCAGCTCACTGCAACCTCCACCTCCTGGGTTCAAGGGATTCTCCTGCTTCAGTCTCCCAAGTAGCTGGGATTATAGGCACAAGCCACCATGCCTGGCTAATTTCTTTATTTTTCATAGAGACGGGGTTTTATCATTTTGGCCAGGCTGGTCTCAAACACCTGACCTCGGGTGATCTGCCCGCCTCAGCCTCCCAAAGTTCTGGGATCACAGGCGTGAGCCACTGCACCTGGCCTATTTTATTTATTTTTTATCTTTTTATTTTTTTTGAGACAGGGTCTCACTCTGTTGCCCAGGCTGAAGTACAGTGGCACAATCTCGACTCACTGCAACGTCTGCCTCCTGGGCTCACGTAGTCCTCCCACCTTAGCCTCCCGAATAGCTGGGATCACAAGCACACACCACTACACCTGGCTAAGTTTTTCATATTTTTTGTAGAGACAGGGTTTCACCATATTACCCAGGCTGGTCTCAAACTTCTGGACTCAGGTGATTCACCTGCCTCAGCCTCCCAAAGTGCTGGGATTACAGGTGTAAGCCGCCGCGCCCAGTCAGGTCCTTGTTTTTTAAAATGTGCAGAGTTACTTAGAATAGTCTGGACACCCCAGAGTTTAGAGTCAATATGGGACTGATCCTCAGAAATAATCGCAAATGACATTGACAAGAAACAACTATATTATGTCCAAACCATTAATATAATTACACTTTTAAAAAATATTATGTGGAAATTATGTTTCTTTATCCTTAAAAACCATGGTTATCAGAGGATGGAGTTAGTGATGGATAAAGATCTGATATAATGCAATTATTAGTAGAACACCATAGAGCACTAATCAATATCACTTTATATTTCCTTTTCCTTTTTTCTTAAGAGATATAGGACAGATGATAACTGTACTTTCTTGCTAGGCCTATAAAAAATTAGACAAATTATTTTAGAGATATTTTAAAGTAATACTAATGTAGGATCAGAGGCAACAGAATAATATGATTTCTTTCTATTAGAAACTAACGTCTAATAATGTACAAATGGTGGTTTCTTTCTAAAACAATTACTTGTTTTTGTTTTGTTTTTTTTTATTTTTTTGAGATGGAGTCTCACTCTATCGCCCAGGCTGGAATGCAGTGGTGCAATCTCGGCTCACTGCAACCTCCGCCTACCGAGTTCAAGCAATTCTCGTGCCTCAGCTTCCCCAGTAACTGGGACTACAGGCGCATGCCACCATGGCCCAGCTAATTTTTGTATTTTTTGTAGAGGCGGGGTTTCACCATGTTGGCCAGGCTGGTCTAGAACTCCTAACCTCAGGCAATCTGCCCACCTCGGCTACCCAAAGTGCTGGGATTACAGGTGTGAGCCACCGTGCCCGGCCGATATACTTGTGGTACATGTTTATATGTGTTAAGTGATTGTTCTGATATCAAATACTAAATTTTCCTCTAAACTGATTTGATGAACACTTTTACAAAGTTTTTTCTTTCCTCAGATTTTTAAACGGAAATAATTTATGTATAGTAAAATGAATAAATCATAAATATACATACAATTTGGTGAATCTTTATGTATGTTTATACCATATAACCACCCACAGATCAATACTTAGAATTAGATATAACCATAGATATGTTATTTATATTGACCTAGGTGATTATATAGGTGTATGCAAAGTATTTTATATATAGTGGTTATAGTCATCCCTTGGGTAAGCACAAAATCTTAAAAGTAGTATTCAACTTTTAAGCAGTATGTTAAGCAATAGAGAAATCAAAAGAAAATGAACTTGACCTATGTCATAGAAATATTTGGAAATCAATTTAATCCTGGGTTTAAGTCTAAATGAAATATCTAGTAGAGATGAAAACCACCTAAGATTGTTGAACCCTGAAATGGCTATGGCTGGTCATCCCCAAAAGGTACACAAGCTCAACCATACATACACACACACCGCTCAAACTGAGTCTTCCTTTTTCCTCCTCCTCTTCTTTCTTCTCTCCCTCTTCCAATTACTTTTACATATGTAGTAGATGGAGAAGCAATACTTACACCTAAAAAAGTAGAGAAGAGGGTATCTTTCTTTAAATTTTACCTATACATGTCACACATTAATAATACCTTTGATACCTATGTATTAAATATTTATAGAGTGTATAGGTCTGGGATGAGCAGCTGAGGTGTAACAGAAAGATGACTGGACTCTGAGTCACCTGTATTCTATTCCCAGAAATACCACTTTTATTTAGCTTATCTTAATTATAGCATTTAGCTTCTTTAGTTATATTGTCCATAAAATTGACAAAATAATGCCTACCTCAATGAGTTGTGTGATCTTTAAATGAGGTCATGTATATAAGGGTATTTTGGAGGCAGGGTGCAGTGGCCATCACCTGTAATCCCAGGACTTTGGGAGGCCAAAGCAGAAGGATCTCTTGAGGCCAGGGTTTCAAGACCAGCTTGGGCAATATAGCAAGACTTTGTCTCTACAAAAATAAAAAATAATAAAAAGTTAAAAATTGTGTAAAAAATGTTTTACAAACTGTAAGGCATTATAAATATAAAGTGTGTGTATATTTATTTATATATATGTAACAAATTATAAATATATGTCTGTAGCTTATTTTCTCAATCCTTAGTTTGCTTTCTCACTACATATTGCCATAGGAAATCTTTTGTGGGGAGAGTAACTGAAAGAAAACTACTGAAAAAAATTATTTTTAATATGATATAACTTAGCAATATATAATTTAACAAATAGTTGTTTGGGGTTTTTTGGGATTTGTTTGTTTGTTTGTTTGTTTTTGAGATGGAGTTTCGCTCCTGTTGCCCAGACTGGAGTGCAATGGTGCAATCTTGGCTCATCGCAACCTCCGCCTCCCAGGTTCAAGCGATTCTTCTGCCTCAGCCTCCCGAGTACCTGGGATTACAGGCTATGTTTTTGTATTTTTAGTAGAGACAGGGTTTCTCCATGTTGGTCAGGCTGGTCTCGAACTCCCGACCTCAGGTGATCTGCCTGCCTAGGCCTCCCAAAGTGCTGAGATTACAGCCATGAGCCACCGCGACCGGCCCACAAATAGTTTTTATATACATTATCTCATTTGATTTTCATATACTAAAAGGAACATATTATTCCCAATTTACATATGAGAAAATTGAGTCTCAGAAAGGTTAATCCTACTCAAAGTGAAAGAACTAGCATTTGTATTTACATTGTTTAAGTCTTCAGTCTATCATGCTTTTATCTACCCCGTATGGCTGTTTACACTTCAGTCTGATTTTTACAAATCCCTATTCATCCAATAATTGTCTCTGTAGCCTGGGAAGGTAATTTCATCATCTGAGTCTCAGACTGACCTTAAACCTTCTAACTGTAAGATTCAATTTTCTGCTATTTCAATTCAGTTGACCTTGCCCATTCTTGAATGAAGCCTCAGATGCCATTTTTTCAAACCACTTAGTTGGATAGTATGTATTTCCATGTTCTATATGAATAAGAACACTTAAATACTAAAAGGGATCATTACTTAAATGTATATGCCAATGCCTATTATATGTTAAAAGCACCTTTTCTTCCTTTTTTTAGTGTTCGAAAGAATCCTCAAACCAAGAAAATACAGATTACCTCTTCTGTCTTTAAAGTTTCAGCTTATGTAAGTGTGAGAGAACTTTTGCAACCAAAGAATTTAATTACTTTTTATTAATAGAGTTGTTACAACTGGAGTTAACAATCAGGACAATGTTATGCCTAGGAGAAAAGACAATGTTATTTAGAGTTTTGTTAAAATTAAAAGTTGATAGAGTATGCTTTTGTTTGGAGAACAATTTGAACTTTTTTCCCTGGCTTCCTTTCTGTCATCTGTATCTAATAACATTGCCTACTTATTTTAGAGCTAAATCTGTGACTCAGATAGAGTAGAACACAGTTCTCTTAGTCTGTCAAACCATCATTTATAGGGCAGATAAATAAGAATGCCACAAATGTCGCCGGGCCCGGTGGCTCACGCCTGTAATCCCATTTTAGGGGGCCGAGGCAGGCAGATCACGAGCTCAGGAGATCGAGACCATCCTGGCTAACACTGTGAAACCCCGTCTCTACTAAAAATACAAAAAATTAGCCGGGCATGGTGGCACGCGCCTGTAGTCCCAGCTTTGGGGAGGCTGAGGCAGGAGAATTGCTTGAACCTGGGAGGCGGAGGTTGCAGTGAGCCGAGATCATGCCACTGCACTCCAGACTGGGCAACAGAGCGAGACTCCATCTAAAAAAAAAAAAAAAAAAGAATGCCATAAATGTGTCTTTATACATAGAATCTGGTACTTGAATTTCAGTATTATACAAAAGATATTATTACATTCGAAGCAGTTTCTAAGTATCTTCATTCAATCACTTAACAAGTATTTATTAAATATATACTGTGTATCAGCTATTGTACTGGGCTAAGTCACAGTGATAAACAAAAGAAACATAGTCCCCACCCCGTGCAGTGGCTCATGCCTGTAATCCCAGCACTTTGAGAGGGCAGATCACTTGAGGTCGGGAGTTCAAAACCAGCCTGGCCAACATGGTAAAACCCCATCTCTACAAAAAATACAAAAAATTAGCCGGGTGTGGTGGGAGACGCCTGTAATCCCAGCTACTTGGGAGCCTGAGGTATGAGAATTGCTTGAACCCAGGAAGCAAAAGTTGCAGTGAGCTGTGGTGGTACCAATACTGTACTCCAGACTGGGCAAAAGAGTAAGACTCCAACTCCAAAAAAAATTTAAAAAAAAAAAGAGAAAACAAAGATAGAAAATTGCTAAATATAAAATTGTTGCAATATTAGCACTTTAAAAGCACTTTTTTTAAAATGATGGGATTTGTCTTTGGACTATAAATTCCTTAAAGACAAAAATTATGCATGTAAGTATAGTACATATGTATTCCTATCATAGTAGACTGTGCTGTCCATAAATATTTTAAATCATTAATTAACTGCCAATTTATTGTCAAAGATTTTATCCATGTTTCCTGTTTTGACAGAAAATACATAATAGGCAAATATATTGATTATCACTTAAATGTAGTTGTATACTAACTAATTTAGGATTGGCCGGGTGCTGTGTCTCAAGCCTGTAATCCCAGCCTTTTGGGAGGCCGAGACAGGTGGATCACAAAGTCAGGAGTTCAAGACTAGCCTGGCTAAGATGCTGAAACCCTGTCTCTACTAAAAACACAAAAATTAGCTGGGCATGGTGGCACATGCCTGTAATCCCAGCTACTCGGGAAGCTGAAGCAGGAGAATCACTTGAACCCGTGCGGCAGAGGTTGCAGTGAGCCGAGATCGCGCCACTGCACTCCAGCCTGGGCGACGGAGCAAGACTCTGTCTCAAAAAATAATAATAATAAATATATAAATACATAAATAAAATAAAATAATAATAATTTAGGTTTGTCTTTTTCAGGATTCTGCTGGTATGTGCTATCCTTCAGCAAAGAATCATGAACAGACATTTTCTTACTTTATTGTGGATCCTATCAGGCGTCACCTTCATGTTTTATACCACTGTTATGGTGTGGGAGACATGTCTTAATGTTCTTTCAGATTATGTACCTCTACTATTTTGTATTTATCATTTTTCTATCTTAATACTAACTTATAGATAAACATATACTTTGCAAATTAATTCAAGAAAAATGTAAGGAGCCTACTTAGAGCAGAAGAAAGCAAACACCAAGATGCCTTTTTAAAAATTTGTGTGGAATACTAACCGGGGATCAAATTTCATCCATAATAAAATCTATACCAAAAAAGTTGTGGAATTTTTACAGAAAGTTACAAGGAATTAGAAATCTAGTTCATATTTGTTGCATTGTGATTCAAGTGAATCCTCAATTTTCCATGTATTTTAATTTATAAGCTAATTAATTATGGATTGAAAATGTAGCAGAAAACTAAACATGTCTACCACTGATCATTAATATGAATTGTTAGTTTATTTAACTTGTTTCATTTAATTACATTTCTTCATTGCACAAGCGTTTACATCTGTAAAGCTAGGCAAAGCATAACAATTCTTTTGCTTCATTTGTTCCACTTATAAGCCTCAGTAAAGAAGTAACGTTCTGGGGCCTGGCACGGTGGCTCACGCCTGTAATCTCAGCACTTTGGGAGGCCAAGGCGGGCGGATCACGAGGTCAAGAGATCGAGACCATCCTGGCCAACATGGTGAAACCCCGTCTCTACCAAAAGTACAAAAATTAGCTGGCTGTGGTGGTGTGTGCCTGTAGTCCCAGCTACTCAGGAGGCTGAGGCAAGAGAATCACTTGAACCCGGGAAGTGAGGTTGCAGTGAGCCGAGGCTGTGCCACTGTACTCTAGCTCTGGCAACAGAGCAAGACTCCGTCTCAGAAAAAAAAAAGGTTCTGAAAGTGGTTGTAAACTCTTGTATCACATAATAAATTAAAACTGCAGCTGTCCCACGGCTAATACAAGAGCTACATGTAAACAGAGAAAGTTGCCTGATGGCATTAGTAAGTCGTTCAAAGAGTGAGAAGCAGGTTATCTTAGTACTGTTCCTTATTTCATTCATAGAATGAATGTATAACCTAGATTGTTTTTGGTTTATTTTGATGGCAAAAATCATTGACATATATCCCATGGGTCATGGGAAGCCTGTAAGAAATGTTGAGGTTTGAGGAGGAGCAAGTTTGAAAGATGTGTTTCTGTGTTGTGGGATAAAGACGATAATCTTGGACTTGAACCTGGATTTGAATCTGGAATGCAGCTGGCAATTTGGGTATAGAGCTCAGGAGAAAGAGTATGTTTTACTTCTAATACCTAACACAATGACTTGGCATATTAAATGTTTATTGAATGAATAACTACTTTCTAGATATCCTCATAATACCCATAGATTTTTTTAAATTACATAAAAACATAAAATCAAGAACTGAAATGTCTGTTTGCTACCAGCTTTGCTGCTTACCTCACAGTTCCCTATGACCTGGAGACCCTTTCGATCAATCAAGTGGCCAATCAGTAATTCTTTTTGAATACCAATTCTGTGCAAGGCACTGGGCAGTTTACTTTGGGGAAACATACACTCCCTATAAACCTATTTAGGAAGGTAATCTTTAAGAGTGTGACTACCAATAGTGATTGTTGCATGAATTCAGAGATAGAAGAGATCACTCTGAACTAAGATAGGCTTAGTCTGGCTTCTATGGAAAGACTGGTGGGATATCAGTAATGGAAGAGAACAGCAGTTGAAGGGAGCACATGATGTGGCGAGGTACTCTGGGCTTGGCCCTTGGATGAAAGTCCAGAGGCGAAAGATGGGAAAGTGATACTGAGGAATTGCCACTATTTTTTCTCCGCTCTAAAGGTGGAGGTAGATAGGACCTTTGAGGAAAGATTGCTCCATTGTTTTGGAAAAATCATTTGATGACTCATTTGTGATTATGCAAATTATCTGTATTATAAGGCATAATAGAGTAGTGATAAAGAGTTTGGGCTGGGCTGTCAGGTTGCCTGGATTTTTTAATTTGCCATTACTTGCTGTGTGACCTTGAGCTGGTTACTTAACTCTCTGCGCCTTAATTGTCTTTTCTATAAAATGGAAAAAAATAATAGGACTACCTCGCAGGGCACGGTGGCTAACGCCTGTAATCCCAGCACTTTGGGAGGCCAAGGCAGGCGGATCACGAGGCCAGGAGATCGAGACCATCCTGGCTAACACAGTGAAACCCCATCTCTACAACAAAATAACAAAAAAAAAAAAAAAAAAAAAAAAAAAAGAAAAATGAGCTGGGCGTACTGGTGGGAGCCTGTAGTCCCAGCTACTCAGGAGGCTGAGGCAGGAGAATGGCATGAACCCGGCAGGCGGAGGTTGCAGTGAGCTGAATCGCGCCACTGCACTCCGGCCTAGGCGAGAGAGCGAGACTCTATCTCAAAAAATAAAATAAAAATAAATAATAATAATAATAATAATAGGACTACCTCATAAGTTCCCTTTTTTGGAAAATTGTATTAATTAATACATATGTTGGTCTTTGAATGATGCCAGGCACATAGTTTAAGTGCTCATGAATTTTGGCTGCATTCTCTACTGAGGAAATATGAAGAAAAAAAAAGAGAAACAGTTAACTGTCTGCATAATAATGTAAAAAGCTGTCTTCTTGGGGCCAGAATTGCTTTTGTATAGATTATTATTAATTGACTGAAGAGATGGGAAAATTGGTTTTTCCTCTTTGGAGGCCCCAGAGAACGTAGAGGTCCTGAGCACGGACTCCAGGGATTTCTTTGGCAGCATTTGTACACTTGGAACTATTTGCGCAGCTATTTGTTATAATTTGTTTAATATCTTTCATGAAAACAAGTACTGTGTCCATTTTGTTTACCTTTGTGTCCACAATGCCTAGAACTTGAAAGACAATACATGCCTATTCTCTGACTAAGTACTGTTGGTAGAGAGAAACTGGCCTTTGAAGTGCAACTGTGGAGACTGTGGAAAGCGAGGGAGGAGGAAAGGTTGGTGCTGAGAGTTATAGATCATCAGCATGGAAGCCTCCTCTGCAGGGGCTGAGCTGGTGGACTCTAGCAGCCTTCATACCTACGTGCCCACCTTAAATTTACTGTACAGTCATCCCTCTAGTTATACTTCAACCTTTTGTTAAATTTTGCAAACTATTATAGTCTGGATTCATACTGTAGTCTGGATTTAGCTGCCCAGCATGGGATTAGATATGCAGCCCAGGAACATGCCTGTGGCAAAAATTGTCCCTAGAGAGCAGCAGCCGCAGCCTGTAGAAGCCGGCTTTGTAAAAGCAAACTGTGATCAAGTGAGAGAAGAGGGGTTGTCTGGAGTGAGACAACTGGCCATGGTGACAAGTGACCACAGAATGGCTTTCTGAGACTTTCTGAGAGCATTCTTCAAAAATTCCAAAAGTATCTAGAACTAGAAATACCATTTGACCCAGCCATCCCATTACTGGGTATATACCCAAAGGACTATAAATCATGCTGCTATAAAGACACATGCACACGTATGTTTATTGCGGCATTATTCACAATAGCAAAGACTTGGAACCAACCCAAATGTCCAACAATGATAGACTGGATTAAGAAAATGTGGCACATATACACCATGGAATACTATGCAGCCATAAAAAATGATGAGTTCACATCCTTTGTAGGGACATGGATGAAATTGGAAATCATCATTCTCAGTAAACTATCGCAAGAACAAAAAACCAAACAACACATATTCTCACTCATAGGTGGGAATTGAACAATGAGAACACATGGACACAGGAAGGGGAACGTCACACTCTGGGGACTGTTGTGGGG
The DNA here is from genome assembly GCF_000001405.40 of Homo sapiens. Classification (NCBI taxonomy): domain Eukaryota; kingdom Metazoa; phylum Chordata; class Mammalia; order Primates; family Hominidae; genus Homo; species Homo sapiens. The sequence continues at coordinate 102,086,957 of NC_000011.10, forward strand.
TCGGGGGAGGGAGGAGGGATAGCATTGGGAGATATACCTAATGCTAGATGACGAGTTAGTGGGTGCAGCGCACCAGCATGGCACATGTATACATATGTAACTAACCTGCACATTGTGCACATGTACCCTAAAACTTAAAGTGTAATAATAATAAATTTAAAAAAAAAATTCCAAAAGTAACTTAAAGAAGAGGGGTCTTGCAGAATTGTAATTTGGACGTTAAAAAGAGGGACTTAGAGAAGTTGGGATATTTAGATCACATGAGCAAAAATAAATTCAAAGATACAAAAACACAAGGTGATTTCGGGGGACATGAGTACATTTGAGTAGTTAAAACTAATAAGTTCTGTTCTGGAGTTCTGGATAATAACAGGGAAGATAGATTACTGGGGACTTGGTCACAGAGCTGTGGGCACAAAGCTAAGAAATTTAAATCTTTTAAGTAGGTGATGTATAGCAATCATTAAGGACTTTTGAATAGGGGTAGTAGCATCATGAAAGTGATATTCTAGAAAGATTAGTCCAGCAGTGATAAATTGGGGTGAAAAAGTCCAAAGTCCAAAGATCAAATAGAGGTACATAGTAGTTGTCAAAGCACAGAATTAACTGAACTTAGCTCATAGCAATGATAACTTCTCAAGGCATCATGAAGTATGGGACAACAGAATGCTCGATAGAAAAAAAAAATCAAATATGGCCCAAAAAAGGGTAGCCGACTGTGTGAATTATTAAATTTTGGTGTTTGAGGTACTAAGAACTGGGAAGTGGGAACTGTGGTAGGAAGCTGTGGTCAGAGAAGGAAGCTCCCTTGTCCTGAGTTCTCCTTGTATTCAGATTCACAGGTCTGTCACCCTTGTTCCAACTCATCTGCAACCAGCATTCGTCCTTAAAACTTTGAAAACTGGTCTGAAGGTTCTAGAAACTCACTGGAGGCTTCTTAAGGAAAACTATCTACCCTGAAGGCTTCTCAGTCATCCAGTTAATCAACAAGAATTTGTAAAGAACTAACATTCATTCTCATGCATCCCACAGGTGCTTTTTTTTTAAGTCGGAATCTCGCTCCATCACCCAAGCCTGAGTGCAGTGGCACGATCTCAGCTCACTGCAACCTTCACCTCCTGAGCTCAACCCATTCTCGGGATTCAGTCTCCCGAGTAGCTGGGCTACACGCGCGCGCTACCATGCCTGGCTAATTTTTGTATTTTTAGTAGAGATGGAGTTTCACAGTGTTGGCCAGGCTGGTCTTGAACTCTTGACCTCAAGTGATCTGCCCACCTTGGCCTCCCAAAGTGCTGGGATTACAGGTGTGAGCCACTACGCCCGGCCCCACAGATGCTTATTGATTACCTGTTATGTCCTGGCCACTTTCGAGGCACTGCAAATACACCAATGAACAAAAATTTCTAAATTAGGGAGCTTACATTCTAGTGCCCATAACTGTGTTAGGTGCAGTGAGAAAGAGAAAGACTCAATTACTCAAGAAAGTTGGTGTTGCTGGAGACATAAGGCATTCATACATGTTAGTATTACTAATAGTACAAGACAGCATGTGAGTATCGGATGCCTAGCAGAGACCGTAATGGCAAAAAAACTTCAGGAGAAGAAATCATGCCTGCGCGAAGTAGTCAGGAAATTATTCAAAATAGATCTGGGAGTCCTATTAGATAATGTTTGTGAAGAAACAAAGAATGGGGAAAGGTACCTTGAAGAAAGGCGAAAGTTAAGAAAGATTAAACTGTTCCACAGGCAGAAGTATATTTCCAAAGAAACCTAAAATAAAGTTTTGTAGGGATTTCCTTGTCTTTCTCCCTTGTATTAACCAAATGGTTAAAATACTATTTGGCAACAAATCAGATTACCTATTTATTTCTATTTTATACTAGCAGCGTTGTCTGACATTAATGACAGGAACAAACTAGCATCCCTTGTAAGTCAAAGGGTGTGCTTATAGTTCTGGAAGTAGAAAGACAGTATTATTGGGTTTTTTTTTTTTTTTTCAAGACGGAGTCTTGCCCTGTCACCCAGTCTGGAGTGCAATGGCACAATCTCAGCTCACTGCCACCTCCGCCTCCCGGGTTCAAGCGATTCTCTTGCCTCAGCCTCCCAAGTAGCTGGGATTACAGGCGCCTGCCACTGCGCCTGGCTAATTTTTGTAGCTTTAGTAGAGACAGGATTTCACCATGTTGGTCAGGCTGGTCTTGAACTCCTGACCTCAGGTGATCTGCCCGCTTCAGCCTCCCAAAGTGTGGGATTACAGGTGTGAGCCACCACACCCAGCCTGTTGTTATGTTTGTTTCTAGTCAAAGTTAGTGCTTGACATGTCTTACTTTATTTAATCTTCTCAACTACCCTTTCAAAGTAGGTTAAAAGTCAGTAGAATCTTTGGGGTTATAAGTGAAAGAAAATTTCATCCAAATTGTCTTAAGCAAAAAGTGAATGTATTAGCCCACATAACTGAAAAGTCCCATAGTAGTTTGGGTTGCTTTTTGGCCTGATTTAATGCAAGACCCGTTTTCTCTCTCAGTTCATATTCTCTCTGTTGACTCCATTCTTAGTTTGTGTCTTTCCACGTACAAAAATGTTAGTATACTTGGCCGGGCACAGTGGCTCACGCCTGTAATCCCAGCACTTTGGGAGGCCGAGGCGGGCGGATCACAAGGTCAGGAGATCGAGACCATTCTGTCTAACATGGTGAAACCTCATCTCTACTAAAAATACAAAAAATTAGCCGGGCGTGGTGGCGGGCGCCTGTGGTCCCAGCTACTTGGGAGGCTGAGGTAGGAGAATGGCATGAACCCGGGAGGCAGACCTTGCAGTGAGCCAAGATGGTGCCACTGCACTCCAGCCCAGGCAACAGTGTGAGACTCCGTCTCAAAAAAAAAAAAAAAAAAAAAAAAAAAAATTTAGTATACCTAGCATACATCCTGTCAGTTCAAAAAACCAGTGGGAAAATAACACCTATCTCAAGATTCCCAAGAATCTCAACAGAAATCCCATCTTGTGACACTGGCTTAAGTGGGGTACTTTGACCATCTGTTAACTAATCCCTGTAGCCTTAGAAATGCTATTGGCCAGATCTGAGATACATACTACTCAGCCAGAGGTGGAATCAACAACATGACAACCAGATGGAAGGAGTAGTGAAAATCCTAAACTCAAAATGAGGAACAGTTACTAGAATTAGAGGAGCAGCACTGTATATGAGCAGCATCGCCTGACATTAGGAAAAGGAGTAAGCTAGATTCCTGCATCAGTCAAGGATGTGCTTATAGTTATGGAAGCAGAAAATATGCTATACATCCAAAAAAGTGGATTACCACGGTTCTATTACATTTCCACTTTATATGAGGAGGCTAAAACTTAAAGAGGTTAAGTAATTTGCCGTAAGTCACAGGACAAGTGATTGCTGGGTCCGGGATTTGAACCCAATTTGGTCTCACTCCAAAGTAACAAATGGTTTACAATCCTGGCTTTGCTTGAGAATAATGATTGAAGCTTTTTACAAATTGAGATGCTCCTCAACTTATGAGGGGGTTATGTCCCAATAAACACATTGTAAGCTGAAAATATCAGAAGTCAAAAATGCATTTAAGACACCTAACACACCAAACATCATAGTTTAACCAAGCCTGCCTTAAATGTGCTTAGAACACATATATTAGCCTACAGTTGGGCAAAATCATCTAACAGAAAGCCTATTTTACAATAAAGTGTTGAATGCCTCATGTAATTTATTGAAAGCTGTACTAAAAGTGAAAAATGATGGTTGCATGGGTGCTTGAAGTACAGTCCCTATGGAATGTGTATCACTTTTGCACCATTGTAGTCGAAAGATCTCAAGTTGAACCATCGTAAGTTGGGGACTGTCTGTATAGGTGACCGATCTCTACTTCTACCTCTGGTGATTGAATCAGTTCTGTAGTGGGTTCCAGATATTGCTTTTTTCTTTTAAATATGAAAAAAGTGCAGGGAATACATAACATACCCTCCACCCAGTTTTGACAATTAAAATTTTACGATATTTAACATTTTTAAATTAAAATTCTTGAGATAAATGTAGATTCACATGCAATTGTATGAAGTAATACAGAGAGATCCTTTGTACACTTTGCCCAGTTTCCCCTCCTTAATGGTGACATTGTACAAAACTGTAGTGTAATATCATAACTAGAATACTTACATTGATACTGACTGATCTTATTCAGATTTCTCCAGTTTTACTTATACTCATTTGTGCATGTGTGTGTGTGTGGTATGTATATTACGTTCTATTCAGTTTTATCACCTGTGTAAGTTTCTCTATTCACTAGCACAGTCGAGATAATGAACAGAGGCTGGGCACAGTGACTTACACCTATAATCCCAGCACTCCGGGAGGCCAAGGCGGGAGGATCACTCAAGCCCAGGAGTTCAATACCAGCCTGGGCAACGTAGAAAGACCCCGCCTTTACAAAAAATAACATTTAGCCAGGCATGGTGGTGTGTGCCTCTAGTCCCAACTCCTCGGGAGGCTGAGGTAGGAGTATCACTTGAGCCCAGGAGGTTGAGGCTGCAGTTAGCCTTCTTCACATCACTGCATTCAGCCTGGGCAATAGAATGAGACCCTGTCTCCAAAACAAATAAAAAAAAATTTTTAAAAAGGCCGGGTGCAGTGGCTCATGCCTGTAATCCCAGCACCTCGGGAGGCACAGGCAGTGGATCACTTAAGGCCAGGAGTTTGAGATCAGCCTGGCCAACATGGTGAAACCCTGTTTCTACTAAAAATACAAAAATTAGCCAGGCATGGTGGTGGGTGCCTGTAATCCCAGCTACTAGGGAGGCTGACAAAGGAGAATCGCTTGAACCCAGAGGTGGAGATTTCAGTGAGCCGAGATAGCACCACTGCACTCCAGCCTGGGCAATGGAATGAGACTCCGTCTCAAAAAAATAAATAAATAAAATATAAATAAATAAACAAATAAATGAAAATAAAAAGATAATGAACAATTCTAACACCACAGTGATATCTCAGATTACCTTATTATAACCACAGTGACCTTGCTCCTGGCCTTACTTCAGATTTTCTTGAAGTTTTTACTCCCAAACCATTTTCCTCCTTCCCTTTCTGGAAATAACCGATATCCTGAAGCCAGTGGGCATCCTTCTCCTGCATATATATATATATATACACACATACATATATATATGTATGTGTGTATATATATATGTATGTATATATATATATATCTGATATTTGTTATATTTATATATATATATTTATTTATTTGAGACAGAGTCTCACTCTGTCACCCAGGCTGGAGTGCAGTGGTGTGAACACTGCTCACTGCAGTCTCAAACTCCCAGTCTCAAATAATCCTCCTACTTCAACTTCCCGAGTAGCTGGGACTACCTGGCTCTTTTTTTTTTTGTGTGTGTGTGTGTGTGAGACAGAGTCTCACTCTGTCGCGGGATCTTGGCTCACTGCAACCTCCGCCCCCTGGGTTCAAGTGATTCTCCTGCCTCAGCCTCCCGAGTAGCTGGGATTACAGGCGCTTGCCACTGCGCCCAGCTAATTTTTGTATTTTTAGTAGAGACGAGGTTTCACCATCTTGGCCAGGCTGGTCTTGAACTCCCGACCTCATGATCCACCTGCCTCGGCCTTCCAAAGTGCTGGGATTACAGGCATGAGCCACTGCACCTGGCCTTTTTAAAATTTTTTAAAGAGCGAGGTCTTCCTATATTGCCCAGGCTGGTCTTGAACTCCTGGCCTCAAGAGATTCTCCTGCCTCAGCATCCCAAAGTACTGGGATTATAGGTGTGAGCCACTGTGCCCAGCCCTTCTGTATATTTTATACTTTTACTACATATGTTTCTATTAACATTATATACTGTTATATATATTATATGTTATACTGTTTTAAAATTTTTGCAAACTTACTTTTATTACTCAGCATTTTTTCAGATTTTATCTATGTTGATACAAATAACTCCTGTTTATCCTTTTTTTTTTTTTTTTTTTTTTTGAGACGGAGTTTTGCTCTTGTTGCCCAGGCTGGAGTGCAATGGCATAATCTCAGCTCACTGCAACTTCCGCCTTCCAGGTTCAAGTGATTCTCCTGCCTCAGCCTCCGAGTAGCTGGGATTACAGGCACCTGCCACCACACCCGGCTAATTTTGTGTTTTTAGCAGAGATGGGGTTTCTCCATGTTGGTCAGGCTGGTCTCAAACTCCAGACCTCAGGTGATCCGCCCGCCTCAGCCTCCCAAATTGCTGGGATTACAGGCGTGAGCCACAGCTCCCAGCCTGTTTATCCGTTTTAACTGGATGGCCTTACCATATCTATCCATCTCACTGTTGTTAGACATGTTGGTTGTATGAATAATGCTGGAATAAATATCCTTGGGCATATCTTCCTCTGAAGTGTTCTCTAAGTCTTTTTTCTTTTTTTGCAGATGAGGTCTTTCTGTGTTGCTCAGGCTGGGCTTGAGCTCCTGGATCTCTAGGCTTCTATCTCATAGAACTGTTGATTAGTAGGATATATTCAGCCTTATTAGATATTGACAACTTCCTCTTCAAAATGATTGCACAAATTTATGCTCCCACTACTGATGTAAGAACTCCCATTTTACAACTTTCTAGATAACACTTAGTATATGTCAAATCTGTAATTTTTTTCAGTATGATGAATGTGAAATGGTATTGTTTTTATTTTTATTTTCATTTTGAGACAGGGTCTCACTCTGTCACCCAGGCTGGAGTGCAGTGGCATGATCTTAGCTCACTACAGCCTCTAACTCCAGGGCTCAATCAATCCTCCCATCTCAGCCTCTTGAGTAGATCACAGACACACACCACCATGCCTGGCTAATTTTTTGTATTTTTGGTAGAGACGGGGTTTTACCATGTTGCCCAGGCTGATATCAAACTCCTGAGCTCAAGCAATCTGCCTGCCTCAGCCTCCCAAAGTGCTGGGCATGAGCCACCATGCCTAGCCTGAGTTTTTTTTTTTTTTTTTTTTGGAGACAGAGTTTCACTCTTGTTGCCCAGGCTGGAGTGCAATGGCGTGATCTCGGCTCACTGCAACCTCCACCTCCCGGGTTCAAGGAATTCTCCTGCCTCAGCCTCCCCAGTAGCTGGGATTACAGGCGTGTGCCACCACACCTGGCTAATTTTGTATTTTTAGTAGAGACGAGGCTTCTCCATATTGGTCAGGCTGGTCTCGAACTCCTGACCTCAGGTGATCCACCTGCCTCGGCCTCCCAAAGCGCTAAGATTACAGGCATGAGCCACTGCGCCCGGCCAAAATGGTATTATTTTAATTGCTCTAACTTGTTTATGAGATAGAGCATTATTTTGTATATTGCCCTTTAAAATGTGTATTCATTCTGGTTGGCAACTGCAGGGTTGGGAATGACTACTCTACTCTCTACTCCTTCTCTGGTTTAAAAAACCAGAGAGAAAAAGAAAGAAAAGAATAGATGAAAACAAAAGAACAAAGGAAAGAATAAGAGACAGGGAAGTATTCTTTTACAGTGAAAGCTGCATTAATTAACACTAAAAGCTACATTTAGTGCCATATTTAGCAGTGTCCCAATTGGTAAATTCTAGTAGCTGGTAAACCTGATATCCTCTAATGTAAGTCTTCAATCTCCTGACTTGGTACACATGCCAAGTTCATTGGAATAAGCAGGCTGAACTTGGTTTAAGTAAGGTTGAAACTTAACATTCCTGCTACACTTGATCTTAGCCAAAAGGCTGAGAAGTGATACCATGCCTGCTTATGTTTCTTTTCTCATGCTTTCTCTTTCTCTCTTTCTCTTTTTTTTTTTTTTTGGCAAAGAGAAAAAAGTAAACTCATGGGACTTTAACAAACACTATGGATCTATAAATTATATTCTTTATCACTTTTGCTATTAGAAAGGTATGAGAGGGAGATAGTAATGTAGAAACCATGTATGATAATATAAGTTAACTTTTAAATTAACTTTTATTCAGCCAATTTTTTTTTAATCAACTAGCACCCTTTATTACCTTAACATATTGTAGAATAAAACATTTTGTAGAAAAAACTGGCCGGGCGTGGTGGCTCACGCCTGTAATCCCAGCACTTTGGGAGGCCTGGTTGGGTGGATCACCTGACGTCAGGAATTCGGGACCAACCTGGCCAACATGGTGAAACCCCGTCTCTACTAAAAATACAAAAATTAGCTGAGCGTGCTGGTGGGCACCTATAATCCCAGCTACTCGGGAGATTGAGGCAAGAGAATTGCTTGAACCTGGAAGGTAGAAGTTGCAGTGAGCTGCGATAGCGCCACTGCACTCCAGCCTGAGTGACAGAGCCAGACTCCGTCTCAAAAAAAAAAAAAGAAAAAGAAAAAACTAAGTTTTTAAGTACTTAATAAACATAAATTTAAACGTATCACTGAAGTTCTAAGGGAACTGAGAGAAAGATGACAGTCAAGGATGATCCATAGTCAAAGGCTTCCTTGGGAAGGGAATTGAGGTTTATTTTAAAAGAAATGATAACCATGGATTGGCTTAGAGGGGGAAGATTTCTAGGTAGAAAGAATGTTCCATGCTATGGTGCAGAGAGGTAGGAAATACATGTGCAATTACAAACTTTCTTGAATAGAGCAAGAGATCTGCCAAAATAGTAGATTGTTCAAAGAATGTTTATTGTGTGCCAGGCACAATGCTAAGCTTGGAGAAACAGTGGTGAACAAAACACATTATCATGGCTCAAAGAAACGTACAATCTAGTGACCAAAAACATAGTAAAATACATAAAGTAATTACGAATTATGATTTTACTAGGAAATAATAGTGGTAAGTCTGAGAAGATTCTTCTGAGGAGGTTAACATTTAAATTGAGACTTAAGCGTATGAATGTTCTCAAAAACAATTATAGCATATGCAAAGGCTCCAAGATGGAATGAATTTGTTATGTTCTAGAACCTGACAGAAGTCATTGTGGATGGAACAAGTCGGCAAGAAAGAAAGTGCCATGAATTGAAGTTGGAAAGATAGAAAGATAGATCACACACCTCTTGTAAGCCAATGAGGGGAGTTTGAAATTTAACTTAAGTGCAATGGGAAACCAGTACAAGATTTTAAGCAAGAGAGTGCTATGCATTTTTGAAAGATCAAAAGATCACTGTGGCTGTTATATGGTAAGTGGATTCAAGAGGACATGTAGAAGTAAGGAAACTAGCATCATGGTCTAATGACAAACGAGGGCAGCTTGGGCAAGGATGGTTTCGGTGACGATGGAGTGTCATGAGCTGAACTGTGTGCCCCTGTCCCCCATATTCATATGTCGAAATCCTAATCCCCAGTACCTTTGAATGGGACTGTACTTGGAGATGGGGCCTTTGAAAAGGTAACAAAGGCAAAATGAGGTAATTTGTGTAGGCCCTAATTAAATCTGACTGCTGTCCTTATAAGAGGAAGAAGTTAGAACACAGCACAGAAGAACGATCATGTGAAGAAACCGGAAGAAGATGGTCATCTACAGGCCAAGGAGAGAAGTCTTAGAATAAACCAATCCATCCTGCTGGAACCTCGATCTTGGACTTCTAGCCTCCAGGACTGTGAGAAAATAACTTTCTATTGTTTAAGTCACCGAACCTGTGGTACTTAGTTATGACGGCCTAAAGCAAACATATATATGGAAGGAAGTTGGTGTATCCAGATGTGCTTTTGGACCTGAAACCAATGTTACTTGCTGATGGATTGAATTGGGAAAGTCAAGAAGACTCTCAGCCTCCTAGTTATAAAACTTTTAGAATAGATCTGCTTGACCTTTTTTGTTTGTTTTTTGTTTTTTTGTGAGACACAGTCTCGCTCTGTCACCCAGGCTGGAGGGCGGTGGTGCTATCTCACTCAGCTCATTGCAACCTCTGCCTCGCGGGTTCAAGCAATTCTCATGTCTCAGCCTCAAGAGCAGCTGGAATTACAGGTGTGTGCCACCACATCCGTCTAATTTTTGTAATTTTAGTAGAGATGGGGTTTCACCATGTTGGCCAGGCTGATCTCAAATGCCTGACCTCAAGTGATCCTCCCACCTTGGCCTCCCAAAGTGCTAGGATTTCAGGCATGAGCCACTACATCCAGCCTTGATGTACCTGAAATATTTAACAAGAAACAATCTTGTGAAATAAAAGAGCAACAGCTGATTGAAGGCTTTGAAATCCAGAGAGAAGTACAGGAATTAAATGAAACAGGATGATATGTGGAAGCCTTGAGAAAAGTGTGTCACACAAATGTAAGTCCTTGTTGTTAACTTCATCATGGTTGTTTTTAGTGTATGATACACTATAGTGATCAAATACAGTTTTGAGTGGGTGAGCAAGGGTGAAAATGGTACTTGAGGGAAATGGCTGTAGAATTGAAGAAGATTGATAGAAACAGGAAAGGCTGTATGCAGCCTGGGAAACCAGCCAGGAATTGGCTGCAGAAATTGAGGTATGAGCTGAGAAGTATCTGATGTCCCAGGGAAGGTCAAAGGGATTGGAGATATTTCAGTAAAACACATACACACATACACTTTTATATACATAAATGCATTAAATAGCTAGAGGCCAAAAGGAAAAATGTAACCAAACCGTATGTCATTTTCTGTATAGGCAGCAATCCTATTTAAAGTAATTTTCTTTTTTTTTTTTTTTTTTGAGACGGAGTCTCGCTCTGTCGCCCAGGCTGGAGTGCAGTGGCGCGATCTCCTCTCACTGCAAGGTCTGCCTCCCAGGTTTACAAAAAATTTAGCCAGGCGTGGTGGTGGGCCCTGTAGTCCCAGCTACTCGGGAGGCTGAGGCAGGAGAATGGAGTAATTTTCTTTCTTTCTTTTTTTTTTTGAGACAGAGTCCCATTCTTGCCCAGGCTGGAGTGCAGTGGCACGATCTCGGCTCACTGCAACCTCTGCCTCCTGGGTTCAAGCGATTCTCCTGCCTCAGCCTCCTGAGTAGCTGGGATTACAGGTGCCTGCCACCATGCCTGGCTAATTTTTTTATTTTTAGTAGAGACAAGGTTTCACTGTGTTGCTCAGGCTGGTCTCGAACTCCTGACCTCGTGATTCCCCTGCCTTGGCCTCCCAAAGTGCTGGGATTACAGGCGTGAACCACTGCGCCTGGCTTTTTTTTTTTTTCCTTTTTTCTTTTTTTTTTTTGAGACAGAGTCTCACTCTGTCATCCAGGCTGGAGTACAGTGGCACGATCTTGGCTCACTGCAACCTCTGCCTCCTGGGTTCAAGCGATTTTCCTGCCTCAGCCTCCTGAGTAGCTGGGATTACAGGTGCATGCCACCATGGCTGGCTAATTTTTGTATTTTTAGTAGAGACGAGGTTTCACCATGTTGGCCAAGCTAGTCTCATACTCCTGGCCTCAAGTGATCTGCCCACCTCAGCCGCCCAAATTGCTGGGATTACAGGCGTGAGCCACTGTGCCTGGCCTAAAGTAATTTTCTTTTTAAAACCTTTTTGGAGCTAGGCAAGTGGCTTGTGCCTGTACTATCAGCTACTGGGGAAGCTGAGGCAGGAAGCTCGCTTGACCCCAGGAGTTTGAGGCTTTAATGCACTATGATTATGCCTGTGAATGGCCACTGCACTCTAGCCTGGGCAACATAGTGAGAGCCTGTCTATAAAACCAAAAAAAAAGGCCGGGCACGGTGGCTCACGCCTGTAATCCCAACACTTTGGGAGGCTGAGGCAGGCGGATCACGAGGTCAGGAGATCGAGGCCATCCTGGCTAACATGGTGAAACCCCGTCTCTACTAAAAATACAAAAAATTAGCCGGGTGTGGTGGCGGGCACCTGTAGTCCCAGCTACTCGGGGGGCTGACGCAGGAGAATGGCGTGAACCCAGGAGGCAGAGCTTGCAGTGAGCTGAGATCTCGCCACTGCACTCCAGCCTGGGCAACGGAGCGAGGCTCCGTCTGAAAACAAAACAAAAACAACCTTTTTGGGGTCAGGATCCGTGCCTACCACAATGCTTTGTACATAAATGTAATAAATGCTTGTATATTAGAGACGTAATCGCTCATATTTCATCTTATTTTAAAAGGTAGTAGATAGTATGGTGGGATATCTCTAGACCAGGAACTGGAAGTTCTGGCTCTGCCACTGGTTATTGATTTGCTCTGGGCAAATCATTTAAACCAGCACAGTCCAAGAGAAATATCTGTGATGAAGAGACAATTATCTATACCTGTGCTATCTACCATAGCTACTAGCCACATGTGTGGCTACTGAGCACTTGAAAAGTGGCTAGTGTGACTAAAGAACTGAATTTTTTGTTAAAATATGGCTAGTGGCTGCCATATTGGGTGATGGAGATTAACCTCCCAAGCCCTTGAGTTCTTCCGTAAAATGAAGAAGTTAAGTGATCTCCTTTGCCTTTTGATTCTAAAATGTTCTTTTATTAATTCAGCACAACAAATACATGGGCACAAGAGAAGAGCTTAAATTTTTATTTCCTAACCAAAAAAATATTTTTAAAGAATGTTAAATTATACACTTTTTACATATAGAAAATTTTGATAAGTTTTAATCAATTGTATATACAAAAATGATGTTTTGGACTGTCTGTAGCATATATCATGACATTAATAAGTAGAGAAGAGGCCAGGTACGGTGGCTCATGCCTGTAATCCCAGCACTTTGGGAGGCCAAGGTGGGCGGATCACCTGAGGTCAGGGGTTCGAGACCAGCCTGACCAAGATGGAGAAACCCCATCTCTACTGAAAATACAAAATTAGCTGGGCGTGATGGTGCATGCCTGTAATCCCAGCTACTCATGAGATTGAGGCAGAAGAATTGCTTGAACCCAGGAGGCAGAGGTTGGAGTGAGCCGAGATCATGCCATTGCATTCCAGCCTAGGCAACAAGAGTGAAACTCCGTCTCAATAAATAAATAAGAATGTGGACTGCTTGGAGAGGCTTCAGAAGTCTGTGAGATGATTGAAGAGTTGAGAAACAGACTGAGTAAAGGTTAAGGGACCCAGATTGTTTAGAAAAAAGACTGAGGGAATAATGACTACATTCAAGTATATGAAGGGTTATTAGACAGAAATGGTATCCAGCTGTTCTCCACTTATTAGACAAAATACTAGGAACTTAGGTTAAAGAGGAAATAAGTGGGTATTAGAAGGCACTTCCAGAGAGTTGAGAGTTGATATATTAAATTCTCAACAGAAATTTAGTGTTTTTTTTGAGATGGAGTCTTCTTTCTCTGTCACCCTGGCTGGAGTGCAGTGGCATGATCTCAGCTCACTGCAACCTCCACTTCCCGAGTTCAAGCGATTCTTCTGCCCCAGCCTCCTGAGTAGCTGGGATTACAGGTGCCCACCAGCACACCCGGCTAATTTTTGTATTTTTAGTAGAGACAGAGTTTCACCATGTTGGCCAGGCTGGTCTCGAACTACTGACCTCACGTGATCCACCCTCGGCCTCCCAAGGTGCTGGGATTACAGGCGTGAGCCACTGCGCCAGCCTAGTGGTTTCTACTTAATAGTTTTTTTGTTTTGCTTTTTTGATACAGGGCCTCTCTCTGTTGCCCAGGCTGGAGTGCAGTGGCATGATCTCAGCTCACTGCAACCTCTGTCCCCTGGGTTCAAGTGATCCTCCCACCTCAGCCTCCCGAGTAGTTGAGACCACAGGCATGCCCCACCATGCTTGGCCAATTTTTATATTTTTTTGTAGAGATGGGGTTTTGCCATGTAGCTCAGGCTGGTCTCGAACCCCTGAGCTCAAGAGATCCACCAGCCCCAGCCTCCCAAAGTGCTGAGATTACAGGCCTGAGCCACCGCGTCGGCCTACTTAATGGTTTTTAAAATGTATTTGTGCAGCCGGCGCGGTGGCTTATGTCTGTAATCCCAGCACTTTGGGAGGCCCAGGCAGGCAGATCACAAGGTCAGGAGTTTGAGACCAGCCTGGCCAGCATAGTGAAACCCTGTCTCTACTAAAAATACAAAAATTAGCCGGGAATGGTGGCACGCACCTGTAGTCCCAGCTACTCGGGAGGCTGAGGCAGGATAATCGCTTGAACCTGGGAGACAGAGGTTGTGATGAGCCGAGATCACACCACTGCACTCCAGCCTGGGCAACAGAGTGAGACTACGTCTAAAAAAAAAAAAAAATTATGCTACGTTATGTTGAAGATACGTGTATGACAAAGCAAGCAAGTCACAAGAATGTTAAAACATATAAACATGGCTCGGTGCAGTGGCTCACGCCTGTAATGCCAGCACTCTGGGAGGCTGAGGCAGGTGGATCACTTGAGGTCAGGAGTTCAAGACCAGCCTGGCCAACATGGTGAAACCTCATCTCTACAAAATTAGAAAAATTAGTCAGGCATGATGGCACATGCCTGTAGTCCCAGCTACTCAGAAGGCTGAGGCAGAAGACTCGCTTGAACCCAGGAGGTGGAGGTTGCAGTGAGCCAAGATCACACCACTGCACTCCAGCCTGGGTGACAGACTCCACATCAAAAAAAAAAAAAAATTACAAACAAATTGGAATCACTGCTTAAGAGATTAATTGTCAGCTTTCAGGTAGGAGTCAAGACATCAGTTCGTAAGATCCTTTACAACATGAATATGTTACAAGTGAGATAGATATTTTCAGTTATCAATTAAATACATATACGCTAGATATAGATATTTGCGGGGAAAATGAGATTAAAGGATTTGTCTATAAAATGAAGACATTTACTTTGATGCATAATGTTTACAAAGGATGATATTTAATATTAATAGAACAAAAACAGAATGTAGAAGATAATATAGAGCAGTGGATCTCAAACGCCAGCATGCACCAGAAACACCTAGAGGACTGGTTAAAACCCAGATTGTGCCGGGCGCAGTGGCTCATGCCTGTTATCCCAGCACTTTGGGAGGCCGAGGTGGGTGGATCACCTGAGGTCAGGAGTTCAAGACCAGCCTGACAAATATGGAGAAACTCCATCTCTACTGAAAATACAAAATTAGCTTGGTGTGGTGGCACATGCCTATAATCCCAGCTACTCGGGAGGCTGAGGCAGGAGAATGGCTTGAACCCAGGAGGTGGAGGTGGCGGTAAGCCGAGATTGCGCCATTGCACTCCAGCCTGGGCAACAAAATTGAAACTTCATCTCAAAAAATAAATGAATAAATAAAAATGAACCCCCCCAAAAAAAAAACAGATTACTGTGTGCACCTCCAGAGTCCCTGATTTTGTTGGTCTGGGTTATGGCCAGAGATTTTACATTTCTAACAAGTTAGTGATGCTGATGCTGCTGGTTTAGGGACCACATTGTGAGAACCACTGACAGATAATCATATATATAGTATATTTAGAAGACATCTTTCCATTTTTAGTATAATTTAGTAAAGTATAGTAAATAATGAGATCTAGTAGCCTTTATTTTCAAGCCGGGATGTGGAAAAGTATAAGCCGGAATTTGATAACTGGTATTGTATATAGCATTTGAGAGGCTATTTAGGGGGCCTATTTGGTGCATGCCACACCTAGCTCTGCCCTAAGCCTGAAGCGCCTCATACTGCAAAATTCTTCACACCCGGCTATTCGGCCCAACTTTAATTTCTCTCATAAGGATAATTTCAGCTAGATTTTAGAAGAAAAACAAATATAATTGAAAATTAATTTTTACTGTAGCACATATGACTTTATATTTTAAAAAAAGAAGCTGATTAACCAAAATGCATCTATAGTTGGAAGAATATAAAAATGACATATATATTTGAAAGGAGTAAGCCTTTCTGGAATAGGCGTGACATCTCCAACATACCAAACAAACAAGCAAAAAGTATTGAACAAATTAGCTCAATATACAAAGCAGTGTCAGAGAAGCCAATTAAATGTTGGCTTTTTTTTTCTTTTTTTTTTTTTTTTTTGAGACAGAGTCTCGCCCTGTCACCCAGGCTGGAGTACAGTGGCACAATCTTGGCTCACTGCAACCTCCGTCTCCCGGGTTCAAGCAATTCTCCTGCCCCAGCCTTCCGAGTAGCTGGGATTACAAGTGCGCGCCACGACACCCAGCTAATTTTTTGTATCTTTAGTAAAGGTGCGGTTTCACCATGTTGACCAGGTTGGTCTCAAACTGGCCTCGTGATCCGCCTGCCTCTGCCTCCCAAAGTGCTGGGATTACAGGCGTAAGCCATCGCGCCCGGCCAACTGTTACTTTTATTCCATCAAAAACATTTGAGCGTACAAGACAAATGCATTAGCATTTAGTCAGTGTTGTGATGTCTTGGAGATATATGGTATAGAAACATCTGTCTGGTCTGTGGAGGCTGAATTTTCAAAATTAGAGTCATGGCAGCAAGTTAGTTGTTTGAGATTCAACCGTATCTTCACTTTTGGGCTCCAACATCTCTCTCCTTACCTCTCTCCCCTCCCTCTTTTGAACATTTCTTGAACACCTATTATTTGTTGAGCATTGCTGTCATGAGGATATAAAGATGGGAGATACTGTTGCAGAAGCACTCAGAGGAGTGCTGTGACACAAACATGCATAAAAACTATTACAACAAACTATGGTTAATGCCATGATGGAGGCAATAGCTAGATTCTTTGAGAGCCCAGAGGTGAAGCCCCTTGCCTACTCTGGGGTGGGGACCGATGAGCAGGGGAGAACCATGAGGGCTCTCTGTTAGAGGTTAAGTCTTGAAGGTTGAGTTTCAGGGGAAACTATGTGAAAAGGAGGCAAGTGAGTTCCAAGCAGCAGTAAAAACATCTGCAGTGGTAAAAGGATGAGAGGAAAAATGGCTCACTCAAGAAACCACAAGTGGTTCAATATGTCTGGAAACAAAGCAGACATAGATGAGGAGTGGCAAAAGATAGGTTGAGGAGAGCAGCAAGGACCAGAATGGTTAAAAGCCTCATATGCCATTCTAAGGGGGCTGAATTTGTCCTGAATGGTATCACACCTTGATCAGACTTGCATGTTGGCAAGCTCACTCTGACATCAGAATAGAAGTCTGATGGAGCCAGGTACAACTAGAAGCAGGATGCCGGAAGCAGTAGCTCACGTCTGTAATCCCAGCACTTTGGGAGGCCGAGGCGGGTGGATCACCTAAGGCCAGGAGTTGGAGACCAGCCTAACCAACATGGTGAAACCCCGTCTCTACAAAAAATACAAAAATTAGCCGGGTGTAGTGGTATGCGCCTATAGTCTCAGCTATTTGGGAGGCTGAGGCAGAAGAATCGCTTCAACCTGGGAGGCGGAGGTTGCAATGAGCCGAGATCACGCTACTGCACTCCAGCCTGGGTGACAGAGCGACCATCTGTCTCAAAAACAAAAAAAAAAACAAAACAAACAAACAAACAAAAAAAAGCTAGAAGCAGGAACATGATTTTGGTGGTACTGCAAAAACAAACAAACAAAAAGATAAGAAGTGAAGTATTATAGACGTGAAAATGGGCATGTGGTTGGGTGGTAGACTTTCAGATATCTGAAAGAAAATTAACACAAATGAGTAGTAAGTAAGTTGTAAGTGATGGTGAGAAGGTGATTAAGGGGACACCCAGTTTTCTGGCTTAAACAAGCATGTGGACCATGATGCCATTAACTGAGCTGGTGAATCAGAAGAAGGATGTGGCTTGCGAGGTTGTGTACATGGCTGGTGATGGAGGAGGGTAGAGGTAAAGAGTTCACTTTTAATTAATTAATTAATTAATTAATTAATTTCTTGAGACAGAGTCTCACCTGTCGCCCAGGCTGGAGTGCAGTGGTGTGATGTCAGCTCACTGCAACCTCCTCCTCCCATGTTCAAGTGATTCTCAGTGCCTCAGCTTCCCAAGTAGCTGGGACCACAGGCGTGTGCCACCATGCCCGGCTAATTTTTGTATTTTTAGTAGAGACAGGGTTTCACTCTGTGGGCCAGGCGGGTCTCGAACTCCCGACCTCAAGTGATCTGCCTGCCTTGGACTCCCAAAGTGTTGGGATTACAGGCGTGAGCCACCACACCTGGCCAAGAATTCACTTTTAGATGTGTTGAGTCAGAGGTAAATGAACACAAAGTGAAGTGAACAGGCATGTGGATTGCTCTTTCCAAAAATGTACCTGTGAAGGGAAGAACTTGTGAGGATGTAGATATGTTTATGTAGGTCAGGGAAAGATTTTTTTTTTTTTTTTTTTTGAGACAGAGTTTCGCTCTTGTTGCCCAGGCTGGAGTGCAATGGTGCGATCTCAACTCACCACAACCTCCGCCTTCTGGGTTCAAGCGATTCTCCTGCCTCAGCGTCCTGAGTAGCTGGGATTACAGACATGTGCCACCATACCCAGCTAATTTTTGAATTTTTAGTAGAGATGGGGTTTCTCCATGTTGGTCAGGCTGGTCTCGAACTCCCGACCTCAGGTGATCTGCCCGCCTTAGCCTCCCAAAGTGCTGGGATTACAGGCGTGAGCCACCACGACCAGCCAGGGAAAGACTTTCAAGGCTTTTGTATATGGTGGCCTCCATATCTCTGAGCAACTGGAGAAGATGTCATTTTCTGAGGGGCAGGGGGATAATGAATAAATGTGATGAGTTACGTGACTAAGTTTAGAATAGCTATATCATGCAAGAAAAGGCTCATTACAGATGCAGGGAAACATGGTTCAGTTAGAGACTATAAATGTGGAAGGACACTAATGCATTCACATGTGAGATTCCTTTCCGTTGGCCCCAGAAACCAAGGTGTTAGCCAGGCTTCTCGGAGGCTGGAAGAGAGCTGACCACTTCTTTCAAGTTCCCAGTGTACTTAGCATGCCAGAATGCCAAGAGAAGGTTCTAAAACATTGGTATGTTTCAAATGTTTACACTTAACAAGTTAATACTTTTAACATGGGATAATTACAAAGAAAAATAATTGTGATATTCACCAGATAATTATAGAATTTACTTAAACTATTTTTTTTTTGAGATGGAGTCTCGCTCTGTCAGCCAGGCTGGAGTTCAGTGGCGCCATCTCGGCTCACTGCAACTTCTGCCTCCCGTGTTCAAGTGATTCTCCTGCCTCAGCCTCCAGAGTAGCTGGGATTACAGGTGTGCGCCACCACACCCTGCTGATTTTTGTATTTTTAATAGAGACAGGGTTTCACCATGTTGGCCAGGCTGGTGTCAAACTCCTGACCTTAGGTGATCCACCCACCTCAGCCTCCCAAAGTGCTGGGATTACAGGTGTGAGCCACAGTACCCGGCCTTTTTTTTTTTTTTTTTTTTTTGAGATGGAGTTTTGCTCTTGTTGCCCAGGCTGGAGTGCAATGGCTCCATCTTGGCTCACTGCAACCTCTGCCTCCCAGGTACAAGTGATTCTCCTGTCTCAGCCTCCCAAGTAGCTTGGATTACAGGCATGTGCCACCACGCCCGTCTAATTTTTTTGTATTTAGTAGAGATAGGGTTTTACCACATTAGTCAGGCTGGTCGCAAACTCCTGACTTCAGGTGATCCACCCCCCTTGGCAACCCAAAGTGGTGGGACCACAGGTGTGCACCACCACACTTGGCCTACTTAAACTATTAATTCATAATGCATTATAGATAGTGTCATTTGGTGATGAGACAAAGTTTAAAGTTCTACAAAGAATGCCTCCTTGTATAGTGTAGGCATATATTTGGGAAGGTAGTGTAACCTTATTTGGACAAAATGTTAAAAGCTTTGATTGAAGCTTCTCATGAATGTGGGGCTAGGCCCTATAAGCTTAGGCGTTGGAATAAAACACAGATAACTGGATTAAAACAGTATAACAGATTCGGTTCATTAAAATCCATGAGAGAACGGGATTGAAGATTTAGATAATTGTGAGAAATTTATTTATTATTATTATTGTTTTTTGAGATGGAGTTTCGCTCTTTCGCCCAGGCTGGAGTGCAATGGCACAATCTCGGCTCACTGTGACCTCCGCCTCCTGGATACAAGTGATTCTCCTGCCTCAGCCTACCAAATAGCTGGGATTACAGGCATGTGCCACCATGCCCGGCTAATTTTTGTATTTTTAGTAGAGACAGGGTTTTGCCACGTTGGTCTTGAACTCCTGACCTCAGATGATCCACCCACCTCATCCTCCCAAAGTGCTGGGATTATAGGCATAAGCCATCATGCCTGGCATGGGAAGTTTAAACAATGAATTACGATTTCCAAACTGAATGGCAAGGATGTTATCTTAGTCTGTTTGTGCTGCTATAAAAAATACCACATACTGGATAATTTATAAATACTAGAATTTTATTTCTCACAGTTCCGGAGGTTGGGAAGTCCAAGATCAAGGCAGCAACAGGTTTGCTGTCTCATGACAGCTGCTTTCTACTTCCAAGATGGTGCCTTGTTGCTGCATCCTCTTAAAGGGATGAAGGCTGTGTCCTCACACAGCAGACAGATGAAAGGGCAAAACAGCTGAATGCTGTGTGAAGCCTCTTGTATAAAGTTCTTAATCCCATTTAGGAGGGAGGAACCTTCGTGACCTAATCACCTCCTTAAAGGCCCCACCTCTTTAATACTGATGCACTGGAGACGTTTCAACATGAATTTTGGAGAGACAGAAACACCCAAACCATAACAGAAATGAAAAGGGAAGGGAGTGATAGGTTGCAGAAAAGGGAGAGGTTAAGGATAAATGAGATGTGAGTAATGAAATAAGAGAACCAGATGATTATTAAGAATATGGTATACCATAGTCTGACTTCACTACTGGAGTATTTCTGGAT
Organism: Homo sapiens; assembly: GCF_000001405.40. Lineage (NCBI taxonomy): Eukaryota > Metazoa > Chordata > Mammalia > Primates > Hominidae > Homo > Homo sapiens. The sequence continues at coordinate 102,107,614 of NC_000011.10, forward strand.
GATGCAGAGTACAGACGAAGGGGCAGGTGGCTAAAGTGAAGTAGAGATGAGGGTCCATTTTAGTTGACAGGTCAACTAATTGGGATACGCATGTTTTGAGATAGTGATCTACCTGGACATTGAAAATGATCCAGGATAAGGGTGCATCTTTATACGAAGAAGGTGACTCCCTATTTTAAGATGCTGCCAACAGATAATTGGTCCACAAAATGGGCAGAAGAGGAAGGGAGTAGACAAAGGACTGAATATGTTATCTTTATCCCCTACTACACCGTGGTTGAAATTGTATAAACGAGGAATAGTAAATTACAAAATCTTGGTTGATGATACAGAAGTGCTTACAGAACATAGTCACTCCAAAGACCCTTTCACTCCACTTATCAAAGTAATTTTGTCCTCAGTTTAATGGCAGGTGAAACAATATTGAACAAAGCAGCCTCTGCTGTATCTGAAGCCCTTTAGTTAGTGTTCATAGCAGTAAATGCTCTAGTAAAGGGACAGCTTCTATTCCAATCCCAGGTTTTCAATCACTTTGGTTCTTTTTTTGAGACAGAGTCTCGCTGTGTTGCCCAGGCTGGAGTGCAGTGGTGTGATCTCAGCTCACTGCAACCTCCACCTCCTGGGTTCAAGTGATTCTCATGCCTCAGCCACCTGAGTAGCTGGGACTACAGGAACATGCCACCACACCTGGCTAATTTTTATGTATTTTTTTTTTTGTAGAGACAGGGTATCACCATTTTGGCCAGACTGGTCTCGAACTTCTGACCTCAGGTGATTCCCCTGCCTTGGCCTCCCAAAGTGCTGGGACTACAGGCATGAACCACCGCACCCGGCCCACTTTGGTTCCTAAAGTTTTCTTTCAGGTAAAGTTTTTAATGCATAGTTTCTGCCCAAAGGTTTTGTTTGTGTGGACTGATTATTGGATAAGAGAGGAAGGGACTACCAACAGGGTCCCTGAGGCTGTGCTTAGAAAGAGAGGGCTGCTGCAAGGAGAGGCTATGTTACTACCTGTGAAATAATCTGTGAACATGGGACAACAATGACAACTGACATTGATGTGGAACTCACTGCACGTCCCAAACTGGGCTAAGTACTTTATATCCATTGACTCATTTAATGCCCCAACAACTATGAGGTAGGTGTTATTACCCCTGATGCTAATATTAAAGAACAGGAAATAAATAACTTGTCCAAAACCTCACAGCTAGTAAATGGCAGAACTGGGACCTGAACTCAAAACTCTGTAACTCCAGAACCTGCAAGTCTGTCGTTAAATGCACTTGACATTTAGGAGTGGGAACAAATCCAAGAACTAGTCATGGGTGTCATTTACTCTGATCCTTTTTTTCAGACAGGAAACTGGGGGTTCAGAGTAGTTGATTGGAATCTTCTGTTAGAATTTTGAGTGTCTGAGGCCTGCTCCTTTGGCCGAGCCCTACCACACCAAGTGATACAGATCCTTCAGAATTCTCCTGGGCATGTTCTGGCTGAAGGAAGAAATTACCTTTTTGCTCACGGACTTTTTCCTTGCTTAATCCTACTTATACCTTTGTTTCACTAGCATTGTAGACAAAATCATTAAAACAAGAAAGCCAGATTTCCTTAGAATGGGCTTGTGCATTTAAAATTAGACTGATGTTGCACAATCCTATGAATATATTTAAAAAAACAGTGAATTGCTTAAATATACTAATATGTACAACTATTGCAAAAACTGTATGGTATATAAATTATATCTCAACAAGGATGCTTTAAAAAAAAAAAACCCAGAGTGTATGACTTAAAAAACATTTCTATTGTTTTTGAGTGGCTTCCAGAAGGGCTCCTTGTACATCAGGTGCCTGGGATGACCTCCTTGCCCATTCATTTCTTATTCAGTCCACATTAACGGAGTCCACCGTTGGGCCAGGCACAGGGATAGCAGGGGTAGGGACCCAGCTCCTTGAGGATGAAAGACAGGTACAGAGGCATGAATGCTTGTACCTGAAGACGCACTAATTTTTTGGGTTGCGGCTTCCAGTGACTATTGCAAATTCGAGTACTAAAAAAGTTGATGTGATTTCACTATTTGGAAAATGTAGTGTTTTTGTTTCTTTTAATAAGTTACACTGAGTTACAGACCTGGTCTCAAAGCTTCAATTACAGTAACCGTTTACCCCTCTCAAGTGAGTTTTTGCAGACTAACAGATAAGTGAAACAATTACAAAATAAAGTTAATGCTGAAAACAATGGATCTTTATTAACATCAATGCCGGCTCACGGTATCTATTTTAACTCCAATCTATCCTCGCGGCTTTAAGCTCGCACAGGCGCTCCGCTCGGTCAAGCCGGGGTAACGCGAGGAGGAGGAGGTGGGTTCGCACATCCTCTCTCCACTTCTTTCGGCCTTGGCCCTTTCGCAGGTCCAGGCGAACTGGAAGCGCCTTTCCCGAGCACGGGCGGGGAAAAGGGGCCGAGCGGAGCGGAAGAACTTCCTGCAGCCAAGGGCGCCCGCGTTCTCCGCAGACACCACAGTTCGGACCCGGATTGGACCCATCGTTTGCGGTTCGCGGGGCAGAATACGGGGCACGCTTCGGGCCCCTGCCCGGCTGAGCGCGGGCGAAGGGCGGACCGGGCCAGGGCGAGCGGGTCACGTGCGGCCGGGAGAGGCGCCGCGGGCCGGGAGTGTGCAGGAATGTAGCAACTTGCAGCGAAAAGTTTCCCTGCGCTGCCGGCCGGGCCGCGGTGCGGGCGGGCGCGCAGAGGAAGGAAGAGCCGAGAGGAGGCGGGGCCGCGGCGGCGCGGGCGGGCGCTTCTCCTAACTTTAGTTTTGGCGTTTGAGGCGAGTTTCTGTCTCAGTCGGGCGCAGCCGCCGCCAGGGAAAAGAAAGGGAGGAAGGAAGGAACAAGAAAAGGAAATAAAGAGAAAGGGGAGGCGGGGAAAGGCAACGAGCTGTCCGGCCTCCGTCAAGGGAGTTGGAGGGAAAAAGTTCTCAGGCGCCGCAGGTCCGAGTGCCTCGCAGCCCCTCCCGAGGCGCAGCCGCCAGACCAGTGGAGCCGGGGCGCAGGGCGGGGGCGGAGGCGCCGGGGCGGGGGATGCGGGGCCGCGGCGCAGCCCCCCGGCCCTGAGAGCGAGGACAGCGCCGCCCGGCCCGCAGCCGTCGCCGCTTCTCCACCTCGGCCCGTGGAGCCGGGGCGTCCGGGCGTAGCCCTCGCTCGCCTGGGTCAGGGGGTGCGCGTCGGGGGAGGCAGAAGCCATGGATCCCGGGCAGCAGCCGCCGCCTCAACCGGCCCCCCAGGGCCAAGGGCAGCCGCCTTCGCAGCCCCCGCAGGGGCAGGGCCCGCCGTCCGGACCCGGGCAACCGGCACCCGCGGCGACCCAGGCGGCGCCGCAGGCACCCCCCGCCGGGCATCAGATCGTGCACGTCCGCGGGGACTCGGAGACCGACCTGGAGGCGCTCTTCAACGCCGTCATGAACCCCAAGACGGCCAACGTGCCCCAGACCGTGCCCATGAGGCTCCGGAAGCTGCCCGACTCCTTCTTCAAGCCGCCGGAGCCCAAATCCCACTCCCGACAGGTAACCTCGTTGCCCCTCTCCCCGTTTCCCCGTCGGGCGGGCCTCAGACCGGGGGGGCGCTCGGGAGCCGCGGCCGCCAGCTCTGGTCAGGGGAGGGGGGTTGCGGGAACTCTAGCTGGGGTGGGGGTCCCGAGGCGAAGTGGAACTGGAGTCGTCCACTCCGCCGCGGTGACCAGCTCCCCACTCCTCCCAGAGTCCGGGGCTGAGATTTGTTTTTCCCTTCTGAGTTTCTCTCTGCGGTTGCAGCCCCGGGGGGCGTGCTTTCCCTCCTTCTTCCTTTCTTTCTTCCCGGGGTTCCCGAGAGGTTGGCGGGAGTGGAGGAGGGGTGGGGAGGAAGGAAGGGGGTGGGGAAAAGTCGGGCCTGGGCCGCGGTGGGCTTGCACAATGCGCGCGCCTCCGCGCGCTCCGCACCTTCGCTCCCGCCGGGCCGGGCTGGGAAAGGGGGAGGGGGGCCTCTGGCATTTGTGTGTGGGTGTGTTGCCAGCGGCGGCCGAGTTTGTGAAGTTGAGCCCTGGGCCCCTTTCCTTTGCGGCCTCTCGGTCCACTTCAGTCTCCTGGGGGAGTCAAATAATTGTTCTCTTGTTTTCCAGTGTTGATTAGAGGTGGGGGTAGAACCGGTCCATTTAGTTTTTTGCTCTTTCTTTCCTTCCCCCCTCCCGTTTCCCCTCCCCCTCCCGTAAGCATTTATTTTCCTCGCGGCTCAGGCGATTTCGGAATACAGGTTTCGGGCTTCCCCTGCCCAGACTTTCCTGGAAGTTGTTTATGGAGTTCTTTCACCCCTGCTCTTCCCTTGTGTGTTGGAACTTGGGCCGGCTTGCTCTTATCAAACTTAGTAGGTCGCGTGTTGGTTTCCCAGTTGTAGACTATTATTTACAGTCGGCTGAAACGCTTTTGAATTAGCCACATCTGTACGTTGCGCAGGAACTGAGTTGCGCTTTACAGTACCGAGGTTTTAACACAAGCCTTTGATAATACACTGCAGGTTGACTCATAGGCCAAGTCCTGCCTAGTTCAACTGTGATTAAAAGTTAATGTTTGGGAAGCGATGACTAATTCTAGGATCGCCATTGCTTTTTAATTCTTATTGCGGATATGAACATGGCTGCTATTCCACATACACAATGTTCGATTATTGTGCCAACTTGATTCAGCATAGAAGTGAAACTGTTTATAATGAGTGTTAACATTCCAATAGGTCCCAGTGGATTTGTTTTGTGTAGGGTTCTCTCTTTTTCTTTCTTTTTTATTTCTTCTTCTTTTTTTTTTTTTTTTTTTTTGAGAACTTGCTTCAGGCTAAACTTCAGCATAGGAACTTTGCCCAAAAGTTAATAGGTTTTCCAAATACTGCAATGTAGTTAGCCCACTCGGGATGTAACTTGAGTGGAAAGAAGAGTTACCGCCCCCACTCCCATTCCCTCTCCTATTTGCAGGCCTGTTGTATAGTCTCCTGTCGGAGACCAAAGGGTTTTGGAACTCAGAAAAAATCACTTAACCTGATGACAAAAACCCGGGTTAAGGAGGAGGAAAGAAGGAAAAACAATTTAGCTGCTTGCCTAAACACTTCAATTTGTCTTAGGTATGCTTTTTTCTCTTACCCCTCGAAGTGGGTTTATGGACTCATTGTGGGTAAATGTATGTTGGCATGCACCCTACAGACTGCACGGTATGTTTTCAAAGTATAATACACATAGATTGGATCCCCCATTTTGTGGCATCAGCCACAAAGAATTACAACTGGGAAGTGTACTTTTTCTTCTAGTAAATAATTTTTACAAGAATTTATATCCAGCAGTTCTAAAATTCATAAACTATTATAGTTTTGTTTGTTTTAAATAAGTTTTTAACTAAGTGTTTTGCATCTGTAAATTCGACTTTTATTTCTCCTAATGATTTCCTAAATCATACTTATTCTGATGGGAAACTCAAAAAGGTGTATCACTTTAAGGCATTAATGACTCTACTGAGTCCTTCCAGTTTCCTTACCTTTGTGAATCTAGGAAATTCTAACTTTTTGATAATCAAACTCTAATGCTAATTAAAAATATTTTAAAAACTATGCAAGATTATGAATAGTACAAATCTAGGTTGTAAATACTATTGTTCACAACACAAACTGGTGACTGTAAGTTCTTTCATATACATCCATTTTTCTATCATGAAAACTATTTTATAAAGGAGAAAACAGGCATATGGAAGTTAAGATACTTGTTCAGTGTCACACTAGCCAACTTAGACTGGAACTCAGATCTTTGGGGTCTGAATGCAGAATTTTTTCTGCTTGTATAGAGTTGTGGATGTGTGTGAGTTCTTAAGTTAAAATTGGACTGATAACATCTTTATCTTCTACATACAAAGATATAGTTGGGTTTTTTTCATCCTGTTCATTGTAGATGGCTTTTAAGAACATTTGGGCAGTTCAAATTTGTTGCTCTCATTAAAATTTGTGTAATTTGTTATGATTTCTTTATTGATGGCATTTTATCATGGTTGGAATAAATGACGAGGGCTTGATTTTTCTTGAGTTTGACCTAGAAAAAAAATTAATTACTTAAAACCTAGTAAAAAATACATATTCTTTGTGTTGTGTTTATACTTAGAACATTTTAGAACTTGGAAAAGCACCCATAACTGCACTGACCTCTTAAAAATTAGGTTTTAAAATTCACTATTATTTTTGGAATGTTTTATTCATTCAGTACTAGTTGCCCTTACATGTCTAGTGTGGACCAGGGGAAATTCATTAGATGGACTGCTCATCAATACAATTACAAACATTTATAAAATTTATATTAAAATTATATAATATTAAAAGTATCCATTTGAAAACCTGTGTTCTCCAGTGTCGAATATTAAATGTTGAAATTTTCCTTTGGTACTTAGATATTCGGCTGCAATTAAGCGCTGACTGGGAAATTTAAAGGGACTCAGTTGTGTTTTTTCTTTTTTAATTTTTCATCTTAATATTCCCTAATAGGCCAGTACTGATGCAGGCACTGCAGGAGCCCTGACTCCACAGCATGTTCGAGCTCATTCCTCTCCAGCTTCTCTGCAGTTGGGAGCTGTTTCTCCTGGGACACTGACCCCCACTGGAGTAGTCTCTGGCCCAGCAGCTACACCCACAGCTCAGCATCTTCGACAGTCTTCTTTTGAGATACCTGATGATGTACCTCTGCCAGCAGGTTGGGAGATGGCAAAGACATCTTCTGGTCAGAGATACTTCTTAAAGTAAGTGAAAATAATGGTGGGAGACAGTTATCTAAGACAAATATGTATTGGAAAACACAGTAAAGTGGTGTCAAGATACAGAATATCATTTATTTTTATGTTTTATTTAATATTTATGTTAAGCTCTGTAGCTCTATCTTCCATATATATGTTTCAGTTTGGTATGACCTAAATACCTTTGTTAGTATGGGTAATATTTTGAAAGCTTTACTGAGTCTTGGTTCTGAGCCTCTTTATAATCTTTTCTTTTGTGGAAGTTTGGTTATTCTCATTTTGAGCTTGTGCCAAACCTTTTAATTAGCCTAGCACAAAACAGAAAGAATACCATGAAAATTTTCAAATTCTGGGAATTACAGGGCTAGCAGCGTCTTACAAAATACGTATGGTGCTACTTGTATCTTTTTAAATAAATATTTTATTGGTAGAGAACTACAAAATAAGTAGGGCTTTTGGGGGAGTCTAATTTTACAGTATTTTAAATTGTGAAATGACAAGCACTACAACTGAAGCTTGATGTGACTTACCAATATTTCCCCCCAAAAATGTAAAGGGAAATAAAAATTTTTAGGTTTCATATGCAGTCGCTCAGTGGCAAACTTCTTTCAAGCTAGTAGGTCTTCACAACAGAAACCCTCCTCTCTGGGAAAACAAAAACATGACCGTTGGGTTGTTTATTTATTTTTATTTTTTCAGTCCTTTTGTGTTTAATAAAATGGCAGAATTACACTAGGCTGAAAAGACATAAATAGAATTTTCTCTCCTCTGATTTTGAAATTACAGATAAGACCTCAATTTTTTTCTGGCTTGTTTGGATCAAGTATATATTGAAATGTTGACTAAAACTAATTATGATAGACTGAAATTGATGTCTTTAAAAAAGCTCACTTAATAGTGTTTAATCAGGTTGAGATAATAAAGTGAAAAACAGTGTAAGTTTTGATTCGGATAGGTCTTGACAGTCTACTCCTAAGGCAAATGTAACATTTATTTATCATACCAGATAACACCATTAAGGATGTTTTGTTGTGTGAATCCTAGTATGTGTTTTATATTGATTGTCTTCCAGGGTGGGTTGCTACTTTGTAATGTAAGATAGAAAGTTTTGTGACAGACTTACAGAAGAGCAAAGGAAAAGGTTTGATCATGAAAAGTTCGTACAGTTTTTTTTTGCCCCCTTTCCTGCAACTTTTTCTTTTCTTTTCTTCTTTTTTTTTAAAAAAATTCATTTTCTGGTGTCCTGGTATCCATTTCAAAGGATCAGGTTTCAACCAGAACAGTAAAGGGCCTGAGACTGGAAAGTACACACAAGTCTGGCAAACTCATCTGCATGAGCAAGATCATTTGTTCTCAAGCAGACATCCAAAGTAAATGATTGAAAGAGCTGCTAGCTGTGAAGGATGTGTCTTGAAGGGGAAGGGAGTGGAAACAAACCAGGTTGTTAGGAAGAAAAAGAAAGGCTGCACTTTTTTGAACCTCTCCCTGCTGGGTCACATGCTGACCTGGGGAGATTGTTAAACAGCTTAATAGCCTGCTTTCCTTCTTTCTTTGGTTGATGCTGTGGCTAAAAGTATAAGGTTAAAGAGCAACATTTATGCTCTTCTTCTTAGTTCTTTGTATCTTGTAATAATTGCTTGTAGGTGATACCTGCCTACGATTTCATTATTTTGAATGAATGATCTTTTTTTGAGCTGAAATCAGTATTCTAGATACAGTTGGCCTTCCGTATCTGTGGGTTCAGCATTCATGGATTCAACCAACCTCTGATTGAAAATATTTGGAAACAAATTACATCTGTATTGACTAATGTACAAACTTTTTTCCTTGTCATTATTTCCTAAATAATGTAACAACTATTTAGCCTTTACGTTGTATTAAGTATTATAAGTAATCTAGAGGTGATATAAAGTATATGGGAGAATATGTATAGGTTATATGCAAATATTATGCCACCTTATATGAAAGACCAGAGCCTCTGTGGATTTTAGTACATGTAGGAGGTCCTGGAACCAATCCTTGACCACAGATGCTAAGGAATGACTATTCATTTTTCAAAGTTTCCAGTGATTCTTCCTTTGTGAAGAAATGTTTCTCTTAAAGGTATTGATATATGTAGATGGATTAATGAAGGGTATATACCTTCCAACCCCAGTCACCTCAATTCACCCCTGTCAACTATGGGCCTGTAAGGAAGATAAACCAGGCTAAAATAAATAAATCTCAAATTATGTCATAGGAGAAAAGGTTGCAAGGGTAGAGAGATATTTACCCGGAAAAGAAAAAACTGGGAGGAGGAGAGATAAGACATGATTGTTGTTTCAGTGTTTCTGGGGAACTTTTATGTGGGAGTAGGATTAGTCTTACTATATAAGAAATGTGAGGAATTTTGATTCCATGGAAGAATTTTCTTATATAAAACTTTTAAGAACTAGAAGAGTTTTCCTGGACAGGTAAATCTTGCTCAATAAATGTAGGTAAAATCATGGTTACTTGGTATCTGTCAGGGATTCTATGGAGGCCCCTAAACATTGGATGTGGGAGAAGAATGCTGTGGGCTTATAAAATTTTGTATTTTAAAGAGTATCTGCTTTATGAACATTATGCAATTTGGAGAAAAGTTATGAAATAAGATTATTTCACCTTCTCCAGTTAGCTACTTCCATGATGTTATGGACCGTATAGTTGTTACAACTTCTTTTTGTGTACTGAACAGACAAATGAGATTAATATCCTAACCATTAGTCAAAGATGATGATAAACTAAGCTTTTGGTGCCAAGTTTCTGTTGTCAAAGTTCATTTTTATCCTAGTTTTGATGTTTTAAAATAGGGCTGTCTTTGTAATCAATATTTATATACTTTCCTCTTGTATCTAAAGAGGAGTGTTGTTGTCATCAGATGTAGAATGAAGATTTAAATTAGTTGCCTTACACTTGTTTCCGCAATGAAACATTTTATTTTAATGCATCTTTTTAGATATTTGTTGGAACTGACTTTTAAGTTACAAAGTCTATAACTTATTGAGATTTATATTTGGCATGAAGAACCTGACTATAAATGGTCCAGACAGGCAAGACGATGTAATTTGAGAAAAAACTTAGAAATGTTAAGAAACAACCCAGTTGTTGGCCTTGTGACCATAGATGATTGAGTTTTTGAAGTTAGTTGGCCTATCATCTAGTTTCCAGGCAGCATGATTACTGAAAGATTATAAGCAGGCAATCATTCGTTGTTTTAAAGCCCTCCTTAGGTCAGTGAGATCTTGTGGAGGAGACTCATACCTTACTTTGGCAAGTGATACGGTGGAAGTATGGTGCTAGTTACATTTATCAGTGGCTTGTTTTCAAGCTCTGGGATGAATGTGAAGTATGTAAACAAGGCTTAGCCATATAATATTTGTTCTACTACATTTACTATTCAAAACTATTTTCTTTACCATCGTATTGAGCTTTCATTTTAAAAGAATTCATTCTCTTTATGACTCTGAGAGTTATTACCTTCTTCAGCTGTCTTACGGTTTTCCTACAGGAAATAGTTCTTCAAGTAGTTGGTCAACAACTTCCTATTTCTTTATAAGCTGCTGAATAACTTCCTGACTCAGTATTCTATAATATCTCTGGTTTCAAGGAGTGTTTTACTTGCAAGTTTATTTTATTGACTCTGATGCCTTATAACTATTACCATGTTCAAAGATATGTGTTCTTATATATAATGTACCATGTAGGACCTTATAATTTGATTTAAGGAATCTGGATCAGTGATTTTAAAAGTTTGTACATTTGCATTGTTTTAATAATGTTCTAATAATTTTTAAAGCACAGTTTTGTTTCATTTCCATTGTTTATCATTTTCTGAATAACTGGCCACAATGTTTTTAGTCTGCGAAGATTCAAGGTTTTTTGTGGCTGTGATTTGATTAAGTTATATTGAGTAGCTTGGTATACAATTTAAAAAGGATATGTTTTTCAGAGATTTTTGACATTGCATGGCATAAAACTACCCATATTCCTATATTAATTTGCCTTGTAGATGTGATTGATCGCTATACATAGGCTGATTCTTTTTTCTTTCTTTCCTTTTTTTTTTTTTTTTGAGACAGAGTCTTGCTCTGTTGACCAGGCTGGAGTGCAGTGGCACGATCTCAACTCACTGCAACCTCTGCCTCCTGGGTTCGCGTGATTCTCCTGCCCCATCTCTACAAAAATACAAAAATTAGCCGGGTGTGTTGGCGCACACCTATTGTCCCAGCTAATCAGGAGACTGAGGCAGGAGAATTGCTTGAACCTGGCAGGTGGAGGCTGCAGTGAGTTGAGATTGCACCACTCCACACCAGCCTGGGCGACAGAGCCAGACTCTATCTCAAAAAAAAAAAAGACTATGAACATATACAGTGTATGTTGTTATCATATACAGTGTACCTGGTATTTATACATTGTATACAGAACATATACAGTGTATCTTCATAATAAAGATTATGCCTCTTTAAAAGGAAGTTTCATGAAGAATAAGGCTATACTGTTTCTTTCTGTATCAAGTATAACCCAGAGTTTCCCTTTAAAACTGAAAAGCTTGTAATTTTGCCATTAAATGTTAAGTTGCACACGTGCACATGTATACACAAACAAAAAACCAGTTCAAATTGCAATCACGAAGTATTTCCCTATTTGAGGGAAGGCCAGTCTCTGCTTGTTTGTCTTGCTATTGAGGCTGAGTGGAGAGAGAAGATGAAAGTACGCCCTTAGCTCTGGGGGGTGGGGGAGAGCTTACTTCTGCTCAGTGGGTGGGCATCCCAGGGAAGAATGGCACACAGTGCCACAGTGATTTAGGGAGAGAACCCTGGAGAAACTGTATTCACCAGTGGCAGAAGAAAAACAGTTGGAAGATAGTAGATGTGACAGAGTAAATAGAACATAGAGATTAACATATTCCCTGGGAAAAATAATGGAATTTTTTTAGTGTGAACTAAGAAAGAAGTTCACTAGAACTTCTTTGCATTATTTAATTAATTTGCAGCATCATTCAAAGAACAGACTGTCACTTGGTGTGTTTAAAAATTATGATTCTTAGTTCTAGAAAGAATTCTAGAACTATCTCTGGAAGTTTAAATGTAGCAGACTCAATTGACTGCAAGGTGGTAGGCTAATTTTCTTTTTAAAGTCACATTTAAAAAAAAATACCCTTTCCTAAAGCTTTATCTTAGCCATTAAAAAAAAACCCAAACATCTAGATAGCATTTAAATAGTTGAAACTTGGAAAAAAAAAAAACCCAGGTTTTTACAACCCTAAAATAAGTCCTCTTTAGTTATGTAGAGAAATATTTTACTTTGTAGTTAGAAAAATAATGTGAATTCACAGCTTAAAATACTCAGGGTATCATGACTCTGCATTGCCTTGTACCTTAAGGCTTTGAGGGGAGGTAAACTCTAAACTGTTTTATTGCCAAAATATATATAGAAATTTAAGCTTAGGACCAATCAAAGTGAAGTCATTTTAAAAATCAGTTGCTAAGATTTAAGATTATTCAAACTTAATGCTACCCTCTGTAATAGCATAATTTAGCCATTAATTGTGGCTTGAAAGTTTTTAATAATAGCTGAGTAGCATTGTATAAAGGGAGGTCTTAAAGAGCTGTGTCGTTCTATAACTGTGGTTACTAGGTGATGCACTTCTTACAAAAAGGGCTTCTGATTCTAGGATTAATCAGAACTACAAGCCATGAAAGGGACATTGCCGTTTCTATGAAGAAGAATTGCTTCATGGTTCTGGTTGCTCAAGTGCTGTAGCACCAAGTTTCCTGGGAACAAGTACTGCCACCGTGGAAGCACTTTTATTTACGTAGGGCTTGACCCCTTCTAAATGCAAACAAAGAAGTTTGGTTTAAATCACAGCAGTCCTCCCCACCTCCCCTTTAATATTCTAGACAAGGAAAATGGTCAGTATTTAATCCTCATTTTGCTCCTAGCATGAGAAGAATCATAATTTTTAAACACACCAACCAAGTGATAGTCTGTTGTTTCTTTGAATGATGTTGCAAATTAATAAAATAGTGCAAATGGCAGTATCTATTATTTGGGTTTTCTTCTACCAGATATTTTCAGTGCTTTATTTGTGGTTAGTGCCATTACTTCATGTGCTGTCACTTTAATTTGTCTCTCTATCTCTTTATGGGATGTTAGTCACTCGACTATCAAGTTCTTCAGCAGGATTCTCAGTTGGGGGTGGGTGAGGGGACATTTTATTAAAAGCTCCTTCCTTTGTCTTCTTCCAATTGATTGCTTAACCTAAAGGGAGAGGAGTTCTGTTTGTTTTTAAAGTAAGGTATTTATTTGGCCAGTAAGTATGTTTAGAGAGTTGATACTTGCATGAAAATTGCTGCAGATTTGATTTGGGATTTGGAGTAAAGATAGTGTGCTTGTTAAAGTGTTACTGTGTGCTTTGACAAAATGGAATGTAGTATAGAAAGTTGCTTGAAATTCAACTTCTCGTATATCCTGAACTGACTAATAAGGAGCAGGCTTTTGGGATAAAAAGTACATACGCTGCCACCTAGGAGGTGAAGCAAGATGTGGATTTTTTTTTCCTGTATATGGAAATAGATGTGGGGGTTCTTTTGTTTTATATTTATAAAACAGTCCTCCCTCACTCTTATTCCTTCATGTGCGGTAGTCCCTCCCCACCATCCATGAGTTTCCTTTCCAAAGTTTCAGTTACCTGCCATCACTGTGGTGTAAAAATATTAAAATGGAGAATTCCAGAAATAATTCATGGCCAGCCGTCGTAGCTCACGTCTGTAATCCCAGCACTTTGAGAGGCTGAGGTGGGCATATCCTTTGAGCCCAGGAGTTGAAGACCAGCCTGGGCAATGTAGCAAGATCTCATCTCTATTAAAAATACAAAAAAATTAGCCGAGCATGGTGGCACCTGCCTGTAGTCCCAGCTACTTGGGAGGCTGAAGTGGGAGAATCACCTGAGCCTGGGAAGTCGAGGCTGCAGTGATTGTGCCACTGCACTTCAGCCCAGCCTGGGCAATGGGAGTGAGACCTTGTCTCAAAAAAAAAAAAAACTAAAAACAGAAAACCAGTTCATAAGTTTTAAATTGCAGTGTTCTGAGTAGCGTGATGCAATCCTGCAATCTTGTGCTGTCCAGTCTGGAATGTGAATCCTCTCTTTGGTCAATGCATCCATACTGTCTATGCTACCTCCCATGCCACCACCCCATTGGTCACTTAGTAGCCACCTCAGTTGTCAGATCCAAAGACTGTAGTATATATATAGGATATAGGGTTGGGTACTATCTGCTGTTTCAAGCATCCACTGTGGGGCTTGGATCATTTCCCCTGAGGATAAGTGGGGGACTGCTGCCTCTGATTTTAGGCATTTCTTTTAATAAGGTATATTATTTTTTTGTATTTGTTTGGTTTATTTTGAGACAGTCTTAACTCTGTCACCCAGACTTGGAGTGCAGTTGCATGATCACTGCTCACAGCAGCTTCTACATCCCAGGCTTGTGTGATCCTCCCACCTGAGCCTCCTGAGTAGCTGGGACTACAGGCATCCACCACCATGCCTGGCTAATTTTTAAATTTTTTGTAGAGACCAGGTTTTACCATGTTGCCCAGGCTGGTCTCAAACTCCTGGACTCAGGTGAACCTTAGGCATGAACCACCACACCTGGCCAGGCATATGGTTTTTGTTATAAAACTAACATTTATTAGAGAGAATCAGAAAATTCAGGAAAAGAGAAAGGGGGCCTGGCGCAGTGGCTCATGCCTGTAATCCTAGCCTTTTGGGAGGCTAAGGCAGGCAGATAACTTGAGGGTAGGAGTTCAAGACCAGCCTGGCCAACAGTGAAAACCGATCTCTACTAAAAATAGAAGGAAAAAAAATGGGCGTGGTAGCCCATGCCTGTAATCCCAGCTACTCCTTTTGGGAGGCTGAGGCATGAGAATCGTTTGAGCTCAGGAGGCAGAGGTTGCAGTGAGCCAACATCACGCCACTGCACTACAGCCTGGGCAACAGAGCCAGACTCTGTCTCAAAAAAAAAAAAGAAGGAAAGAAAACGGAAGGAAGCACCAGATTCTACCAGTGAGAGGTGTTTGAAGAACCTTGTTTTCATAGCCTGTGTGTAAACGTATATTTTGAAATTTAATTTTTAGGGAAGTAACCTGTGCATTGATTTAGAAAATCCCTTAATACTGTAAGGTTTATAAAGAAAAAGAGCAGGCTGGGTATGGTGGCTCACGCCTGTAATCCCAGCACTTCGGAAGGCCAAGGCGGGCGGATCACCTGAGGTCAGGAGTTTGAGACCAGCCTGGCCAACATGGTGAAACCCCATCTCTACTAAAAAATAGAAAAATTAGGCAGGCGTGGTGGCAGGCGCCTTAATCCCAGCTACTTGGGAGGCAGAGGCAGGATAATCGTTTGAACCTGGGAGGTGGAGGTTGCAGCAGTGAATCGAGATCGAGCATTGCACTCTAGCCTGGGGGACAAGAGCGAGACTTCTCTCAAAAAAAAAAAAAAAAAAAAAGCAAAGAAAAGAGCAATGACCCTCTTTTCTTTATCTCTGGCTTGCAGCTTGCATTCTTCAGAGGCAAGCACTTTCCACTCCTTCTAGGTGTTTTTTCCGCTGGTACTTTTAAAAATTCCATATTTATAAAATGTGTTACATTGCTATTTCTTGAATTTTCATCACCCCTCAAAATCCTTTTCTTTAATCCTCCCATTATAATGACTATAATTGTTTTGTTAAATATTTTTACGTTATGACAATTCATGTTGTGCCTACAGCAGAGTCATATAATGTACTATGATTTTCTGGAAAATTCTGTATTTCCTTGCCTGGCCAACTGTGATTTTGTTTTTGCCGTGATTTTTTGTTTTTATTTCTGTTGCTTTTTGCCCACCTTGGAGCTATCCTTAGAGTCTTTTGTTTTCCTGCTCTGTGCTAGACTTGTTGCTTCAGAGTTGTCATGTTAGGATGTGCCTTGGCTTTCATCCTGGGGAGTTTCTGAATCACTCTTATGGGTTGGGTACCCAATTTTTCTCTTTCTTTATTTGCTCACTCTTTGAGTTTGTTCATCCCCTAGAAATTTGCAGAAGAAAGGGGTACATGGGAGGTAGCTGTGTTGAGATCTCTTGTCTCTAAAACTATCTTTCTCTGTTAACATTTAGTGGGCAGTTTGGTTGTAGCATTTAAGCTTATTTTCTCGTGAAATTTTGATGGCATTACTCCGTTTTCTTTTCTTTTTTTTTTTTTCTTTTTTTTTTCGAGACACAGTCTTGCTCTGTCACCCAGGTTGGAGTGCAGTGGCTCGATCTCGTCTCACTGCAAGCTCCACCTCCTGGGTTCATGCCATTCTCTGGCCTCAGCCTCCCGAGTAGCTGGGACTACAGGCACCCACCACCGCGCCCAGCTAAGTTTTTGTATTTTTAGTAGAGACGGAGTTTCACCGTGGTCTCGATCTCCTGACCTCGTGATCCGCCCACCTTGGCCTCCCAAAGTGCTGGGATTACAGGTGTGAGCCACCATGCCCGGCCACTCCATTTTCTTTTTCTTTTTTTTTTGTTTTTTTGTTTTTTTGAGATGGAGTCTTGCTTTGTCACCCAGGCTGGAGTGCAGGGGTGTGATCTCGGCTCATCGCAATCTCTGGCTCCCGGGTTCAAGCGATTCTCCTGCCTTAGCCTCCTGAGTAGCCGGGATTACAGGCGTGTGCCACCATGCCCCAGCTAATTTTTGTATTTTTAGTAGAGGCGGGGTTTCACCATGTTGGCCAGGTTGGTCTCGAACTCCTGACCTCAAGTGATCTGCCTGCCTCAGCCTCCCAAAGTGCTGGGATTACAGGCATGAGCTGCTGCGCCCGGCACTCCATTTTCTTCTAGCTTCCAGTTTGCTAATTGAGTGTTTGCTTTCCTTGGGGATTTTAGTATTTTGTTCTTTATATTGGGGGTCTGAAATTTCATGATGTCTGTTGATATGCTCTTTTAAAATTCATTGTCAACAATGCCTAGTCATGTATCAGTTCATGTAAAGAAACTCGGTCTTCAATATGGATGATGCCCCTCAAGATTTTGCAGTACAGTTGCCCTAAAGTACAATTTCCAGGACTGTCTTTTCAGGCATGGAATCTTTCAGTCCTGGAAAACATTTCTTTCATTAGTTCCCGGGTAATTTCTTCCAGTCTGTTTTATCTGTTATTTTTTTTCTGGAATTCTTGCTAGTCAGGATAACTGTTTTAATTTTCTTATCTTATCCCACTATTTTCTTTCACTTAGCATTTTGTTATGTTTTCTGGGAGATCCCTTCAACTTTAACTTTTAATTTTTCTGTTGATTTTGTTTTCTTTTGTTTCTGAGATGATGTGGGAGGGGGGCGGTCTCACTCTGCTGCCCAGGTTCGAGTGCAGTGGCGCCATCTCAGCTTACTGCAACCTCTGCCCCTGGAGCTCAAGCGATCCTCCCTCCTCAGTGTCCTAAGTAGCTGGGATCACAGATTGCGTATCACCATGCCTGGCTAAGTATTTGTGTTTTTGGTAGAAATGGGTTTCACCATGTTTCCCATGGTTGGTCTCAAACTTGTGAGCTCAAGTGATCTGCCCGTGTCCACCTTCAGAAGTGCTGGGATTACAGGGATGAGCCACCGTGCCTAGCCAGATTTTTTTTTTTTTTTAGACAAGGTCTTCCTCTGTTGCCCAGGCTGGAATGCAGTGGCACGCTCAGGGCTCACTGCAGCCTCAACTTCTGAACCTCAGGTGATCGTCCTGCCTTAGCCTCCCCAAGTAGCTGGGACCGGCTAATTTTTGTGTGTGTATGTTTTGTAGAGACAGGGTTTTACCATGTTGCCCAGGCTGGTGTCGAACTCCTGGGCTCAAATGATCCACCCACCTTGGCCTCCCAAAGTGCTGGGATTACAGGTGTGAGCCAGTGCGCCTGGCCTGATTTTCTTTTTTCCCAAAAAGCTATTTCTCATTCTTTTTTTTTTCTTTTCTTTTCTTTTTTTTTTTTTTTTGAGACAGAGCTTCGCACTGTTGCCCAGGCTGGAGTGCGGTGGCACAATTTTGGCTCACTGCAGCCTCCGCCTCCTGGGTTCAAGTGATTCTCCTGCTTCAGCCTCCAGAGTAGCTGGGATTACAGGCATGCGTCATCATGCCTGGCTAATTTTTTTATATTTTTAGTAGAGATGGGGATTCACCATGTTACCCAGGCTGGTCTTGAACTCCTAACCTCAAGTGATCCGCCTACCTCAGCCTCCCAAAGTGCTGGGATTACTGATGTCAGCCATATCACGCCTGGCCTGTGTATCATTCTTAATTTACAGTGAGTCTTTTCTGAGCTCATTGTTTATTATTTTTAATAACATGCTGTTC
Source organism: Homo sapiens (assembly GCF_000001405.40). Lineage (NCBI taxonomy): Eukaryota > Metazoa > Chordata > Mammalia > Primates > Hominidae > Homo > Homo sapiens. The sequence continues at coordinate 102,125,753 of NC_000011.10, forward strand.
TTATTTTATGGTTGTAGTAATATAATATCTCCCTTAGGATATTATACTGTTTCTTTTTATATTTTGTGCTGATGCCTTCATTGTCTAGGTAGGCTTCATTGGAGAGTAATACAACAGGAGCCAAGCCCGGAAGTTGCAGGGACCCCTGAATGCCACTGTCTTAGTAATTTCCTCTTTTAGCAGCCACTATCTCTAGCTAAGTCTGCCAGTCTGGAGAGCACCAGTGGTGATGGGAGTTAGGACTGAATACCAGTGTTCTTGGGCTTGACAATGTGGGGCCTCATCCCTGCTCTCAGCTATGTCATGTGTTTGAATCCAGAGTCTCCAGGTCTGTTTCTCTGAAATCTGAATAATCGATTTCCTCCTTGGGCCAAGCAGAGAGGTATGCAGTAGGTTTTTAAGAAGTTGTATGTAAGCTGAATTTTTGTGAATCCAGTTTATAATTACAGGTTGACTATAGGAAGTTGCCAATTTTCTAAGCCCAAAACAGTGACTATTAGCAATTTTTTATGATTTGGTTTAAACCTTACAAAATCACTTTTTACTGAATCCTTGATATGGTTTGGCTGTGTTCCCACTGAAATCTCAATGTGAATTTTATCTCCCAGAATTCCTACATGTTGTGGGACAAACCCAGTGGGAGGTAATTGAATCACAGGGGCCTTTCTTTCCCGTGCTATTCTCGTGATAGTGAATAAGTCTCATGAGATCTAATGGGTTTATCAGGGGTTTCCGCTTTTGCTTCTTCCTCATTTCTCTCTTGCCCCCGCCATGTAAGAAGTGCCTCTCACCTCCCGCCATGATTCTGAGGCCTCCTTAGCCATGTGGAGTTGTAAGTCCAATTAAACCGCTTTTTCTTCCCAGTCTTGGGTATGTCTTTATCAGTAGCATGAAAATGAACTAATACAGTACATTGGTACCAGTAAAGTGGGGCGTTGCTGAAAAATACCCAAAAATTTGGAAGTGACTTTGGAACTGGGTAACAGAGGTTGGAACAGTTTGGAAGACTCAGAAGAAGACAAGAAAATGTGGGAAAGTTTGGAACTTCCTAGAGACTTCTTGAATGGCTTTGACAAAAATGCCGATAGTGATGTGAACAGTCCAGGCTGAGGTGGTCTCAGATGGAAATGAGGAACTTCTTGGGAACTGGACCAGAGGTGACTCTTGTTACGTTTTAGCAAAGGGACTGGTGGCAGTTTGCCCTTGCCCTAGAGATTTGTGGAACTTTGAACTTGAAAGAGATGATTTAGGTATCTGGCCAAAGAAATTTCTAAGCAGCAAAGCATTCAAAAGGTGACTTGGGTGCTGTTAAAAGCATTTAGTTTTATAAAGGAAGCAGAGCATAAAAGTTCAGAAAATTTGCAGCCTGACAATGCAGTAGAAAATAAAAACCCATTTTTTGAGGAGAAATTCAAGCCAGTTGCAGAAATTTGCATAAGTAGCAAGGAGCCTAATGTTAATCCCCAAGACCAAGGGGAAGATGTCTCCAGGCCATGTCAGAGACTTTCACGTCAGCCCCTCCCATCACAGGCCTGGAGGCCCAGGAGGATATGGTTTTGTAGGCTGGGCCCAGGGTCCCTGTGCTGTGTGCAGTCTAGGGACTTGGTGCCCTGTGTCTCAGCCACTCCAGCTGTGGCTGAAAGGGGCCAACGTATGGCTCAGGCTGTGGCTTCAGAGGTTGGAAGCCCCAAGCCTTGGCAGCTTCCACTTGGTGTTGAGAGTGCAGTTGCACAGAAGTCAAGAATTCAGGTTTGGGAACCTCTGCCTAGATTTCAGATGCATGGAAATGCCTGGATGTGTGGGCAAAAGTTTGCTGCAGGGGCGGGGCCCTGATGGAGAACCTCTGCTAGGGCAGTGCAGAAGGGAACTGTGGGGTTGGAGCCCCCACACAGAGTCCCCACTGGGGCACTGCCTAGTGGAGCTGTGAGAAGAGAGCCACCATCCTCCAGACCCCAGAATGGTAGATCCACTGACACCTTGCATCGTGCTCCTGGAAAAGCTGCAGGCACTCAGTGCCAGCCTGTGAGAGCAGCCAGAAGGGAGGCTGTACCCTGTAAAACCACAGGGGCGGAGCTGCCCAAGACCATGGGAATCCATCTCTTGTATCAGTGAGACCTGGAGTCACAGGAGATCATTTTGGAGCTTTAAAATGTGACTGTCCCACTGGATTTCGGACTCGCATGGGCCCTGTAACCCCTTTGTTTTGGCCAATTTCTTCCATTCAGAATGGCTGTATTTACCCAGTACCTGTACCCGCATTGTATCTAGGAAGTAACTAGCTTGCTTTTAGTTTTACAGGCCCATAGGTGGAAGGGATTTGCCTTGTCTCTGATGAGACTTTGGACTGTGGACTTTTGGGTTAATGCTGAAATGAGTAAGACTTTGGGGGAACTGTTGGGAAGGCATGATTGGTTTTGAAATATGAGGACATGAGATTTGGAGGGGCCAACGGCAGCATGATATGATTTGGCTGTGTCCCCACTGAAATCTCAACTTGAGCTGTATCTCCCAGAATTCCCACGTGTTGTGGGAGGGACTCGGCGGGGGGTAATTGAATTATGGGGTCTAGTCTTTCCCGTGCTATTCTCATGATAATGAATAAGTCTCACGAGATCTGATGGGTTTATCAGGGGTTTCCGCTTTTGCTTCTTCCTCATTTCTCTCTTGCCACTGCCATGTAAGAAGTGCCTCTCACCTTCCACCATGATCCTGAGGCCTCCCCAGCCATGTGGAACTGTTTAAGTCCAATTAAACCTCTTTTTCTTCCCAGTCTCAGGTATATCTTTATCAGCGTTGTGAAAATGAACTAATACAATCCTTAAGTGCTTTTAACAAGCAAATGCTTACTTCATTTATATTTGTCCTTATCAGTATCAGTTTTGCTAGCTTACCTTTTTGCATGTTAGATTTTCTTAAAGGGAGAATTACAGCTGTGACACGAGAGTGGTTAGCATTGAATGGACAGTCTAAGAATTTTGTTCAGAAGGTTTGGATTCTGGTCAGAGAGCCTGGAGATATAATTTCTATTCTTATGTATGATAAGGGAGGTAGTCCTATCTGTTCGTTTGCCATTTCCAAGTTCTTCATCTAGTTAATATGAACAGCTTTAAAAATTAGGGCTTTAAAGTAAAACAGCCTTATATAATTATTGGCCTCTCTCTCTCTTCCTTTGTCTCTCCCTCTCTTCCTTTTTTACCTCCCTCCCTCCCTCTCGCTTCCCTATCCCCAAACCCTGTGTCCCCTCCCCAGTCTCCTGACACTGTCTCTTTCTTTCTCTCATCAGTATAGATGGTGGTAGGAAAAATGTTTATATCTAAATTGATCAGTAATTGTAAATATGCAGTATACTGCATAAGTTAACCCTGAGATGTGTTTAACTGAGTTTTATCTCAGTTTCTCCCTGGCAGGTGGTGCTCATTTAATAGAGAACTCAAAAAAGTAGCCTGTGTTCAGTCCCTAATAGACCATTGTTGATGTCATAGAATAATTTTTTTTTCTATATACTATCATATGGTCAGGTAAGCATTTTTAGAGAATGAGTTAGAATTTCATGAAGACTGGGTTTAGGTTAAAATACATTCATCTGGGCCAGGTGCAGTGGCTCTCGCCTGTAATCCCAGCACTTTGGGAGGCTGAGGTGGGTGGATCACGAGGTCAGGAGTTCAAGACTAGCCTGACCAACATCGTGAAACCCCATCTCTACAAAAACACAAAAATTAGCTGTGCATGATGGTGGGTGCCTGTAATCCCAGCTGCTCGGGAGGCTGAGGCACGAGAATCTCTTGAACCCAGGAAGCAGAGGTTGCCGTGAGCCAAGATTGCGCCATTGCATTCCAGGCTGGGCAACAGAGCGAGACTCTGTCTCCAAAAAAAAAAAAAAAAAAAAAATTTACCCATAGATGATGGCTGAGATGTGTTAGGACCCTTTATTGTTTTTTATCTCAAGTTGAATTTCTCCAGGTTCCATTTTTCAGTAGTCTTGTCCTTGTTTAGGTAAAAAGTGATTACATAGGAAAATCTGTTGGGTGAAAAGGAAGCAAAACTTTTTTTTTTTTTTTTTTTTTCGAAATGGGGTCTTGCTCTGTCACCCAGGCTGGAGTGATGCAGTGGCACTATCTCAGCTCACTGCAACCTCCGCCTCCGCCTCCTGGGTTCAAGTGATTCTCCTGCCTCAGCCTCCCCAGCAGCTGGGATTACAGGCATGCACCACCACACCTGGCTAATTTTTGTAGAGATGGGGTTTTGAACTACTGACCTCAAGTAATCCACCTGCCTCAGCTTCCCAAAGTGCTGGGATTATAGGCGTGAGCCACTGTGCCTGGCCAGAAACCTTTTAAAACTGCATACAAGCAAAACCAGACCAGAGCACCATATAGCAGTCAGAGAAGAGGGTTTTCTGAGTCATAAATATTGACTCAGAAAAAAAATTCAATATTTTTCTGAGTCAAAAATATTGAATGGTGTGAGGAAGAGTGGAACAGAATTGGTACACCTTAGTTCGTGTAAAATAAGGAAGTGTGTCAGAATAGCCAAGTGCTAAGTTTAGAAATGAGCTAAATAAATGGAGATTCCTGAGACCCTGCCTGGAACCAATTCTTACCAGTGTTAAGGTCACAGTTAAAATTTCCCAAGCTCTCCCGGATAATGATTGATTGATTGATTGATTGATTGACAGGCTCTCATTCCAGTTGCCCAGGCTGGAGTGCAATAGTATGATCTTGGCTCACTGTAGCCTCAATCCTCTGGACTTAGGTGATTCTCCACCTCAGCCTCCTGAATAGCTGGGACTACAAGAATGTGCCACCACACCTGGCTAATTTTTGTGTCTTTAGTAGAGATGGAGTCTTGCCGTGTTGCCCAGGCTGGAATCAAACTCCTGGACTCAAGCAATCTGCTCACTTCAGCCTCCCAAAATGCTGGGATTACAGGCATGAGCCACCACACCTGACCTCTCCTGGATAACTACTCTTTTTTTTTTTTTTTTTTTTTTTTAAGATTTAAAAAAACTGGTAAAGAGTTGTCCAAATACAGATGTTTCTATTTTTCCTCTACACATGTTCAGACTGATACAGGTTATGTTTCCAAAATCATGTAGTTTGGATGGGTTCACTTTTAACCCCTCCCAGCTGGAGGGTATGCAGGCTTTCCTGTTAGGACTAGTACAGATCTCTTCTTATGGGTGAGAAAATAGTCACTGTTTCTTTGCAATGATATGTAAGTGTCATTGTCCTCTGTGTTTGAGGATAAACCATGCCCTCTTTGTACCTGTCTGTCTTCTTTGAGTTGGTGCCCATCATACTGCAGATAAGAATTTGCACAGCTTATCAATAAGCCAGTTCTCTCTCTTCCCTCAAATACTGGGTGGTTTTCTCAAAAAAGACCCACATGGTTCGGGATAAAGTGTTTGGTTACTTGCTTTGATGTAGTTATAGTTTCTAAAACTGTAGCCCAAAAGAGTAGCCAATGCTTAGTCTTTAGTAGGCCATTGTCGATGTTGCTCTTCCTGCCATTCTTTTCTGTGAACTCACTATAAGTGCTTTTGATCTCTTGATTTTATAAACACCTATGTAGTGGTTTTATGTAGCAGGCGTTGTTCTGGATCCCACTCTGTGTAATAGGGACAAAATTAATAACATGCCAGTCTTGATGGACTGGATAGGTCTCAAAACTTCATTGTAAGTCATGTGTCTTGTTTGCCTTTTCATTGGTAACTGTCCCTCACGATTGAGGCTATGAGTTCAATAAAGAGAGATCTTGCTGTCTTTGTTCAGCATTATGTGTGTAGCTCTTGATACATTTATTGGCAGATGACATGCTATAGAGTGCTCATTTATTTCAGAGTCCATTGGTCGACAGTCTTCCTGATTGATGACTGTAGTTTCTGCATAATTATGATTGCCCTTTTCACTCTTGAAAGTATCCCACAATGGCTGATAAATTACATATGCGAACTAGAGTATTTACTATGTGTATTCTAAAGTTAATTTTATGAGTTTGAGATTATTTTTAAGCTTTAACAGGAACTATTAAAAAAGGGTATTGTTTGTCTTCTGGATATAAAGTGACAGTAGTTCACTTTGTGGTATTATAAATTTTGTTCCATGGGCAGTGAATATCTGATTTCTTTAGGATTAAATGAGTAAGAAATTCTGTTGTAAAAGTGATACCAAGCCTGGCCAACATGATGAAACCCTGTCTCTACTAAAAATAGAAAAATTAGCTGGGCACAGTGGTGTGCGCCTGTTGTCCCAGCTACTCGGGAGGCTGAGGCAGGAGAATCGCTTGAATTTAGGAGGTGGAGGTTGCAGTGAGCTGAGATCTCACCACTGCATCCCAGCCTGGGCAACAGAGCGAGACCCTGTGTCAAAAAAAATAAAAAAAAAGAGTGATACCGGTGAGCAGACAACTCTGGAAGGCTGAGAGAAAAGTCATGAGGTAGTAGCATGGGTCAGATACTACTCAAGTCACGCTTAAGGGAGTTAGCATTTTCAGCTAGTGATTGTGTGGACATTGGAGGAGTCAAAGACAGAGCTGCCAAAAGGTTTTCTGGTAAAACCAAAGGTCTTTTCCCTCCCCACCTTGAATGACATTGCATCTCAAGAGAGTCCTCGCTTGATGCTGTTAATTAATTAATCTCAGTTTACTTTGCATTCTGACTTTGGGTATTTTTTTCATTTTTTGAAAAACAGTTCTTCTGATATCAAAACACTTGAAAAGCCATTTAATGACTTGGTTTTATTCACTGTTTGAGACAGATTGTTTCAAAGTGAGGACTATGCATTACACAAACATTGTTAACTATAATTGTATCCTGTATACATTTTTTAAAGGTTTGTTTTGATGTTGGCACCTGTTTAAGATTTTCCTTTTTTGCTTCTTTTTGACACCATTTGTCAGAAAATGCTGGTTGAAAGGGATTGTTTGCATTTCATTTTTTGGTAAATTCAGCTTCATGTTCATTTGTTTACCAATAAATTTATTAGAATTGTGCAAAGTGAATATAAACCGTTTACACACATTGGTTACTCTTGTTTCAGTTAGTAATTATCCCTGCAAATTGAATTAATAGTAAAATGTGTAAAACATTACAATTTTTTACTTTTTTTATTTTTTACTGGCATAGGGGCCCGGCATAGTGGTTCATGCCTGTAATCCCAGCGCTTTGGGAGGCCGAGGCAGGAGATCACCTGAGGTCAGGAGATGGAGACCAGCCTGGCCAACATGGTGAAACCCCGTCTCTACTAAAAATACAAAAATTATCTGGGAGTGGTGGTGCTTGCCTGTAATCCCAGCTACTCTGGAGGCTGAGGCAGGAGAATCACTTGAACCAGAGAGTTAGAGGTTGCAGTGAGCCAAGATGGCGCCACTGCACTCCAGCCTGGCAACAGAGTGAGACTCCGTCTCAAAAATAAATAAATAAACAAACAAACAAACAATTTGGTTTAAAAAATACTAGGATTTTACTTAAAAAGATTTTTAAACTCGACAATTCTTACTAAGCTCTAGGATTTTAAGTTTATTAATAAAACTCTTGTGGCACACAGAATTTTTGGGTTTTTTTGGGACAGAGTCTCACTCTGCTACCCCAGGGATGGAGTACAGTGGCGATGTCAGCTCACTGCAGCCTCCACCTCCTGGGTTCAAGCAATTCTCCTGCCTCAGCCTCCCGAGTAGCTGGGACTACAGGCACGTTGCTACCATGCTCGGCTAATTTTTGTATTTTTTGTAGAGATGGGGTTTCAACATGTTGCCAAGGCTGGTTTCAAACTCCAAGGCCCAAGTGATCTGCCTGTCTTGGCCTCCCACAGGGCTGGGATTACAGGCATAAGCCACCACGCCTGGCCTAGAATTGTTTATCTAATGTCAAAGTTTAATATGGTTTTGGAAGGAAGTTATGAGTTTCACACAAATGCTTATAATTAAGAAATAAGTTTAGATGACAATAGCATATTAGGCTGTTAAGATTTCAACTCTGCTGTTTTGTAGGAAGCCACATGGAGGTCATTTACGGTTACTAGTTATCTTAGTCAGCTTGGGCAGCCATTAAAAAATAATACTGTAGACGGAGTGGCCCAAACGAGAGAAATTTATTTCTTATAGTTTTGGCATGGTAGATTTCATCCTGAGGTCTCTTCTCTTGGTTTGTAGTTGGCTGTCAATCTCCCTGCATGCTCACACGACCGCTTTTTGTACATACAGTAAGAAAATACACACTGTCATGTCATTTTTTTGTAAGGGAACTGATTTCATCATGAGGACCCTGCCACTCTCATGACCTGATCTAATCGTAATTAACTCCAAAGACCCTATCTCCAAATGTCAGCACATTGAGGGATTAGCACTTCAGCGATGACTTTTGGGAGGACACGGATATTTAGTCCAAAACACTGTTTTAACTGAAAAGAGTTTGCATTATGGACGTTTATGTTTGAAAAATCAGCTATTTAGGTAGTGGTGGTCTCTCACTTTATTTGCCATTGACTTGTTAGGGAAACCTTTTGCTTTCTCATTTCAAGATGCTAGATTAGTACCTTATTATCATACTTAATCTGTTAACTGTGATTTAGAAATATCAGGATGCTATAAACAACATGGAATTATGTGCAGATATACGATTGAGAGTTGGATTTTTTTTACATCTCAGTATTGTTCTGCATATTATTCAGAGGTATGTACTTTGTCCTAATATGCTATGTTATGGCTCTTTTTTTAATCTATGAAAAATTATATATATTTATTTATATATGTATAATATATATATTAAATATATATATATTTAAGAATGCATAAAACACACTTATTCTAAATAGTGATTTTGATGGAAATACGCTTCCAGGTTAACCACTCTCCAGGTTAATAAAGAGAATATTGCTAGTTCCTTAGAAGTCTTCCACGTACCTCTCACAGATCACATCCCTTTCCCTCTATCCAGAGGTAACTTCTGGCCTTTTATTTTACCTTTTTTTAAATTTGAGAGATAGGGTCTCACTCTGTTGCCCAGGTTGGAGTATAGTGGCCTGATTACTGCTCACTGCAGCCTTGACCTCCTGGGCTGAAGCGATCCTCTGGCCTCAGCCTCCTGAGTAGCTGGGATTGCAGGTACATGCCACCATGCCAGCTAATTTGTTTTCTAGTGTTTTTTTGAGATGGAGTTTCACTATTTTTGCCCAGGTTGGAGTGCAGTGGCGCAGCCTCAGCTCACTGCAACCTCTGCCTCCTTGGTTCAAGTGATTCTCCTGCCTCAGCCTCCTGAGTAGCTGGGATTAAAGGTGCATGCTGGCTAATTTTGTATTTTTAGTAGATTCGGGATTTCACTATGTTGGCCAGGCTGGTCTTGAACTCCTGACCTCAGGTGGTCTGCCCACGTTAGCCTCCCAAAGTACTGGGATTACAGCCTGACCATAATTTTTAATTTTTAATTTTTTGTAGAGATGGTGTCTCACTATGTTGCCTAGGCTGGATTATTTTTTAGTTTTACCATCTACATGTGTATTTCTTTCAGTTACCTACTACTGCATAACAAACTACCCTAAAACTTACGGCTTAAAACAACCATTTTATTGTATCTTACAAATTTGTGAATTAGGGATTCAGTCAAGGCACAGCAGGGTGATTCTTTTCCATGCAGCATTGATGGAGGTCACTCAGTGCCATTCAGCTGGCAGACTGGATCCAAAGATAGCTTCACTCATAGGTCTTGCTTGCACTTTGATGTGGATGGCTGGAAGGCTGGGCTTAGCTGGAACTGTGTACCAGAGTGTGTGTACATGGCCTTTCTAGCATTGCGGTCTGAAGGCAGTTGGATTTCTTAAATGGCAGCTGAGATTTCCTAGAGAGGCAGCCTCAAGAGGCTTGGGCAGAAGTTTCAAGCTTCTTCAAATCTAACCTTGGACATCCCATTGTATTGGTCAGGCCAATCACCAAGACCAGAATGGATTCAAGCCAAAGGAATTAGACTTCATTTTTCAATGGGAGGAATAGTAAAAAAATTGGTGGTCATTTTTAATTTGCCACAGTTCTTATAATAGTTCTAATTTTTAAAATTTTATATAAATGAAGTGATATCTGCAAATATTTTTGCAGTTTGCATCTTTTGATCAATTTTGTGGGACTCGTGAATGTTAGTATAGTTCATTTTTATTGCTGTATATTTTCATAGCTGTGTGGCTCTATTGTATAGCTAGACCACAGTTTATCCATTCTGTCATTAAAGAACATTTGTGTTATATAAAGATGCTGCAGTGAACATTCATGTGTATGTCTTCTGTGCAAGGATTTCTCTGTGTACATACATAAGAACTTTTCTAGGCTGTGTAAGAGTGGAATTGCTGGGTCACAGGGTATGTCCAGTGCATGGTACTTTTGCTGGTCTTCTGTGTTTATATTAGTATACCACTGTGGTTTTAACTTACATTGCTTGATCACCATTGGATCTGAGCATATTTTCATATACATTTTGGTCATTTATTTTACTTTCTAAAGCACTTGCTCAAATGTTTTGCCCAGTGTTCTTTTGAATTTTTGCCCCTTTTTCCTGTATGATAACTGCTTGCTTTTAATCCTTCCATGTGCCTAGGACAGGGAGCCATTTTTCCTTTTTTTTTTTTTTTAAAACAGGGTCTCCGTCGCCTAGGCTGGAGTGCAGTGGCACAATCTCGGCTCACTGCAACCTCCATCTCCCAGGCCCAAGTGATCCTCTCACCTCAGCCTCCTAAGTAGCTGGGACTACAGGTGGGTACTGCTACCGTGCCTGGGTAATTTTGTTTTTGTTTGTTTTTTTGGTAGAGATGGAGTTTCACCATGTTGCCCAAGCTGGTGTCGAACTTCTGGGCTAAAGTGATCCACCTGCCTCAGCCTCCCAAAGTACTGGGATTACAGGCATGAGCCACTGCACCGGGCTCATTTTTCTATATTCGAAAAGTTTCATATATATGTCTTTAATCTTCTCAGAATTGACTATGTATATATGAGTGTAGGAGTTTTTTTCTCAGATGGATATCCAGTTTTCCTAGGACGATTTACTGAAAAGTTCACTCCTCACTGATTAGTGATTGCACTTCTGTCCGTAATAGTTGCATAGATCTGTTACTGTATTCTGTTTGTTGTCTGTCGCTGTGTCAGTAGCACTGTCTTAATTACTAAAACATTAGAATATGTCTTGATAGTAGAGGAAGTCCTTTTATCTTGTCTTGGCTGTTCTTTGTTGTAGTCAGATAAATTTAAGAATTGGCTTGTAAAGTTCCGCAAAGGACCTCTTGAAATTCTGAGATTGCAATGAACCTATAGAAAAATTTGGAGAATTGGTATCTTTACATTAAGTCTTCTAGTCTATGACAATGGTAAAAACATCTGTCTCCTTTGCCCTTTAATGTAAATGTTTCTATAATCTGAAGATGGAACTAACAAGATCTGGGTTGAAACCTCAGTTCTGCTTCTTACTGCCTTAGGACCTGAGGCAAGTCACATAAACTCTCTAAACTTTAGTTTTCTTATCTATAAAATAAGTGGTAATACCTACTAAGCAGAGTTACTAAGAGAATAGGGTATCATGTTAAAACCCTGAGTGTAGAAACTAGTGCATAATATCTCTTAGTGAATGGAATTAATATACTACATCTCTCTCTCCTTAAAGTTTGTGGGATATTCAGTTTTAAACTGGGTGCCATATAATGTTTTAATATCCTTGTTAACAAATTTATCAAAATCACATATATGGGTAGAATTTAGGTGATGGGTATATGAATGTTCGCTGTACAAGTCTTCCAATTTTGCTGTATGTGAAGAATTTTCATAAACTTTTGAGAAAAAGACAACATATATGAAAAATATAGAATGCTTAAAAGACTTTGCTGCCTCTCCCTGCTCCATGTGAAATCACAGTAAAGCCAAGTTAAATCTGACTTTTTAGGTTAAATGTTTTATTGAAACTATTAGCACACACATGCTCTTGTGGGTTGATTTAGTTCTAAATATTTCACGTTATTAGAGTCATTGACTTTTTTTTTTTTTTTTTAAAGTCATGGAGTTCCTTTTCTCAATATCATTAACCTTGTAAGATCTTCTAAAAGTGTTTACAACACAGCTTATAATTAACTGATTTTTGGAGAGGTGGAAGGGAACTAAGTTCTTTTTTTTTTCTTTTTTTAAATTTCCGAGATGGAGTCTTGCTCTGTCGCCCAGGCTGGCGTGTTGTGGTGCTATCTCAGCTCACTGCAGCCTCCGCCTCCCGAGTTCAAGCAATTCTCTTGCCTCAGCCTCCTGAGTATCTGGGATTACAGGCGCGTGCCACCACGCCTGGCTAATTTTTGTATTTTAGTAGAGACAGGGTTTCGCCATGTTGGCCAGGCTGGTCTCAAACTCCTGACCCTGTGATCCGCCTGCCTTGGCCTCCCAAAGTGCTGGAATTATAGGCATGAGCCACTGTGCCCAGCTGATAGGGAACTAAGTTCTTTGGTGCATTGGTTATCTTTTGCTGCATTAACTGACTATGGAAAAAATTAGTGGCCTAAAATAATAATTCTGTCATTCGAGTTGGGCTCAGCTGAGCAGTTCTTCTGCTGATACTGCCTGAAGTCACTCATGCATCTGTATCTGGGAGCTATACTGGGGCTGGAGGGTCTAGGAAGGTCTCTCACTCAAATGTCTGGTGCCAGCTCATCTGGGCCTTTCTTTTCACGTTTTCACCATTCATCTGTTTAGTCCAGGCTTCCTTAGGTGTTGCTGGGAACATTCCAAAAGGGGGAAGGTGGAAGCTTTAAGGCCTCCTGAGGCCATTGTACAATTTCACTTCTACCACATTCTGTTGTAGATTAGTTTAGGCATGAACTGAAATGGAAAATTTAGCAGAAATGGATCCTGGATTTTCTGGTACCCGTGTTTCGTTTAATTACTTTGTTGCTTTCTCTCCCTCCCTGAGTTCAATTAAGTTGAGAAAAGTGTTCATTGTTATTACTGATGGATTAGACTTTATTTGCTCTTCATTGAATGTTTCAGTTAATTTACAGACTAGTAAATTATCTGAGTCATCAAGTTATGTACGTGTATGTGGGTATCTATATACATAAATATAGATAAAATAATGCAGGAGGCGAATACTTGCAGTGGCTTTAGGATGATTGTTATATTCCTGTGGTTCCTGCTTCCCAGAAATGTTTTCTGTGATTACATCACACGTGTCCAGGTTTCTTATGAATGAACACTTAAGGAGCACTGCTTCACTGGAGGGTAATTAACACATTCTCAGACATTTAATTTCAAAAGCAAAGCATATATGTCTTTCTCTAAAGGCCCATGAAAACAAGTTTTTTTTTTTTCTCTTCATGAAATTGAGTGATTATAAAAACTGATTTAATCCATTGTAATTTTTTGTTATCCAAAAGTTGATTTTAAACAGTGAATCAGATTTCGGCACTGTGATTCATACTCCCAAAATGAGTAACATGATTAGCAGGATATTCCTAGTTGTTCTCTTGACTTAAAAAAAAAAAAAGTCCATGGTGACTCCTCCATTTTTGGTAGTGGAGTTGTATTGGGTCTATGAAGAGGCTTTGCGAGAAAAAAGAGCAGCTATTTATGGAGCATTTCCTCAGGCCTGCAATTTGAAGCTATTATAGCAAAGTTGCTGAGCAAGTCCGTGATTGCAGGCCAACAGTCATTCAAGCCCCCATCCTGCAGTCTGTGTGGAGTGAGTTCAAAACTACTGCTGTGCAAAGTTTTCCCTCTGCAGTGTTTATCAGTTGCCTACTTTGTAAAGAGCAAGGGTTTCAGGCATTCTAAACCCGCTTTGTTAACTGGTAGATTATTAAGCAGTTACAGGATATAAGCTAGTTTTTGGGTGTTCGGGAGATTGTTCAGCATTTAAGAATACAATGATTCCCCCATCCCCTACTCCCTTTTAGTTACTTAAAATCAAACCATCTTATCATAAAATGCAGATTTTATGCAGATTTTTCCAGCAGTTTTACTTACGCTTATAAAAACAGATGTTGGGTTGTCTGTCAAAGGAATTATATCCTGTAGACCTGGAATCTGTGTTTGAGGGGAATTTGATTTTAGATTGTAGATTGCTTTGTTGCCTACCTATGAAAACATCATTTATTTTTGTGTAGGGTTTTGTGAGCTTTTTTTTTAAATGGTGACAGAAAATGAAAATAGCCTAATTGTGTTTTTTATCATCAAAGGATGAAATTGGCTTATCTGAATTTGGCTGGAAAATTTGATTTGGTATCAGCAAATGATGAACTGAAAATCAATGAGCTTTAATCTGCTCTGGATAATATTAACAGGGGTTTATCCTAAATAGGACTCTTCTAACCTGTGAATCTTAGAACCTTTCCACTTTTTGGTGTCAAAGTTTTAAAGCATAGTAGCTTTTCTGTATATATAGTCTGATAGTGTAAAAAAAATTGGGTGTTGTTGCATGTTATTCTCTGTCCCTGTAAAAAAAAAAATCTGTATTTTTCCATTGTTCTGGAAAAAATTCAATTTCAAGGAAAATTTTATATAGCTACTAGAAAATTAGTTTTTAGCAATATCTATGATTTTCATTTCAAGAAAGCAACAATTGATAGGAATTATGTTTTGAGGATTGAAATCTACTCTAAATTGAAAGTGTTCACATTTAATATAATAATCTAGGATATTTAAAAGTCATATGGGCATTCTATAAAAGAGAAGTATTTCTTAATCTGTTTCAGTACCCCCCATGCCAACAAAACTACGCATGATAGCAACACACACTAAAAAGAGAAAGAACAGTGTCATTAAAGGATGTCCCCCAGATTACTAGGCCTTTTAAAAATGACATCTTAGGCCTGGCGTGGTGGCTCACACCTGTAATCCCAGCACTTTGGGAGGCCAAAGCGGACGGATCACGAGGTCAGGAGTTTGAGACCAGCCTGGCCAACATGGTGAAACCCTGTCTCTACTAAAAATACAAAAATTAGCCGGGCGTGGTTGTGCGCACCTGTAATCCTAGCTACTTGGGAGGGTGAGGCAGGAGAATCACTTGAACCTGGGAGGTGGAGGTTGCAGTGAGCTGAGATCGTGCTGTTTCACTCCAGCGTGGGCAATAGAGTGAGATTCCATTTCCCAAAAAAAAAAAGACATCTTAATCCCTACGTTCTCTTGGGTTTCAGTAAGATTGGGTGAAATAGTGAGTTTCTTAACTGTGGCAGTTACAACTGAGAGAAATTTTCTAGTTCTGTTACATAAATTGAAATTGAGGACATTTCTATTTCACTGAATGGTGGCTTTTGGGAAGTGGTCCTTAGATGTTGTTGCCTCACCTTTGTGCCTCACCCCCATCTTTTCCGGAACGATTTAAATGAAATATACATTCCCTTAAGATTCAGCTCAGGTGTTAATTCCTCTAGAGAGTCTACCTAGATTTTTCCTGTCCAAAGTCTGCCTTGGGAGTCCCTCATGGCCTTTCACAACTACACTGCATTGGGAATATGAGTTTTCACTTTGGACTTGATATTGTGTCTTGTGTGCCTAGCATAGAGATGCAGCACAATATGAATGCTCACCAAAAAGAAGTTGAGAACTATTTTCGTGTTCCCAGTCATTTCAGAAGCATTGACTTATTTTTACCTGTTTTGGTGTCTTTATAAAGCTTCAGCACCATGCTCAGAGGTATGGGACAAGGATTGAGAGCAATGCAGTCCCTGTCCTCGGTTAGGAGGCAAGGTGGGTGCAATGGTAAGAAGTGGTATGAAAAAATATCCAGTTGGCGCTAAACAATGTGGTAAGCCCTAAGTAATGTAGCTTAGGAACTCAGGAAAAAAAGAGAGACTTACTTCTGTGTTGGAATTCTTGGAGAAGTTTGGTCTTTGGTTGTATTTGAAAGATGGATAAGAATAGACAGAATAGGATTTTATTCTGTATTGAATCCTTTTGTTGACTTTGCTTTATCTGTCATGGTTTTATAACAACATGTAATTTTAGTATTTCTGCATTTGGTTAAAAAAATTTCCTCTCATTTGAATTTTAGGTGCCTGATTGCTTATTCTCCTCCACTAGATGTGGTAAGGCCCATTGGACCCACCATTGTGTCTTATGCACTTAGCATAGTTTGTCTGGTATGCAATAGATATTTGAGAATGTGGTGTGCCAGCTGATTTACTGACTGAATTCTGGAGCATTGTTTTCCTCATTTGTAAAATTCGGGGATTGGAATATGTGATTCGTAAGAACTTTTGCAGCTCTAAAATGCTGTGAAATTCAATAGATTTCCTGTGAATTCTCAAGTCTATATATATTTTCTAGTGTGATAACATTGTATTTGCAGTGTTTTTCATGTAGAATAAAGTATAAGTTTAATATATAAATGTTATCATTAATCCAGAAGATTTAGTAATGTTGGCAATAGGAGGAGTATTTTCAGAAGGATTTTTCTTACTGTTACTTAACTGATATTTTGGAGGAAAATGAAGAATAAAAGCTCTAACAGTGACATTATAGAATTTAGGTAGAAATTAAGAGGGAGTTGATATTTAGGGCTGAAAAAGAGAGGGCCAACCTTTCTAGAGAAAGATCGATGATTAGTTTTTGGTTGTAGTTTTGGTAAGAATGCAAAGTAATTTTAAGCAATATTTGTCCTGTTTGAGAAAATGCTAACATATCACAAATTGTTTATTATCTGTCAAACTGTGGAAAAGAAATTAAAGAAGTTTGAGATTTTAACTTGCAGCTGTTTCTGATTTGTACTTTTCTCTTAGCATGAAGACTGAGGCAGTCACCATTCCTGAGAGCCAAAAAAGGGCCGTCTTCAGCCTTCTGAGGGAAGAGCTATTCATTGATGTCAGAGCCATGGCATAGCCAGACACTTTCCATAGCTTTGAGAATCTATTCTTGACAGTCAGTTTTAGTTTTAGACTGTTTTGATTGTCAAGTACAACTCAGAAGTTTTGTATGTGTCACTTTCCATAGCTTTCAGAATTTATTCTTTACAATCAGTTTTAGTTTTAGATTGTTTGGATTGTCAAGTAAAACTTAGAATTTTTTTTTATTTTATGAGTAGGGTAATAATTTATACTTAGATTTAATTTCAAAGAACCGTTTGTGGCTAATAAGATATTTTCAAACTTTTTTAGTAATTGATAGGAACTTCGTTTTGAGCATATAACATTTGTTTTATGTCCTGCATTTGATATTACTGCTTTGAAGTGAGAGCAACTGTATCTTAAATACTTAGGTGTAGTCTCTTAACGTGTGTTACCTCTTTTAATCCTCTTCATAGTTAACTGTTTTATAAATTGGGGGCCTGCTTTGAAGAGATTAAGTAACTTAAACAGGTTCACCCGTCCAGGTATGTGTCACTCCAAAGCAGGAGCAGTTTCTGTGACCCTATGGCTGCCTCTCTGCAACCATTAAAAGGTTTTTTTTGTTTTTTTGTTTTTGCCCTTCAACAAGTTTTGGCATAGGTTAAGAGAAATATAGACTATATTGCGTTTTCTGTAGTATCTCATATGGCATACTTATTCATTTGGTGATCAGTAAATACTTGTTGAATTAAACTGGGGCACTTGCTATGTTCCTTAAAAGAAGTGGCATCAATAAGGAAGAATTAAGTACTGTTGCAGAAGCTCACCAGATGATTCTGATGTATCCATCCACTTACCAAATAGTTGTTGAATGAACTGGAAAATTTTCAGATTTAAGATATGATTGGCATATACTTTTTCATATCATCAAATACATCCATCAAGCCATGAGATGGGTAGACCCTCATTGTACAGATGTGGAAATGTTCACCAACATTAGCCAGCACACCCCCCATATCTGCCCCAACCCTCAAGTTTCCTTGATTATTTTATGTATGTGCGATAATGTGTGATACTACTACTACATAAACTGTAAAGGGCCATATATATGTTCCCCTTTATTACCTGACTATTGCTAACAGCAGAACACATAGTGTAGGCATGAAAGGAAGGCTACATAGCCATCTTGTTTTATCTGAAAACCAGTGTTTTAATCGAACAGGTTACTTGTTAGTACTTACATATTGACTTAGAAGTTGATAAAGATTTCATTTATGCTTGTGTTGCTCAGTTTTTGTATGATAACTGTGAAAACAGTAGCAAATTCAAATTGACAGTCATTTGTCATAACCTCCTTAATGGAACTGTCCTGCTTGGAATTTCCCACTTCTGGGAATGATAAGCAATAGGAATGATTTCTTTCATAGTACCTGATTAAGATAAAGTGGCCTTCATCATAAAGACGTGTAAAGAAAACTAAGCAAATGTAGAGGCTGACAGATATTTGTAGAGGGCATCCCAGCATTGGCAGTCCAGCCTGAGAAGAGACAGGATGACCTCCAGGGTGCTTTCTGGCTCCAGACCTGTGATCAAGAGTCCATAAGCATAGCTGATTGAGCACTGAAAGTAGTGATTACCAGAGAAACCAATGTTTAATGAAAAGTGAAAATTCTTGACATTGTAGAAATGATTATTTATGCCTATATACATAGAGAAATCCCAGTAATATTTTCTCAACTATGTACAGAATTAGTTCAGGTTATATAGTTCTTGTCATGATCTTAGGGCCAAATTATTCCCATAGGAGTAAAGTACATATTCAATTGTATTATTTAAATTGGAGAAAAAAATTTATGTAAAGAAAGTTACCTTATGCCATTTTAGAACCTCTGCTATTTAAAGTAAGTCACCTGTTGTATGAATTTGTAATGTGGCTTATTGATTTTTCTAGGATGCATATTTTTAAAGAGCAGAATAAGCTTCTGCTTTCAGGAATTCAGCCTAGTATTTCAAATGAGAGCTCATGTATTGCAACATTATTTATCTATTTTTGTAAAGGGCTGTTAATCACTTGGTGCCACCCTGTCTGAGTTGTGTGCTTGTAGATTGTTCACATGAAATCACTTGATATGGCATCTCATTTCTGCAAGAATTTTTTCTGTATTTTTAGCCCACCAGCCTAGCATGAAGTTAAATTATTTAATAGAAATATTTAGAGACCAGAAGCTTACTTTTAATTTTGCGAATGTTGCCTTACCCTTTTTGGAATAGGTTACTGTTTAAAAACGTGTCGATGTAGTTATGCAATATAATTCATTTATCCTACCTTTGGCCAAAACACACACACACACACACACACATACACACACTCATGCTCACACACTCATGCTCACACACACTTATTCTGTCTCTCTCTCTCCTTCTCCTTCCCTCCCTCTCAGCTATTTCTGAGCACAGAGTCTTTTGTTTAAAAGAGGGATTAGTATGTCAAATTTGTTTCTATATTGTATTTCTGGGTTTGAAGTTTTACTGGATACTTGGTTTTTGGTAAGGCTGTCATTTAATGCCTCTTGAATTATTCTGCAGGAGTATTAGCAAGAGTTGTAAACCGGAGTTCATATGTGAAATGTGAGACTGTGACCTCTTGATCCAGAGGCCAGGACTGTTGCCAACTGAACCAAACCCTTCCTTTTCCTAAGAATAGAAGTGCTCTGCCTAATGATTGGAGTTCAGCTCAGTGTTTTTGGTGTTCTCCAGTAATTGGTTAGAATCTCACCAATTGTGTTTTGAGTGGCCAAGCAAGTATTTCTTTGTAGGGATAAAGAGAGGTACAATGTGAATAATTTCTTTAAAGAGTTCATGAAGGAATTCTGGTATATCAGAAATACCACTGATATGTATGACCTGCCTCTGCTCCTGCCCCATAGAAGTTGCTATCAAATGTGGAAAGACACTGTGGAAAGAAGTGTCCATTTTTAATGTTAAATGTAACCAATTTGATAAGAAACCTATAATAATTGTATCATCTAGGTCTCTAATACTTGAAAACTTAAGTTCTATAAATTATAAATATTGAACTGAGAAAAAAATTGAAGGTAAAAGACGTTATTAGGACAAAGAATTAGGTTATTTGTGAGGCAGTAAATGTAAAATGTTGACTGTATTTTATAACCTATTAGTTTGAACTGTTCAAAATCAGAACATAGTGAGCTTCACAAGTTTTCATCTTATGGACAGGATTAATAATACTTCATAAATTCACTATTCCCATTCTCAGATCCAAGATGCCTTATATATATTTCTACTTTCCTTACTCCTTTGCTCACTCATTTTGCTCATTGGACTTTCCAGTATTTGCAGTGTTTTGATTCCTGACTGTCTTGAAGTCTTTCAGGACAAAAGTGGCTATGAAGCTGCTGTCTGCCAGAGAGACTAAAAGAGAAGCCCTCTTCTTTGACCCAGATAGTAAAGATAGATCATTTGATCAAAATTCAGTTAGGTCAAGTTAGTTAAGTCAGAATGTCAAGGAATCAGTTTAGTTAGTTAAGTTAGTTAAATTACATATAAGTAATGTACTTGGACAAGTCATAGAACGATGACCTACAGATTAAGGTCCATAGCCTGGCCCCATATCACCTTTCTAGCCTCATCTCTCCCTCCCTCTTTTTTAATTAATAAAAGACAAATAGAGACAGGGTCTCACTATGTTGGCTAGGTTAGTCTTGAACTCTTGGCCCCAAGCAATCCTCACACCTAGACCTCCCAAAGTGCGAGGGTTACAGGCGTGAGCCACCACACCCGGCCTCTAGCCTCATCTGCATCTGCCATCTCTCCTCCTCACTCCTCTCTCCTGCCTGTGAGACACCACCAATTGGATGTACTGAAGAGATGCACCTCTTTTACATGTTGTATATTCATGCATGCATTGGTAGCATTGTAAATGCTCTTTACTACTTCAGCTACTTACCCTGAGAAGGTCTTACACACCCCTCATTTTTACTTTATCGTTTAAGGCTCTCAGATCTAACTCAAATGTGTCACCATCTTTTTCCTGTAGCTCGTACTAATAACATTTGAACCCCTCCCTTATCCCAACTTCTGTAGCATTACTTTACTCATTTTTATTCCTATAGCATTTCCTCAACTCTAATATGTCTATTTTTTACATTTTAACCTCTGAAATTAGGGTACTTCTTACAATTCATGGGATCTTAGTTTTGATTAAACAAGGTACTTCCATTCTGGTGGAGAATTGAGATTCTGTGCTTGCCTTGCTTCTGGAACTTTCATTCTTGGGTCCATATCTCTAATTCCTCTTCCAGCACGACAACTAATAATTTGTGCTCAAATGTTGCTAAATGGAATTAAAATACTGTGTCTGGCTTTTACTATATTCAGGGGAATTTCAAGGGCATGATTTGTTCTGAAATCTATCAATAATAACAATAATGATTAGCATTTAGAGAGTCTTTATTTTGTGCTAGGCACTGCTTTAATTCCTTTATCTGGAGTAACTCAGTGAGTCTTCACAGTAACTCTGTTATCTCTATTTTATTTTTGAGAAAGCTAGGGTACAGTTCAGCCAAAATCGTAGAACTAATAAGTGGCACACTTAGGATTCTAGCTCTGTTAATCTGGCACCAAAGTCCACGTAACCACTGTTATATACTAAAATGTATTTGAATGTTTATTTAACCAGCTCTGCGCTTTGTGCTTTAGCTGCATTTTTTAATGTAATCCTCATTATAGCCACATGAGGATTTATAGTGTAGTATGCCAGAACACTCCAGTAGTCATCTTTAGATGTAAATTCTAGTCTCTATTCTGATACTATGAAGAGATAAACATATTATAGTAAATTTCTACATGTACATGCGGGAGTTTGAGGGCTAATAAGATGATCTTTCTAGTCTTTTCTACCTTTTGAAATCATTAAATTTAATTGCTGAAATAAATCCAGACTCTGGTGGAAATGAACTAACATTGAGCACCTTTTATGCTTAAGGCAGGTGCGCATTATCCCTATTTACAGATGAGGAAAAGAAGTTCAAAGATGAAATAATATGACCAACTTATTGAACAAGAAGTACAGGCAGAATCTGTTTCAGCATTGAATCTCCACCCCTGAGGATGGCTTCTACACAGGCAGAGCCTCTGTGATATTATTTTTATTTTTGGGGTTTTTAGGAAATCTTTTTTCTCCACCATTTTTTTATTTCACCATTAAGTTATCTTAAAACCAGGTCATTAGCTGTCTTTTGCTTACGTATTTTAGTTATTTTCAACAGCTTTTACTAAACATTTCGTAACCATGTACATATTACTTAATATTAACCACACCATTTCTCTGTCATCTATACCACAGGCTTTAAAAACTGGCATATTAGAGATATTAGAATGATAGTCATGTGAAAGGAGAAGAAAATGTCTACTATGTAGATTTTAGAAATTATTGGAGTATATTGTGGAAGTTAAAGTTATAGAAAGGATTTTGAAAGCATCTTTGAATTTTCTAGCATTGTGTTAGCTTTATGACTATCCTTGGTTATTTAGAATAATTAACACAGAGTAGTCTATATTAGACACTTAAGAATTTTGAATGCTTTTACTCTGTTTTAAAATTCTAGCCAGTTTCATAACATGAAATTAATAGAGCATGCTTAAAATTGGGAAACTTTGGTGTTTCTTAGTTGACTTGTAAGAGATTGCAGCTTTGATCTCTAAGCTGCAAGTAAACATCTGACTTGTCTATAAACACATGGTTTCAAGGCTTTGGGGGAGCCTAAGAAGATCATTGGTTTGAAAGCTGAAATAAGTGTACATTTATGACACTTGTGTTTCTGCAAAAAGAGAAGCTTTGGATTAAGTTTATCTGAGAAATGTTGTGTGATAGACAAGAACTGAAAAAAACAAGAGCTATGACAAAGACTTAGGTGGTTTAGTGGTGGTTCACTCAGTTCAATAAATCCCGTGTACTTAACGTGTGCTACACACTGATGGTTTTTGGATGGCATTAATGTGCCTAGTTTAAGGATTCCATGAGAGTTCATGATACTCAGTATTGGTGTCAACTTGGGGGTAACCATACAGCACTAGAATCATTATAAAGTATTTATTCAATATATTTTTAAGATATTATTTCTCTTACTGTTCTCTGGACAAGACATCAGTATCTGAAATGCCTTTCCTCACCTTCTGTCTGTTCTTGGTCATTATATCAATCTACTTTTAAGAACATATACAAATTATGCTTTTTATTGCACATGTAGAGATTTAATATAGGAGGAAATGTTTGAAAGTATATAAAAGCCAAAAGAACAAATAAATGATCTCATAACCGATTGATAACTTATTGGCTGTATATTTTCAGACTGTTTAACTATAATCTTTTAATATTGCCAAACAGTTCTCTAGTACAGTTATAACTATTTGTTGTTCCACTAGCTGCAAATGATAGATAGAGCCTATTAAAATATTACTTTTTTACTGCTTTGTGTGGTATTCTGATATCTTTTACCTCTTCATGTGTTGCTATGTAGTTTTTGTTGGTTACAGTTTGAAATATGAGTTCCTTTTGCTTATTAAAGTGACATTTCTGGGCAAAACACCATACTGGAGGATTTGGAGGAAATCTTGAAATTGTTCCTAAAGGCAACAAATTGAAGATATATTAATGCTATGTAACCTGAGCACATTTAGATAGGAGATCACCAGCCATTGGAGTCAATCTGCAACTTCCTGAACAGGCATGTTTTGGAGCCAGGCTTTGAAGAAGCTGTAGGATAAGAGAAGGAAGAGACATGGTTTGTACAGGGAGATGGAATAAGATGGGTATGATATGTATGCTGGATTAGAAATTGATAGGATACCTTCAAGAGAGAAAAGAAGCTAGTGAGATAAAGGGTTCAAAATGAATGTTAAGCCAGGAGATGGATGAAAGAGGAAGGCAGATTTATTGTCAAGGGAGGGGAAAGACTAACATCAGTTATGTTTAAGGGAAGCTGGCCTAGCAATTTACATGGAAGTGGCTTGTGATACAGGGAGTATAGTTTAAGTCTTTTAAGGTATATGTGAAATGATTGGCCAAACTTGTTATTGCTGAGTATAGAAAGTAAAAACAGAAATGGTATGTAAATAACTTAATATTGCTTTTGTGATCATGGAAAAGTAGGAAGGATTTGTTTGGGAAAGGAACGATGAATACCTTTGTTTTCAGTTACATAAAAGATTAAATTAATTTTCCTCCTCTTTCTTGTTCTGTTGCAACTTTGGACTCCAGTTGGAGACTGGATCTCCCTTATTCTGTACCTGACATCACCTGGCATGATGACTTTGCTCATAGTTGTTGCTCAGGAACATTCATTAACTAATTGCGTATATGAAGAAATATAGATTACTGGAGTATGTCTTTCCACTGCTCTACTGATATTTGCTAAAAAAGAGATTTTGAGTAGTGTGCTTTTTTTTTTTTTTTTTTTTTTTTTTTGAGACAGTCTTGCTCTGTGGCCCAGGCTGGAATGTAGTGGCGCTATCTCGGCTCCTTGCAACTTCCGTCTAGTGGATTCAAGCGATTCTCCTGCCTCAGCCTCCTGATTAGCTGGGATTACAGGCATGTGCCACCATGCCTGGCTAATTTTGTATTTTTACTAGAGACGAGGTTTCACCATGTTGGCCAGGCTGGTCTTGAACTCCTGAGCTCAGGTGATCCTCCCGCCTCGGCTTCCCAAAGTGCTGGGATTACAGGTGTGAGCCACTGCGCCCAGCCTGCTTACTACTTTGCACAGAAATTAGAAGTATCATTTTAGCATCCCTTGTCTTTTGTCTGCCAATCAAGAAGTTTCAGAATGTTTTGATCTTTGGCCAAGTAAAGTATTGCCAGTCAGTGTCTTGGGAGATTTTAAAGTGATGACGTAGTGCTTAGTTATCTTACATAGCAAATTGTTGAGATATAAAATATATTATCAAATAGTTCAGTTACCAATTAAGCCTGCATTATATAATGTATGTGATTATCTAATGGTTTCACCCAAATCTTTTTCTCCCTTTAAATGACATCCTCGAGTGTAGGGATTCTATCTTGTACTACTCATTTTTTAGCCCCCACATGTCTATAGCATTGTGTATGGCTTACAGTAACTTAAAAAAATGTGTGTTGGCTTAATTTATGCTTTAAACCTTAAAACATGTTAAAAATATATTGTCATATTAAGAATATTAATAGAACCTTGTCAAAAAATTTTTACACATGCAAATCTTTTTTCAGTGAAAACATACATACAAATGGTTTTTTTTTTTTTTTTTGGAGACAGTCTTGCTCTGTCACTCATACTGGAGTGCATTGGCATAATCTTGGCTCACTGCAGTCTCTGCCTCCTAGGTTCAAGTGATTCTCCTGCCTCACCTTCCTGAGTAGCTAGGATTACAGGTGTGCACCACCATGCCGAACTAATTTTTGTATTTTTAGTAGAGACAGGGTTTCACCATGTTGGCCAGGCTGGTCTCAAATGCCTGACCCCGTGGTTGCTGGTCTCGAATGCCTGACCCCGTGATTTGCCCACCTCAGCCTCCCAAAGTGCTGGGATTACAGGCGTCAGCCACCACGCCTGGCTGAACATGGTCTTTATTCTTAAGACTAGAATAGTACTTCTCAACAAGGGATGATTTTGTCCCTTTCCTTCCTGGGTACATTTGGCTATGTCTGAAGACATATTTGGTTGCTAGAATCATGTTAAGCCCTTTTTCAGCCAGTGGGGTTTAGCTGAAATGTACTTGGGTTCTCTCATTTAAGTGGTACAGAAATCATACCTCTGTAATTTAGCCCATGGTTTCCCCTTGCCTCTCTTTCAAGAATGCTTCTCCAGTCTCTCCAGCTGGCTAATTTTATAGATTATTCAGCATTGCCTTCAGAGGCTGTCACCTTTATGTGTCCTCCTCTGTATCACTAGGTTGTACCAAGAACCTTTCCATAAACACCCTAAACCTTTTTCTATCCTCTATCATTTTATATTCATTTATAGATCATTTTATATTCATTTCTAACCTCTGTCATTTTATATTCAAGTTGTATCTTTATGGATCTTTCCCACTAGAAGATAAGCTCCTCCAAGTCAGGGATTATGTGTTATTCATTTTGATGTCAGCAGTACTTGGCACTTAGTAGGTGTTCAGTAAGTGCTTTAGACAAACTGTAGCTCAGATAATATTGTTTGGCTTAGGTTTAGTGCGGTTTTTTTGGTGGTATGGAGAGGGTTGGGATTGTGGAGAGAGAAGCTGATTGACAGGAGACTTGAGTTCTAGTTCTGCCTCTACGACCCATTAGTGCCATCACCTCAGGCATGGTTGAGTGACCATTATGAGTTTTAATTATGTACAGAGTGAGGGAGGATTGGGCTACAAGGTTAAGAGGAGCACTCATCCCATAAGCTGTGTATCACAGCTCACTTAACTGAGGCCAGACAACCTTATTGAACACAGCTGTGTGTCCAGGAATAAACAGAAGAGGCTTCAGTGTAACTGCCAGATATTTTCCCCATAACTTAAGACAGCAGATTAGAAACAGTAGTTAATAGGAAATGCCCAACACCTGGGAGTCCAAATGAAGAGGTCCTTTCACTTATCTGTGAAGGAACTTTTGGCCTATACTGTCTTTATTGATGGCCTGGATAAGTGAACTATTATTGTATTCAATCTGGTTCACATATAGTCTTCAGTAACCATTTCTCACCGCTAATGAAAAGCTATCTGTAAGATGCTGATGAAACAGCTTTGTAGTGACTTGTTTCTCAACCTCTGAGGCATTGACCTGAAAGTAATCATAGATGCTCTTCTACCAGTGACCCCGATGTTAGCAGTTGTTGGGGAGGTGACACATAAGGCAGTGGCCATGCGACTTTCACTCTGGCCTCTGTAGATTCGCCTCGATTTGAGAGGTAAGTCTGGGTTTTGTCTAGGGAAAGCCAGGCTACTCTGTAAGTCTGAAAATATGTGTTTTAGTCTTATTGTGGGCCCTTAATTAAATGTCCATTTCTTTGTGTATAAAATGAAACAGTTGGTCAGGTGGTCTCCAAGTTTCTTTCTGACATTGTATTCTTCTGTGTGAGTTTGCCCTTCGATTTCAGCAATTCTGTTATTTTTATTTGCTTAATCACCAAATGAAGCCATTCAAAAGGTTAAACTATTAAGTGTTTCAAAAGATTCAGATTATGCCTGGAACATAGCTGAGTAATCTGAATATATTTTAGTGTTTGCCTCAATTAGTAGAAGTAAGTTGTGCTGTCCTTGGGTAATTAAAGGGAAACTTAACAGCCTTTCTTGGAAATATATGTATTCTGGGTTTTTCCTCAAAAATGCAGGAGAGGACCATTGGTTCTGTTAGCTGCTGTGTGGAGGCTGAGAGAGCTTAGGGAAACCTTCCCAAGAGCGGACATTTGAGCTGTCCTCAAAGACTTGACAGGAGAGGAGTGGGGATGGGAAAGGAATTGAAGGCGGAGATACTGTGTGAACAAGGGCATGGAGACATGACGTAGTGATCTACGGCTGAAGTTTCCTTTCAGGTGTGAAGTGTTTTTTATATTTTGAGAACTTTGAAATTTTCCTTTTCTCTTAGATTTTAATCACATCTCCATGTGGACTTCATCTTTATAGACTGAGGTGTTCCAATTCCAGTTAGGCCTAGTCTTTGTTCCATCCCTTAAGCCATTTTCATAGTTCATCTTTTGTGTAGCAGTTACATATGTCAGTTTTGAGCAATAGTGACCAAAATTTTCCACAGTATCACAGATATGAGTGATTCACAGATGGTTAAAGTCACTGCGCACTCTTCCACTGCTCCTCCCCACCACAGTTGTAGTGGACAAAACATTTTATGAAAACTCTTACATGTATAGAACTTTGTCTTCTTTTTAAAAAGGATAGCAGAGAAATCATCTTTCTTTTATAATTCTTAGGTATGTCAGTCTTCTCACCTTAAAATGCAAGAGTGTTTTCTGATACAGCATTGAAGTATCAGTTATTTTCTATGTGTTTATTATATGTGAATTAGAAATTCAATGAAGTGAGTTCTGTGGATAACCAAATTGAGTTCCTGCTTCAGGAACCTTTCTCAGTAATTATTAATCTTTTTAGTTATTGGAAGAATTTTGAAAAGAATTTCAATGAAACTCCTAATATATTTGCTGTACTCAATTATCTTTCTTCCAATTTAGTAAACAGCCTTTTTACTAACTTTTTAGATTCCGAGAGCTTGAGTTTGTTCTTAGTGAGCTGCTAGGCAATTGACATCTGACATCTTAATGGGAGACTAGAATAATATTCCTCTCCATACAGAGGAACTCTTAAAAAAAAAAAAATCTGTAAGACCTAGAAACCTGTGAACCCACCTTCTGTGTAATCCTCATGTAACACTAAAGATCCAGCCTGCTAGCATGGGTCTCATAGATTGAGGCAGTCTCTAAGTGATCATGTTACTTAATATTTACAGTATAACCTTTTTATTAATTTCTTTTTAATGACCATGACTGTGACTATTAGTAACATTTTCTACCAGTAGCCATAAAAATCCCCCTCAAAAAGGTGATAATATATTTCATAGTATAATGGAATTTCATAGTCATTTAACTTGAGAGGTTCAAAGAAGAAAGCTGTATTTTCACTGACAGGATCACATTTCAATTGCAACTTAACAGAAAGCAAGTTGAATCCTAGTTTTCAGCCTGAACAAATGTTCTGATTCTGGTGAACTAGGGAATTTAAAATATCTTTATATGATTATACCACAACTGTGTTCTCTTGCTTTCTCTCTGTAAACATGTTAAATCCAGAGGAGACAGAAGGGAAGACATTTAATCTGTATTTGTAATTTGGTATTGAAAGACTACTGACTCTTCTAAGTAAGCCAGTCCTGTAAGCATGATTTGTATGAGTGTCTAGCATTTATTTTCTTTAAAAAAAAATTACACATGCATGTGTATATATATATGTGTGTATATACATACATACAGAGAAAAACACAGCATGTTATAATCATACAAAGAGATATTAATGGATGGAAGAATGATGGGTGACTATTGCAAGAATTTTTGGCCATGATTGAAAGAATCCCACCACTCTTTTGCCACATACGAAATCCACAGATCTGGTAAGCCACCTTAATATCTGTCATAGTCCTACGTGTAAAACTTATTCACTAATTTATTATTATCACCAGTAACCTTTATTTAGCCAAGGGTTCCCTTACTTACTTTAAATTACTTTGTTACTTATTGGTAATTTAACACCCAATGTGTTACTAACAGTTGAAAACTTGAATGTTGCCATAAATACGCAATGGATATGGTTTCAGGTTTGTAGCTAAGTATGATTCCCTCACAGCAGACATGTGAGCCAAAAGACTGAACAGTGTTGACATCAGATATTATTTTATTTACTTTAAAACTGGTTATATGGATAACATACTTTGTTTTGCACAACACAGTAGGCAGTCAATAGGTGAAGTATTTGTTCCTGTTTAATGGTGGCCTGTTATATATCACAGCTGCTGAAGCAGAGGTTCAGAAAAGTCAAATTACTTCACTGAGATTGGGTAACCTAACTCCCAACTTAAATAAATCTAATGCCTTTCTACCACTGTCCTGCCCTCTTTTCTGATTGTGGAAGGCCCTGAAAGCATTACCAAAGTTTCAAAGTTACCTAAATAACATTTCCTAAAAATGACATCTAACGAATAATGAAACATCAAAGTAAAATAGATTTTTTATATCATTTAATGAGTAGTTAAGACTAGGTAAGACTCTGTGCTTAGTATCTATTTGTATGGAAACCATCTCATTATTTGACATACATTACGTATAGAATATGTAACAGTTAAATTGTTTTATGTTTTGGGGCCCCTCCCCAAGTTATTTTGCTAACTTACAATATGAATCTTTGTAGATGATTGAAGACATTCTGTAGTGTTACCAAACTTGTTAAAAGTAAGTGGTAAAGAACACAGAAGGTTCCTTGACTGTTTGTATTATTTTCATCAAAATGGCTGGAGGAGGAGTGGGTGGTGTCAGCAGTTTACGTTACAAGTTCCATATACACTTTATTTTGATGAAGACCATTTGCCCACTTTGCTAAGAAGCGTTTAGTGTGGATTTTCCTGACTCTTTTCCTGGTGATTTACCCTTTGGGAAATGTTTCCCTCGCTGTTAGACTTGTGTTGTAATAATATTTTGGGTGGCCGAAGCCCTGTTATGTTGTTAACAGTTGAAAATTTGAATGTCACCATAAATATACAGTGAATGTGGTTCCAGATTTGTAACTAGATTCCCTCACTGTAGTCGTATGAGCCAGCCGACTGAACAGATCCTTATTTGGAAGCCACTGGTGTCTGATGTGGCCACAGAACACTGATTATAACTTTGTTTGACTGCCTAAACCTGTCTTCCTTCCTGGTCCTTGGTTGAGGGCATTACTCCTAAGTCATGTCATGACAAATGAGGTCAGAGTTGGTACCCATCACATTTGTTTCATCTTCACAGTTTTTTTTTTATTCTGTGCCTAGACTGACAATTATAAAATGAAAAGATAATACTGCCAATGTCTGTAACCTATATAAGAAAGTTCACTTCTTTTTGACATCTGACATGTAGTAGTTCCATTTAAAATAGTATTTGTTCAGGAATGTCAGTTTAAGCAAAACAGTAGAATATGAGAAAACCACCAACCATCTTTTGAAGAGGTTGAATTGCTATTTTGGCTCTTTTGGGTAAATAAATGTCTTACTGTATGTAAAGATCTGAGATTATGAAAGAACATGTAAAATTGCTAGGTCAATTATTTTCCTGAAATAACTGTTGTTATTCATAAAAATACCCAGGTGCTAATAAGTCTGCCCTGCTAATTTTGATGCAGGTTGTTTGGGAACCACATTTTGAAAAACACTTACAGCAGACTTTCTGTAACTAAAATTTCTCAGGGCTGTTTTAAAATATTTCTTTATTTTTAGTTCTGCCATTTCTCTTTTTTTGCCTTTTCCCTGTAAGGTGATTATTACGAAAAGAGCTAGGTGGACCTTATCATTGGAATTCTAGTCTTTGTTTTCAGTTCATACTCTAATGACATCTGTTGTTTTCTATATCATGAAATCAGGACAAATACAATTTTTGAACTTTTGGGAGGAATATTCTCAGTCACTATGGCATTAGGAAAAGATGTTCAATTTTGCTGAACGTAACTTCAGGTACACGCCATTTGGGATCAAGATTGAGAGAACTGTGCTTGCTTCAGGAAGCCTCCACTTGAGCTTTGGCATTATTCTCATGGCTGGTCCATCCTCACCCTTTCCTTAGGGAATAATCATTTCCCAGGGGAGATGTATTATATATAAACATGTCAGCATGTCACTTTTTTTGTCAACATGTTTAAGTTGTGTTTAAATTGGTTTCATGCTTGCGGGCAAATGTTAATTTTATCAAACCTAAAGCTATAGGGTCAGATTATAGTGTGGTGTACAGTTTGTAGACTTATAATAAATGGTCATGTTTGCTTTTATGTATTTCTGCTCATACTTGTTCATAATTTTAACTCATTAACAGCCTTCAGTGATAGCTTAATTATTTAAATTTCAATTTAAGATTCTGATATCCTGTAGTGCAGAAACCATATTATCATAGAGGCAAAATGTTTACGTCTTCTCATGCATGTCAAGGAAATATAGTATATGCATAATCACTGAATTTTTGAGGTTCTAGAAATAGTCCACCATGGACATATACAAATATAAAAAGCCTATAGTTGTGGTTTAGGAACTGTGGCTCATGGAAGGATTAGATTGAACAATGTATCATTGTTCCTAGAGTCAGTTAAGCGTGTAGGTTTAGCTAGTTTGGGAACAGCCTCTAGCATGTGACTCTATAACACTTGCACAACAAACATGGGCCTGATAAGTGAGCAGTAAATCTGGGCTGACTGCCCACTCCCAGTACTGCCATCATAGTATTTTGAGGGCCTGACAACAATATTAAAAGCTTAAAACATTCTTCACACCGTTTTGTATTATTCCTGGTTTTCCAGTTTTATTGTTTACTAAAAGTCAATTTTTCTTAATAAAAAAAGATTGTTTAGTTGGTCATTTGATTTCTCATTAGATACTAGGCTTTGTGAGGTCTTACATATATTTAAGTTCAAGTTTTCTCACTTTTCTTCAGGGAAGTGGGTGACTTGGTTGTCCTGATGTCTCTTTTGGGCACATAAAGCACATTTTTGTCATGTTATCTTTGTTCACTTTTATCAGAAAAAATTCAGTGTCTGAGCAGGTCACTATCATCAAAAGTGCATGTTTGGGTTTTTTTCTCTTTTCCCCTTACAACACAATGAAGACAGTCTTAAAGGTGTGTTAGGGGCTTAAACACTTGACAGCTGCATTTTTAAAAAAGTTTCTAATTATGGTATTTGGAGTGTCCATAAAAAGCTTCTATTTATAACGTTTGTAGATTATATTAAATTCCTAACGCCTAATTTGTGCCATCTGACATCACGAAATCTTAGCAGACTTGGAAGGAACCAGTTTGTTAGGTAGCTGTGCACAGGTACAAACGATTTAAGATTACACTCCTGGGATTTTGTGAAAAATCGGTTTTACAAGTTTTTTAGTTTAGAAGAAACATATTTTCAAAAATGGATTAAGAAAAGAGGACAAAAGATACAATATAGTTAGGTTTAAGTTTAAAAACAGTTTCATTCTACTGATACTAGTTCTAGATTTTAACCAAGATGGAATCATTTTACAAATTGAGAGTTTCAGAGGTTGCTTAACTCCTCAGATTAGTGGTTTTTGCTTTATCATGGACACAAAATATTTACCCTCCAGGCATATGTCGTTCTTAAAACAATGTTGTAGGTGATCAAATCTCAAAGTAGTATCTAAGGCAGTGCTTCTCAAACTTCAACGAACATACAGAGGATCTCATTAAACTATAGATTCTTCATCAGTGGGTTGGGTGGAGCCTGAGTTTCTGCAGTTTTAACTAGCTCCTGGGTGTGCTCAGTGCTGCTGGCCCAAGGCCCACACTCTTGAATAGCAGGGGTATGAAAGAATTGATAGTATCCATTCTTTGAAGTTTCCAAACCTTATCACAGTACCAGTATCAATGTTAATCTCTTTCTTAGTATATTATTTTTAGTTATTTATTTTACTAACCTACATGAGCACTAACCTCCTACTAGTGCTTTCACAAATTAGCATTATAAAATTATAATCCTAAACTTTGAAGATAGGTATAAGAAAGTCATCAGTGTTTTCATTACTATAAAGCCCATTTTGATTATGTTGTTCAGTGTTCCTTAAATAAGGGTTATAGATTCAGCATTTGAAAATAAAACACACAATCAAGAATTTGAAGTGTGTTTTAGAATTTATTAGGATGAGCTTTGGCTAATGCTTAAGAAATATTGTTTATTCTTTGCTTTGGTTTATATTGACAGAACCGACTATCTTATGGCTTAAGTAAAAATTGATTGTATGGAAAGGTTTTTAGCAATTAATATTTTGCGGCATTTGGTTATAGGGATGAGATTTTTATTTTATTTCCAAATTATTATGTTGTTCCCCTTCCCCTAGGAGCCAATATAGTCTACACTTGCTGAGTTCCTTTTCTAGTTCATTCTCTGTCTCTCTCTGTTTGTTTGTTTGTGTTTGTTTTTGCTGGCGAGGTGTTTATTGACAGGTTGTGGTGCCGCACAGGTCCTCAAAGCCCAGCCAGCCAGCAGGTACCCAGGGCGCAGTGCTCAGCCTGCAGCAGGAGGGTCTCCGTTCACATGTCCAGGCTTCTGGTTAATTCTTTCCCTAAGCTGATAGCTCTCTGCAGGTTGAAGTAACGGTCCAGAAACATTTTTATCATTTCTGTTCCTTGCCTTCAAACCTGTGGCATCTACCTACTGCATCTCTTCATTACTTATTGGTGAAAACCAAACTCCTATTAAAGCTCTTAAACTAGACCTGTCATCTTCACTTAACTGAACTCTTATCTCATTTTTAACAAAACATATTCTTGGCCCATTCACCATGAAGTTTTTCCTATTTTAAATATTGGGGTAGCAACAGAATGAAATTTTTGAGGGCTTTTTGCGTACCAGGAGTCACAGTCCTGGTTGCTTTTATATATGTTACTGAATTTAATTACCTCAACCCTGGAAAGTAAGTAAATAAATCAGTCCCACTTTATTGAAGGTAGAGCAGATTGATAAAAATTGCCCACACAATCCAGATTGTCATTGGCAGAGCTGGGATTGTAATATACATCTGCTTGACTTTTCTTTTCCACAGAGGAGTCTTCCAAAAGGAGGAGGCTTCTGGGTCTTTAAAAGGTTGGATAGAAATTAGGTGCTTTGTGGGCCAGTTGGGGAAAAGATTACCCCTGGAGGAAGAGTAGCGTCAAGAAATGTATCAGACATTTCAAAAGAATCAAAAATCTATATTAAATTTGTATAGCTGACAAAACCTGATTTACATAAAGGATTTTTTTTTTTTTTTTTTTTTTGAGCCAGAGTTTTGTTCTTGTTGCCCAGGCTGGAGTGCAATGGCGTGATCTTGGCTCATCGCAACCTCTGCCCCCTGGGTTTAAGCGATTCTCCTGCCTTAGCCTCCCGAGTAGCTGGGATTACAGGCGTGTGCCACCATGCCTGGCTAATTCTGTGTTTTTAGTAAAGACAGGGTTCTTCCATGTTGGTCAGGCTGGTCTTGAACTCCCAACTTCAGGTGGTCCGCCCGCCTTGGCCTCCCAAAGAGCTGGGATTACAGGCGTGAGCCACTGCGCCTGGCCCAGCATATTTTTTTAAGCTTCAAACCACCAACTTAAAGGTGTAGAAATAGTAAGCATAATACCGCCATAACCAGTTTATCTCTTTACCAGTGCTATCAGTTAACAAATCATGAACATTGTGTATTATGTATATTACATGTAGCTTTCTGTTCTGACAGCAGAGTTTATGTGCTAGTTCTGGATTCGTCTTAATAGATGATTTGAAAAAGAAAGCATTTAAAAGGATTCTCTGTAAAAATTCTACTCGGCTAGTAGCAAACTTATCATTTTAGAAAAACCGTTTTTTACTTTGAGACCAGTAAGATGGAGTGACAAGAACTCCCAAGCCAGAAGCTAAAAGACGTGTTTTTATTCCTGGTAATGCCACATAACTGGAATTGGCAGTTGCCAGTAGTACGAGAATTTGCTTAACTTTCACCAGCCAATGAAGTTATTTGCTTGCTTTCTTACCTCCTATTACAGTGGAAGCAATGCTTGTATCCTATTCCTTCCTGCTCTCTGAAGGATGACTGTGCCCCATCAATAATCCCTTTGCACATCTTCAGCTACTCTGTGTTCACATTTAAACACTTGTATCCCTTCCTCTTGAAAAAACAAGAACTCATAACCACCTATTTAGCTTTTTATTTCCTGTGCACAACTAAATTTGTCTGCTTCTTTACTTCCTACTCACTGTACTCTCACTGTCCCTCTAAAATGGCTCTTGGCCAGTGTCACCAATAATTTCTTTCTTTTTTTTTTTTTTTTTTTTTTTTTGAGATGGAATCTGGCTCTGTTGCCCAGGCTGGAGTGCAGTGGTGCCATCTCGGCTCACTGCAAGTTCCGCCTCCCAGGTTCTCGCCATTCTCCTGCCTCAGCCTCCCTGAGGAGCTGGGACTACAGGCGCCCGCCACCACGCCTGGCTAATTTTTTGGTATTTTTAGTAGAGATGGGGTTTCACCGTGTTAGCCAGGATGGTCTCGATCTCCTGACCTTGTGATCTGCCCGCCTCGGCCTCCCAGAGTCTTTCTGTGTACTTTCACTACACACACACACACACACACACACACACACACACACACACACTAAACAATTAGCCTTGTCCAATACATACTGTTTTATAACCTATTTTTAAAAACTGTATTATTAATATTTTTTCATATTATATGTTCTTCTAAAACATTTTCAGCAGCTGCATACAGTCCATCATATATATCCATGTTTAACCAATTCCCTATCATTAAATGTTAACTGGCTTTCAAATGCTTGCTGTAATAAATGATACTGAAGAGATGTTTATATATAAGGGTTTTATTACTTCTGGCTATTAATGCAGGATACTTTTTAAGGTAGTTTTATTTGTATAATATATCTAGTTTTTCTTTCATTGAAACAATGAAACTTTGCTACAAGAAAACTTAGTACTTATTGCAAGTTTGTATGTCAGATAACGTGCTAGATGCCTTGCAGTCTTACATTTCATGGTATTTAGCTGTTTTAATTCCCAACTTTATAGATTAAGAAATCTATATGTATACATGTATTTCTCAGTAAGTTAACAATTATGTAGAAAATGTTCAGCAAACATCAAAGGGCTTTGTGTAAGAACATGTTATTCAGGAGCCACAGGGGAAAATGAAAACTTACAGATGAAGTTTAAAGTTCTGCTTTGGCTTTGGAGTATGTAAGAAGATGACTTTTGGGGTTTTGTGGTGTTTTACCTTAAAAAGGCGTTTTAGGCCTAAAAATTATGTTATTTGGCATTCTTATCTCTAGGAGAAAATAAGTGTATGAATTTCTTATGAATCTTGGGTTTTAGTCATATGGTTACTCTTTTAGTTTACAAACTACATTGTATCTTTGCATTAGAAGGGGTAATAATTATCTTAATAGTTGAAGATGATTTCCTTTCACTTAAAATTCCAGGCATAACTTTTTCAGATGTTGCACTTGTAAGATCTAAGAGTTGAAAGTTGAGTGATTTAAGGGTGAAAAATGTCTGTTGCAGAGGGAGGCTGGTGGGAGCAGTGAGATGCTGTGACTTAATGCTTTTACAGAGCTCGCTTGGCACCCTTTGATTATGAGCCCACAAGATAAGAATTGTTTTTGGAACCTGGTATTTGTTTCCTAATGCAGTGGTTTGTTTTGTCTTAGTCACATCGATCAGACAACAACATGGCAGGACCCCAGGAAGGCCATGCTGTCCCAGATGAACGTCACAGCCCCCACCAGTCCACCAGTGCAGCAGAATATGATGAACTCGGCTTCAGGTGAGTGAGACACTGTAATTACAGCACATGGAGTAATGCTTACGCATTGGTAAAAGTTGATGTGGAAAATAGTCATTACTCGTTTACAGAAACTGGGACATGGTGATGTTTATTGTCTCTCCAGTTTCATACAGAAGACATAGTCTATTTTAAAATAACGTAAGCTATATTATTGCCTTGTATAGTTGTTAACGCATAAGGGGGCCGATAACTGAAAGCCAGTGGTTCTTTAAGATTTGGTTCTGAAGCGGGTATCTCAAATTTGTAGTTCTGTTAATTTTGACGTATTTGGTTTTATTCTGCTGCTTTCTTGTGTCTCAGGTATTTGAGTTGAATTTACCCTCTTCCCTTTGTGGTTTGGATGGAAAGCCAAGCTATAGTGTTCTTATTTTTTATTATTATTATTTTTTTTTTCATTTTTTTTTTTTGCTATGGTGTTCTTAACCCAACTTTTAATGTGGTGTTATTCATTCTACTCTGAAAATATCTGGAAGGCAGTAACTTTTGTAAACCCAAAAGAATATTTCTTATTCCCAGGGCAAGCATGGATTATTAAACGCATCTTCACCTTTTTTACTAGAAGATAAACCTGAGTATAAATCTTTTTCTACCTCTTATTTGGCAATTTACTTGAATATGCAGTTTTTCTCATCTACATAATGGGGAGTAACAGTGCCCCTTATGATAGAAGGGAAGATATGAAAGGAAATAATACAATTTATATGAAGCCTCTAGTAATTACAGAGTAGGTACTAAGTGAAAGTTTAGCCCCTTCATCTTCCTTATCACATACTGTCTGGCGTCTTTCTCCTTTGTTAGGTGGGTTCAAGGCCACAGTTAGCCCATTATGTACCTTTGTACATATTAGGAAAAGGTGCCCTTCCTCTGGGAAGATGTAACATTGTGCCTGGCATCAGAGATTGGAGCATTTGGGCTGGATTTCTGACCACTCCCCTGGCCCCCACGCTTTACCCCGCTGCTCAGTGCCCAGGTTCAGGACACAGATGGCAACAATAGTATGTGGCAGCTCTAGTAGACTTGATGGCTTTCTCCACCGCCCATGCATTTTCCCTAGATAACAAGCATATTTAGTAGCTACACAGTAGATTTCTTAAACAGCAGTCTTTGGCAAGGGACTGTTGTGGTTGGGTGGGAAGGGTGGTACCATTAGTTGACAGGAGGGTTCCTTGACTAGGCGAATTCACAGAACTTGAAATGTCCTTCTGCCCCTCGTGCTGGAATGTTTCTGCTGTTACATACCTCTGCTCTTGCTTTTGGTGGGTTGAACATTTGAGTTCTAAAGAGTTAAGAGTGGAAAACAAAGAAAATGGCAACATTTGTGATTGGGCTTTTCTTGACATAGACTTTAAATTCTGAAGAAAAATTCCTTAAATCTAAATTTAACTCATTATACTACGAATACATTCTCAGAATCTCTTTTATATGTGACACTTAAGTAAAAATTTTTTTTTTTTTTTTTTATTGAGACGGAGTCTCACTCTGTCACCCAGGCTGGAGTGCAATGGCATGGTCTCAGCTCACTGCAACCTCTGCCTCCCAGGTTCAAGTGATTCTCGCGCCTCAGCCTCCCGAGCTGGTACTACAGGCGCCTGCCTCCACACCCAGCTAATTTTTGTATTTGTAGTAGAGACGGGGTTTCACTATGTTGGCCAGGCTGGTCTCAAACTCCTGACCTTGTGATCTGCCCACCTTGGCCTCCCAAAGTGCTGGGATAACAGGCGTGAGCCACCATGCCTGGCCCCTAATTAAAAAAATTTTAAGACAAAAATTGTACAAATATTAATATTTTTACTTGGCAACTATTATGTTTTTTTATTACCAAATTTTCAAATAAAGTTGTGAAATCTGCCCTGTATTTATGGTTAAACAAGATGATTCACATTATTCATTTTGTCATGCTCCATCTAAAAATTATCTCGGCAGTTAATGACAGATAACATTAATTTAAACTTTATTTTGGAAGAGTAAGTATTTCGCGTCTAACAAGGTTGATTGTAATTCTTTTAGAACATTGCTTTGGTTGTGTCCTATTATGTTTTCTGATGGTGATGGTCTAGAGAAATGAGAGTATTTCGGCTGAAATTTATGCTTTAAGTCAAAGGTATGTATCAACTTGGTTTTAGTGGGTTTTTTTGTTTTTTTTCTTTTGGATGGAGTTTTGCTCTTGTAGCCCAGGCTGGAGTGCAATGGCACGATCTCAGCTCACCACAACCTCCGCCTCCCTGGTTCAAGTGATTCTCTTGCCTCAGCCTCCTGAGTAGCTGGGATTATAGGAATGCGCCACCACGCATGGCTAATTTTGTATTTTTAGTAGAGAAGGGTTTTCTCCATGTTGGTCAGGCTGGTCTTGAACTCCCAACCTCAGGTGATCCGCCTGTCTTCGGCCTCCCAAAGTGTTGGGATTACAGGCATGAGCCACCATGTCCAGCCGGTTTTAGTGGGTTTGAAAATAATTGTGGATGTTTTATTTCAGCTGTATGTCCTGGGCAGGTACAGTGGCTCACACCTATAATTTCAGCACTTTGGGAGACCAAGGTGGGAGGATCAGTTGAGCCCAGGAGTTTGAGACCCGCCTGGGAAACATGGTGAAACCTTGTCTCTACAAAAAAAAAAAAATAGTCTGTCATGGTGGTGCATAAGTGAAGTCTCACCCAGTTCTCAGGAGGCTGAGGTGGGAGGATGGCTTGAGCCTGGGAAATTGAGGCTACAGTGACCTGTGATTGCACCACCATACTCCAGCCTAGGTGATAGAGTGGGACCCCATCTTAACAACAACAACAAAAATTTTTGTCTTGTTTGTAAAATATGAAATGTTTTAATATATTACATAAAAATTAGTATGCATATACATGTCTAAATAATAGAGCTATATGTAGTAAAGAGGTGACTTTGACACAGTTTCAGTGGAGTGGCAAAAAGCGTGACTGGAGGGTTAGGAGTGAGGGGGAGAAGGCATAAAGGAGAGGGTTGTGAGGAGAGAGTTGGAAGAAGGAACTGAAATGAGAAAAGCCACCTCTGAAGAGGCTTGAGCATGTTTACAGCGTGCTAGAAGGTATTTAACAATAATAATAGTATAATAATAATTCTTATTTATATACCAGGCATTCAGTGAAGGTCCATTTTGCACTGTCTCATTTAAGATCCCATGTTCTTCACTGTATGTTAACCAGGGATAGGATAACTGACAGATAGGATAACTGACAGAGCGAAGCCTCCGATAAAGCAGAAGCGACAAGGAACCACTAACGAACGTCCTGGAGGCGCTATTTTTAAATACTATTAATAGTAGATAATATTGGGGAACTGCTTCTCCAGAAGGTGATGGGTGTGGAGATGATGTTTGTTTAAGGAGGCCTTGTTTCAAATAAAATACTGTTCACTCAAGAGAAGAGAATATTCAAAGAGAGCACTCGAGGTTATTGCCTTTTATGGGGACGGTCAGACAGTATGATGGGGAAGGGAAGAGACTAGCTGATGGGTCCAAAACCAAAGGCTTTTTAAAACATCCGCAACACATCGATTCTAGGAGTCAGTCAAAACTTTCCAAATTAGAGTGAAGTGTTATCTTAAATATATATGAATTCCCAGAATCAGACAAGTTTATATCTGGATTATTCTGAATTTGGTCATATGGAGACCTGCTGATCAAGTGCTGAGGGTACTGATAATATCTTTACAGCACATGCCTCTTTTTCCTCTAAATTACATACACTTGTCTGTTGTCTTTTCTTCCATTTCAGTGGAAGCCCATGGTTTTGACATGTTTTGGAATGAATGTCACTGTAATCTTGATATACCTCATGTTCACATAAAATAGCCGTAACGTCATGTTGACATGTTAATAAGGTTTCAGTAAGCAAAAGGATGCTCTTCTCTACTTGGAAAAATGATCTTTTAAGGAGTTTTTAAAATGTTAGAGACAGTGAACAAGGACAACTGTGAGAGCATGTAAGTAAATTTTGAGGGTATTTAATGTAACAAAGCAGAAAATGGCTTCCGTGAAGCAGGGTATCTACAGAAAAGTTTCACCCTGAAGGGAGTGTCTTCTGAGTCTGCTAACCCGAAGCCTTCACATAAAAGAGAAAGCTACACCGTGCTTTTGAAGCACTCTACTGGGTTAATCATGCTAAATGCAACTTGATTTACATTTTTATTACTCATTATTTAATAAGGACTTCCTCGCTTTGCTTTTTTTTGAAAAAGAATTCCCATCATTCATAATTGAGTCCAGCTTCATGTTCTGCTCTGAGATCTTGTTCCTCATCCAACTGCTTTCCTTAAGATACTGTAATTTCCTCTAGACTCCCCAAACCTGTTTTCTGCATAATTTTCATGGTTGACTAGGATGAAAGATCTTTTAAGATTCTTTCCAATTCTTAAGATTTTATGAAACTCTATTTTGTTTTCTAATTGGCTTTAGCAAAAATGATCAGTATAATTATGCTTTTATAAGTCCTTTTTCAAAATATGAGGTTGAAATGGTAGATACTACATATAGCCTAGAGACCAGTGGTTTGTGATTGGGCAAATTTCCAAATATCTATAACTGAGAATCACCCAAAACAAAGATGCACCTGGAAAAGGTTCTAGAGGCAACACTCAATACATCCTTGGAAGAAGATTAATTTATATTCTTTAACTGTGCCATTTAAGTGGCAGGGTAAATGACAGCAAGCTTTGTGAAAGAATTTGAAAGGTGAAGAAGAGGAAAATGGAAAAATAAGAGGAAATGGAATAATGTATTAAGATAATGGTTGTACTTTACTTTATATTAAAATATTCAATGTATAAATATATGTATAAATAAGTCTAGTCTATTAAATTACTTGAGGTGAATGTCCTTTGAAAGTTAAAATTTATAGCTGGGTGCAGTGGCTCATGCCTGTAATCCCAGAACTTTGGGAGGCCAAGGTGGGTGGATCATGAGGTCAAGAGATTGAGACCACCCTGGCCAACATGGTGAAACCCCGTCTCCACTAAAGATTTAAAAATTAGCTGAGCATTGGTGGTGCACG
The DNA here is from genome assembly GCF_000001405.40 of Homo sapiens. Taxonomy (NCBI): domain Eukaryota; kingdom Metazoa; phylum Chordata; class Mammalia; order Primates; family Hominidae; genus Homo; species Homo sapiens. The sequence continues at coordinate 102,167,608 of NC_000011.10, forward strand.
CCTGTAGTCTCAGTGACTCCGGAGGCTGAGGCAGGAGAATCACTTGAACCCAGGAGGCGGAGGTTGCAATGAGCTGAGATTGTGCCACTGCACTCCAGCCTGGTGACAGAGCAAGACTCCATCTCAAAAAAAAAGTCATAATTTATAAGGCTGGGTGTGGTCGTTCATGCCTATAATCCGAGCACTTTGAGAAGCCAAGGTGGGAGGATTGCTTGAGCCTAGGAGTTCAAGACCAGCCTGGGCAACATAGGGAGACCCCATCTGTATTAAAAATAAAAATAAAAATTAGCCAGGCATGGTGGCCACACACCTGTGGTGCTAGCAACTTGGGTGACTGAGATTGGAAGGATAGCTTGAGCCCACGAGGTCAAGGCTGCAGTGAGCCATATTTGCACCACTGCATTCCAGCCTGGACAACAGAGTGAGACCCTGTCTCAAAAAAAAAGTTATAATATAAATTAGTTATTATATATAATAGCCTTTTGATGCCTGCTTAGGATCCGTAGTTTTTCTCCCCATATTGAGAGTTAGGTAAACATTTCATGATTTTTGTGTTCAGCATTAGAAAAGAAAGCCCTGGGGAGTGAAAAGTGATACTTCCTTAGCTCTATGTGTATGATATATATTAAATTTTTAAATAGTGTACTTGTTAACACTGATCCACAAGATTGCTGAATCTTCAAGGGACAGTAAAGTCAAAGTATATTCTGTGATAATCCAGAAATAACTGTATGACAAATGACTAGGATCAATAAAAGTTATGTCTTGATTTATATTAAGCAGAATCAACCCATTTATCTGCTTTTGAGAAATGTACATTTGATAACAACCCAAAGCCTAAATGTCTTATTACAGGTACATTTTAGAGAATTCATTATTTATATGCTTTAAAGTTAGAAATTGTTGGGATTTATTTGACAGTTCCCAACTCTACCAATGTAGCACTTTCAGATTTCTCTATTATGAAAAACTGTGAGGATTTCCTAGGAAATACCTCAAGATGGGTGGAGAAAATGCCCTCTTGATCATGAAAGGTGATACGTGTTAGAGGAATGTGCTAAGCACCTTCCTTGAAGTGGGGAAAAATGTTCAGAAGCAAGCAAAGTGAGTAGTATAGAGCTGCCTTAAGGTTTGCCTCTTGTGTTCTCCTGCCTGCCTGTGTAATATCTCTCAGCACTGAAGATCAAATGAGAGATTGTTACCAAGAAAAATGAGAGAGCTAGAAAATAGATGTGAAATATAAAAATGATGGGTAAATTACACATTGATTTAGGTTTTAACTTTAAAAAGCACAGAGAGGGTAAAGATGTGAGAAGTTGCAGAACCAACAGGGTTGAGGTGTTGGTAATTCCTGCTTTATGTGCTGTAATTCAGAAACTTTAAAGTTTTACTTTTCACCTTTGAAACTGAGAGACAGTTTACATTAAGGGTTAAGACCAAGGGCTCTGGAAATCCCATGGACCTGATTTGAATCCCAGGCGTCATCTATTGTCCATGAAATCTTGGACAAGTTACTGTATCTACCTGTATTCTTCACTTAGAAAAATGAGATAATAACTCATAGGGCTGTTGTGAGCATTAAATGACAGAATCCATATCACATAGTTAAAATGTATTATTAATAGTGTACAGTGCCTGGTATAAATGTGATAAAATAAATGTGATCTGATATTTTAGAATTTAATCAGTTTGTAATACCTGGTAGCCACTGTTACTTTGTTAAAAATCTGTTACCACACTATCTTTGAAGTTATGTTTATCTCTGTAGGCTTTTTATCATCAAATTGAGGTCATTGGCTCTTCCAAGTAGTTGGTTCCTGATTCTTCTAAAAGTTCTGGATTATTATAAGATGGAAATTGTCAGTCTGAAGTCACAATATATGGGAAAAGACTATACTAACGGGAAACCTAATAGCAGTGAACTATAACAAAGCCCAAAGTCAGAGCAATGAAGAGATAGTGTATTTGACTAGTTACTCTCGGGCTTGTATTCCAAATACCTTTTTTAAAAACTTTTAAAATAAAAACACTTATTTTTTTTGAACAAAATTGCTGTTTTCTTTTTCCCATCTAGAAGTTCAGGTAAATTAAGAGAAATGGCCCTATAAAATGGAAAAATAGTATAAGGAAAAGCATAATAATCTGGAATCAATATAGCCAATCCTTAAGAAGCTTGGTTTGTTTTATATAGCTTGTGGCTTGATTTATTTGATGATTAAGTTCCTGAAAAATGATAATATGGAAACAACCACCATTTTTCTTACTTAAAACTATGGCCAATCCATTTCATTTTAATAAAATATGCCAATATGGAATATGATGACTTAAATTTTTTCTTTTTGAAATAAAAAAAGTAATTCAGTTATAATATCCAGCTTGCAAATGGCATTAGCTTGTAATTATTGTATCTACTCTAGTATGGGAGTTCTTCTGAAGTCTTTGTTAAACCCAGTGATGGCTGATAAAGGCACTTTCTAATCATCGCTCTTGACTTAGCTGCATAATGAAGATGCCACTCGTGTCAGGGCAACTAATGGCTTTGATTTTACTCTGATGGTGAGAGCCTTTCACTTCGTCTCCACTGGGAATCACTCTGATGTTGTTTAATTCCAGTCATGATTTTTACAGTATTAATTTCTTCATTCTTTGTTTAAAGAAACCCACATTCATTATGCTGAGATGTGGGTATATAATTACTTTGTTTTTCAGTAGCTGCAGATCAGTATTTTTTTTAATAGTGCCACATATTTTTAAAAGATTATTTCAGTTTGAGTATCATGATTATCCACAGTAACTATCTAAATCTCAAATGTGTTGAGGAGTACTGTGTTTTGTATGCTTAGTTACATGCTTGATTATTCCAGATAAGGTAATTCTTTCCTGTCCTCTTTGCTTTACTTTAGAGATTATCTTCTAAAAAGGGGGAAACATATAGAAACTCAAGACTGTTGAGTGCTCTTGACCTGATCTTAGAGCACAGATATCAAATATTTTAAAAAATTTACTAGAAGCCTTTGAAGTAATCATTTGGGATAGTAAAGTTCATTTACATTTTGAATGTTATTAAGATTTTAAGGTAGGCCGGGTGTGGTGGCTCACACCTATAATCCCAGCACTTTGGAAGGCCGAGGTGGGCACATCACCTGAGGTCAGGAGTTCAAGACCAGCTTGGCCAACATGGTGAAACCCCGTCTCTACTAAAAATACAAAAATTAGCCAGGTATGATGGTGGGTGCCTGTAATCCCAGCTACTCAGGAGGCTGAGACAGGAGAATCGTTTGAACTCGGGAGGCAGAGGTTGCAGAGAGCTGAGATTGTACCACTGCACTTCAGCCTGGGATACAGCCAGACTCTGTCTCAAAAAAAAAAAAAAGAAAAAAAAAATTTAGATCCATGAGTATCATTTCTACCAGCTCTCTTAATAAATGACTTATTACATATTGGGGCATAAAAATAGAAGTATTTGTGTTCAACTTTTCTTCAGTGATTATTTGTAGATTTTTGGAAACTTTGCTCAGCTTTGGAGTAGAGAGAATGAGAAAGAGATTAAATTATTTCCATTTAAGAACCAGCTCAAATGCCTGTTTTATTCTCTTGATAAGTGTTGGAATATTATTTTTGTCTTTCCCACTGATTTCTAAATCCTTCTGGTTACTCTATTGCTACAATAATTTTATGACTCATAGGAGGAATATTTGTGTGAAAGATTAAGATGCTAATTCTTTAAAAATGATATTCATAGACTACCATATATAGTCAGCATAAGTGAAACAGAATAAATCTTGCAACAGTACTCACAGTTTTCCAAAATAAGGTTTTCTTTTGATGTTAGTAAGGTAAGGAAGTGGTAAAACTTTCTTTAGGTTAAAATCTTAATGAAAGGTATTAATTTGAGCAGTCTGAAGTCTAAGTGTGCTATTTGTTTTTCCTTCGGCAAAACTTTACAGAAAGCTAATCTTTAATAAATAAACTTAGTAAACTAACTCTAAGCCATTTCATTGAGTTAAAATCTAAAGGACTTAAGTGGCACTGAAGAAAGTCTGAAGAGTTGCATATTAGTAGGCTCACTGAGCTTGTACTTGACCTTTTCTTCTAGAAAGTTCTTACAGCTATAACCTGACAAACAGGAAAATGATTTTTTAAGCAGTTTCATAGTTTTACCTTGAGATAATAGTATTTTTCCCTTCTTAAATCATTCATTCTACAAATATCAAATGCCCTGCTTTATACTATGCCCTGTGATTGCAGAATCAAGCTAAGACAGACTTTTTTTATATTACCATAAAAAATGTTATGGCAGGACCAGGCGTGGTGGCTCACACTTGTAATCCCAGCACTTTGGGAGGCCGAGGCAGGTGGATCACCTGAGGTTAGGAGTTCGAGACCAGCTTGGCCAACATGGTGAAACCCCGTCTCTACTAAAAATACAAAAAGTTACCTGGGTGTTTGGTGCCGTTTGCCTGTAATCCCAGCTGCTTGGGAGGCTGACACAGGAGAATTGCTTGAACCTGGGAGGCAGAAGTTGCAGTGAGCTGAGATTGTGTCACTGTACCCCAGCCTGGGTGACAAGAGCAGAACTTCTTCTCAAAAAAAAATAAAAGAAAAAGTTGTGGCAGATGTATGCACTGAGTGCTGAGAAAGTAGAGAGAGAGGAACACATGAGTCAGTAGTGGAAAGGAAGAACAGTGAAGAATTTTTTTTTTTTTTTTTTTTTTTTTTTTGGACACAGGGTGTTGCTCCACCACCCAGGCTGGAGTGCAGTGGCACGATCACAGCTCATTGCAGCTTCAACTTCACGGGCTCAAGTGATTCTCATGCCTCAGCCTCCCAAGTAGCTGGGACTACAGGCATACGGCACCATGCACAGCGTTTTTTTTTTTTTTTTTTTGGTAGAGACAAAAGGTGGGCATGGTAGTGTATGCCTATAGTCCCAGCTTTTTGGCAGCTTTTCTGGGGATTACATGTGTGAGCCACCACACTCTGCCAAGACTTCTTTAGGGAGGTTCATTGATTTCTTTATCCAAATATTGAATACAAACTATGTGCCAGGCATGGTTCTAAGTTATGAGAACGGATATACAATGAGTCAGATATTAAAAGTGGAAGAAAGAAAAATAGACCAGTTATGGTCAGAGTGATAGGCTGGGGATGGAGGGAGATGATAGCTTAGATTACCTTCTCCAGTGCAGGTCTCTGTAATTGACGTCTTTTGAGCAGAGATCTGAATGAACTGAGAGTGAGAGCCATGTGAATATCTGGGGAAGGGAGAGAATGCTTCATGCATAACACAACAGCCCGTTCAGAGGCCCTGAGACATGTTTGGGGAACAGCAAAAAGGCCACTGCAGCATGAACAGAGTCTGTGAAAGGCAGAATGGGGCTGCATTACAGTGGTGCTTGTAGGTTTTGAACAGAGGAGTGACATGGTATCAGTAACTTTTTAAAAAATAGGGAGATTACTTGGAGGGCAGTTGCAGTAACCCAGGGAGAGGATGACCAAAGTGGTGGTGATGAAAGTGATTGGGTTGAGGACTTGAGTACTAGTGGACGAGTGGGAAGTTAAGTTAGAAGAAAAGGGAAGATAAAAGTAGCTAGTAGATGGGCAATTACTAAGCCCTGGAACCTCTAATACCATATTGCTAGTGGTAAGATGATGAGCAATGAGACTGAAGACCACCTCAGAATGGCTTTGTGTCATAAGCTAAGAAGTTTGAGCCTTGTCCTGAAAATGTTGGGATACCATTAAAAATCTTCTTTAGGGGTCTTCTGCTATGGTTTTCCCTATTTTTATTATCTGATCATTTGAATTTTGAAATCCAAATATCTCATTTTCTTATATTTAAAGCTACTTCCTTAGGTATAGTATACATGAATTTTTAATGTTTAATATATCATTGGACCAAAATGGTAGAACTATTCTAAGAAAGAGTAGGGAACTGACATTTAAGCACCTACTGGGAGCCATGACCTGTGTCAAACACGTGTTTTAATTCTCTCAATGATCTATTGAGTGTTCATCTCTGTTTTATAGATAAAGAAAGTGAGCATCAAGCAGGTAAAGGAATTTGCCCAAGGTTAGAAGGCTAATAAATATTGGATCGATCCAAGATTTGAGCCCAGGTCTGTCTGAATCTAAACCCTTTATAGTCTCTAAACTATACTGTCTTTCTGGAGTTGAATATGAAACTAAAGTCATATGAATTTTATTTATAATGTATCAAAGATTTTTTAATCAAGTAAGCCACTGAATAGTACTTTTGCTATATTGTTAAAGTTTGAGTTAATGGTACCTCTAGAAAAGGTTGAATCATACAAGCGGTCCTTGTTAGTCTTTGGTATTCTAGAGTAGTGCTTCTTAATTTGTAATGTGTCAAGGAATTACCTCGGGATTTGTTCAAATGCAGTTCTTATTCAGTGGGTCTGATTTAGTAGGATTGGGACCTGAGATTCTGCATTTCTAACAATTTTCTGGTGATGCTGATACTGCTGGTTAAAGGAGTGCACAAATAGAATACTGTTGAATGGCTTAAACTTAAATCCATAGAAATATCCTTAGAGATCATTTTAGCATTCCTATTTTAGGCTGGAATGAAACCTTTACTGAGTACCTAAATACAAATGAGTGGTTCCATCATTTCATGAGCTCTTATTTAATATAAAAACCCTGCAAAATATATGTTACCTACTTTTTCTTAAATCTATTATTTACAGGCCGGGTGTGGTGGCTGATCACGCCACTCCCAGCACTTTGGGAGGCCAACGCGGGCAGATCATGAGGTCAACAGATCGAGACCATCCTGGCCAACATGGTGAAACCCTGTCTCTACTAAAATACAAAAATCAGTAATCCCAGCTACTCGGGAGGCTGAGACAGGAGAATCGCTTGAACCCAGGAGGCAGAAGTTGCAGTGAGCTGAGATTGTGCCGAGATTGCGCCACTGCACTCCAGCCTGGTGACAGAGCGAGACTCCATCTCAAAAAAAAAAAAATCTATTATTTGTAAAGGCACAAAACAAGTCTCTGAGAGATTGCAACTTCACAAAGACCGATCATACTTTTCCACAGATAGGCTCTTAATCATGTCAGCTCAGCAAACTTTGGTTGTATTTGGTGGCAGTGCTAAGTCCTAGGGATACAAAGACAAAAAAGTCAGCGTCTCTACTTCTTGAGTCTGTTGAGAAGAGAAGGATGCAGGCAAATGATTGGGGTACAGGGAGGCATCTGCTATAAAGAGGACATGAACATAGTAGTTGGGGCACCAGTATGCTGGTGCATAGAATGCAGGTAAGTAGTAGTGCCAGAATTCCAATCTAAGCCTTCATATGTATGGTCCACAGTTTCATCTTATTCTACCACACTGCCCATTGTAATCCAGAAGGGGCTTGGATTCATCAGCGTGTTCTAGTAGTTTGGCAGAAGAATCTTCTAAGTACCTATAGGACATGGGTGAACCTGAACTCAGGATGGGGTGGGCAGGATGGATTAGCCACCAACCACTCTTTGTTTGCCCAAAGCTTATTTTCATCAGTATGTTTATAGTATCATTAGTTTGGGAGGCCAAGGCGGGCAGATCACCTGAGGTCAGGAGTTTGAGACCAGCCTGACCAACATGGTGAAACCCCGTCTCTACTAAAAATACAAAAATTAGCCGGGCATGGTGGTACACCCCTGTAATCCCAGCTACTCGGGAGGCTGAGGTGGGAGAATTGCTTGAACCTGGGAGGTGGAGGCTGCAGTGAGCCAAGATCGCGCCACTGCACTCCAGCCTGGGTGACAGAGCGAGACCTCGTCTCAAAAAAAAACTTATTTCTTTTACCAAAACTTGATGTATAGACTGCCTTTTCTTCAGTAAATGTTTATTTTCCCATATTCGGCTTATCAAAGCCACAAAATAAGTTAGTGATAATAATATAGTCATGTATTGCTTAATGACTGGGATAAGTTCTGAGAAATGGGTTGCTGGGTGATTTCATAATTGTATAAATATCATAGAGTAGGCTTACACAAACCTAGATGGTATAGCCTATTATACACATAGACTCAATGATACAGCTTATCGCTCTTAGGCTACAAACCTGGACAGCATGTTACCGTACTGAAGACTGTAGGCAGTTGTAACACAATGGTAAGTATATGTGTATCTAAATATATCTAAACATAGAAGAGGTAATGCATTGCACTATAACATTACCTTATGACAGCCACGACATCTCTAGGTGACAGGAATTTTTTAGCTCTATTATAAGTTTCTGGGATCACCATTCTATATGTGATCCATCATTGACTGAAATGTCATTATGCAGCAAATTTGTATATAACTATTTCCATTGCGTCTGCCTAAAAATCTTAGTAGTGTGGGCAGAACTTGATTAGGGATTGTTTAAGGCATATATGGTCAAGCATATGAATTTCAGATATTTATGTTTATGGAAGACTCCTTTGTAAAAAAAAACTGAAGAAGAATCAGAGGTGATACATTTTAGTTCCTGTTTATTTTGAAAGCCAAAAGTCTGCACAAATTGCAGACCAAAGTATCACAAACTACTAACAAGGCAGTGGTTTCTAATAAATGTTGCTATCTTTGTCCTGAGCAACCTTGCAAAACTGTACATTCCCACTCATAAAAAATGGAGAACTTTTTCCCTATAGTCTAGGGCAGAGTGATAAGTTTTTCTCATAATTCCACATAGCTTATAGTTAAACTCAGTGTAGAAGAGTGATGAACACAAAACAATACATACTGTATTCAAGAAATCAGAACAGGTGCAATTTAAATTTATAGGTGGGGAAGAGTCTTACTAGTGGGACAGATTGGAGAAAAGCTTCACAAAGATATGGCATAAGAATAGAGTAGAATTGGGTCAGGCACGGTGGCTCACGCCTGTAATCCCAGCACTTTGGGAGGCAATGTGGGTGGATCTTGAGGTCAGGAGTTTGAGACCAGCCTGGCCAACATGGTGAAACCTCATCTCTACTAAAAATAACAAAAGTTAGCCGGGTGTGGTGGTGCACCCCTGTAATCCCAGCTACTCAGGAGGCTGAGGCAGGAGAATCACTTGAACCCAGGAGGCGGAGGTTGCAGTGAGCTGAGATCACACCATTGCACTCCAGGCTGGGCAACAGAGTAAGACTCCGTCTCAAAAAAAAAAAAAAAAAAAAAAAAAAAAAAAGAGTAGAATTTCAGTGGGTTGAAAACAATGGAGGCTGGGAGGACACAGGCTTTGGGGTGGACATACTGAGAATGTAGGGAGGTGGAAAGTGCATGACACTTCTGGGTACTGGAAAGACAGGAGTGAACAAGCCATGCGGCTGGGAGGACTGAATGAATTACTAAAGTGATAGAATCATCTTACCAGAGAGAAAGCAGCTGATGAAGTAGGAGAAGAAACTATATGTAGACAAGTTATTAGGAAGAAGTGACATTCAGAGTGGGAAGGGATGAGAGGGAGTTAGCTAAGCAAAGAAGGTAGAGAGAAGAGTTCCTGCAGGGAGCAACTGCAGTTGTGAAGGTCCTGGAGCTGGGAGAGGAGATGTTTGAGGAACTGAGAGAAGATTGAATGAGGAGGGATGTGAAATGATGTGGAGGAATAGATAGAGCCTGGCATGTTGGATGCTTTCAGTACCGAAGCAGTGCTATATAATGCCTGACTATAGAGGATAACCCACTAAAAATTTGAGAATTTTCCTTTAGGGAGCTGAGCCTTGAGTCAGAGGACTTCCTCCTTAGAGGAGGTGAGGTAAGATGATCATGTGGCTGTGGTACATACAAAGTTTAATGTTGGAGTTGAATAAGACCAATTTGGAAGTTACTGCTAAAACTTTGTCATGGAAATGTGAAAGTTTATGTGAAAGTTTCAAGGTCAAAAGATCGAGACCAGCCTGGCCAACACAGTGAAACCCCATCTTTACTAAATACAAAAATTAGCTGGGCGTGGTGGTGAGGGCCTGTAATCCCAGCTACTCAGGAGGCTGAGGCAGGAGAATCGCTTGAACCCAGCAGGTGGAGGTTGCAGTGAACCAAGATTGCGCCATGGCACTCTAGCCTGGCGACAGAGTGAGACTCGGTCTCAAAAAAAAAAAAAAAAAAAAGTTTATGTGAAAGTTTTGAGGGACAAATGGAAATGGCATTTTGAAGAAACCCCACTCAAAATATGGGAACATATCTTGTGAAGTGTCAAATGTCCAGTTGGAGGAGAAAGACTAGTATTGACCCTGTGAGAGGCATTAAAGATATGGGAGTCATTTATGTGAATATGGCAAGCCATGGGATTTCATGAAAGTTCCAAGAAAAGAGGATTAAAAAAATATGATTACTGTTTGTCATAATTGTGGTGTAGTATTCAAGAGCATGATTTCTGGAGAGCTCAACTGTCAAGGTTTGAATCTCACTCTGCCACTTACTAGGTTGGGCTGAATGATCCTGGACAAGCTAACTTTTCTTTGCCTTAGATTCCTCATCTGTAAAGTGGGTATAATAATAGTACCTCCATCGTAGGGTTGTTAAGTGACTTAACATTTGCTTGCAAAGAACTTAGGAAAAGTGCCGTGTACATAGTAAGAACAGTTTGTGAATCATCATAAATACACGAGACCAGAATTTCAAAACAAGCAGCAGGCAGAATGTTCCTTTAAAAGGTCATTGAATGTACTTTTCCAGCTACTCTTGTTACTTTCTAAGGAAACTACTTGATAATCCTGTACTTTGTAGGACTCATCAGGGTGTGTTTAGTAAACTTCAGTGTCCTAGGTGACTTCTTTATTCCCAAATTGTGGGGCAGGTGACAAGGGGAGGTTGGTCCTCTAACTCGTGGTGTAGTTAATCAGGATTTTCCTGTTTGAATAGACATGGCAAATGGTTTTAGTTAGTCATTACTAATGCAAGAGGGTCCTTAGGCAAGAGCAGGAAGTTAATGGTGAGTCACCTTCAGTGTTATGACATGGAGTATTTCTTTTTAAAATATCACAGGGAGTTGGTTTTTGCTATAGTAGCTAAGTTGTCAATCAAGTAATACTAGTAGTAAATCTTACATAAAAACTCGCTTCCCTCAAGTTTAAGTAGTTCTAATTTATGCATTATTTTATATATTGCCTACTACTCTCTTTTTGCTTATCCTGAATCAAATTTCTCACCCTCTGTCAATCTAATTTTGTGTTGCTATAAAGGAATAACTGAAACTGAGTAATTTATAAAGAAAGGTTTAATTTGGCTCACAGTTCTGCAGGCTGTACAGGAAGCATGGTGCCAGCGTCTGCTTCTGGTGAGGACCTCAGGAAGCTTACAATCCTAGCAAAAGGCAAGTGGGAACCAGTGTGATACATGGTGCAAGAAAGTGAGTGGGAGAAGTCCCAGGCTTTTAAACAACCAGATCTCAGGTGAACTGAATGAGAACTCACTTATGACCAAGGGGATGGTGCGAAGCCATTCATGAGGTACCCCACCCCCCACCCCGTGACCCAGTCACCCCCCACCAGGCCCCACCTCCAACTTTGGGAATCCCATTTCACTATGAAATTTGGAGGGGACAAACATCCAAACCATGTCACCCTCTTTACGTCTCATTAAAATGCTGGCCTGTTTCTCTCTTCCTTTTTGCTATAGGGCCTACTTTTAATCTTTTCTTCGAAAGAAGACTTTGGTATTGGTGGTCAGGCATGATAGCCCAGCCTTGAAAAGCTTCCACATCTTTTTCACGTCTAAGGGCCCAGCTTTCGAGTGTGTAAAAGTTATTTGGGGTGAAAATGTGTATTATCCATTCTCACCAATCTAGAGGTTGTCATGAGTTTGGGGGATTGGAATTACTGTTTAATAATGGTAATCCCCTTTAAGTATTTACTGGTTGAAATAATTAAAGTTTTTCTGGTAGATTCTTAACCATAAAAACGAAGCGAACTGCTTATTCTGCCCCATCCACAGGTAGCAGCCTCTTCATGCTTGCCCCTGCCTGGAATGCCCATGCCCGGAATGTCACATGTTTGGCTAGGAGTGCATTTAGGTCAGAGCTTACAGGTCACTTCCTGCCCTTGATCTGCTTTTCTAAAAAACTGTTTCCCATTTTTCTTTTTCTTTCCCATTTTTCATTTTTCTTTCTTTCATGCATGCTGCTTTATTTTTGCTGCACGTATCATTAGCCAACATTGTACTGTCTTCTATCTGGAACATAAATTCCATCAGATAGGGACTATGTTGTTTATTGCTCCATCTCCAGGGCCTGAATATAGTAGGAACTCAATAAATACTTGTTGAGTAAAAGTATTTGCTATATCCCTGTCCCTTCAGTTTAAATGATACATAAAAATAATGCAGAAATTGAGCTTACATAGAAAGAATGAAACAATATTTTGTTTTACAAGCATAAACAAAGGATTTTAATTACATTCATTTCAGCCAACATTTATTCTATTTTTTTTTTTTTTTTTTTTGAGATGGAGTCTCGCATCCGTCGTCCAGGCTGGAGTGCAATGGCACAATCTTGGCTCACTGCAACCTCCAACTCCCGGGTACGAGAGATTCTCCTGCCTCAGCCTCCCAAGTAGCTGGGACTACAGGTGTGCGCCACCACACCCGGCTAATTTTGTAGTTTTAGTAGAGATGGGGTTTCACCATGTCACCATGTTGGCCAGGCTGGTCTCGAACTCCTGACCTCATGATCCTCCCTCCTTGGCCTCCTAATCTATTTCTAATTAGTAGATCCTATACTGGACAAAAATGGAAAATGCAAAATATATACTCCTGTGTTCAGGAATTTCACAGTCTAGCCAGGAAGAAAACATGCATAATGAAATAATACTGAATGAGCCAGGCGTGGTGGCTCACGCCTGTAATCCCAGCACTTTGGGAGGCCGAGGCAGGTGGATCACAAGGTCAGGAGATCGAGACCATCCTGGCTAACACAGTGAAACCCCGTCTCTACTAAAAGTACAAAAAATTAGCCAGGCATGGTGGCGGGCGCCTGTAGTCCCAGCTACTTGGGATGCTGAGGCAGGAGAATGGCATGAACCTGGGAGGTGGAGCTTGCAGTGAGCCGAGATCATGCCACTGCACTCCAGCCTGGGCGACTGAGCAAGACTCCATCTCAAAAAAAAAAAAAAAAAAAAAGAAGATCAAAACAAAAATAATAATACTGAATGATAAATGCTATGACATAGATATAAAGAAATTTTTTTACTAGCACAGAGAAAGAACTCTTCATCTGTATTGAGGAAGTGAAAAGTTCTCAACTAAAAATGTTTCGAAGCTAAATGGCCAGTAGTAATTCTCGGTCGGGCATGGTAGCTCGCACCTGTAATCCCACCACTTTGGGAGGTCGAGGTGGGAGGATCTCTTGAGCTCAGGATTTCGAGACCAGCCTGGGCAACATAATGAGACCCCATCTCTACAGAAAAATTTAAAAAATAGCTGAGCGTGGTGGTGTGCACCTGTAGTCCTAGCTCCCCAGGAAGCTGAGGCAGGAGGTCACTTGAGCCCAGGAGTCCAAGGCTGCAGTGAGCCGGGATTGCACCACTGCACTCCATCCTGGGTGACAGAATGAGACCCTGCCTCAAAAAAATAAAATAATAGGCCAGGCTCGGTGGCTCACGCCTGTAATCCCAGCACTTTGGGAGGTTGAGGTGGGCGGATCACGAGGTCAGGAGATCGCGACAATCCTGGCTAACACGGTGAAACCCCGTCTCTACTAAAAATACAAAAAAATTAGCCGAGCGTGGTGGTGGGCCCCTGTAGTCCCAGCTACTTGGGAGGCTGAGGCAGGAGAATGGCGTGAACCCGGGAGGCGGAGCTTGCAGTGAGCCGAGATTGCGCCACTGCACTCCAGCCTGGGTGGCAGAGCGAGACTCCGTCTCAAAAATAAATAAATAAATAAATAAAATAAAATAATAACTCCTATGGGTCACATCCATTCTTTTTACTTCCTGCCACCTACTCCTTATTTCTATCTGGTCATTAAGGACAAATGTGAAATGAATTTTGGAGACGGAGAAAGACTCTCTCAAAATAAATAAATAAAATTTAAAAAAAAACGTACTGCCCTTGTGGTGCCTGTTTTGTCATGGTAGATTTGCCTAATCCTAGCAGACGTGACTGTGTACTATTCCCAGACCTGCATAGATTGATCTCCAAACTGCCTAAAATGAATAGATGTGGTTGTGTATAACTCAGATAAATTTGAGAAATACTTCTGTACTAGCTGAAGAATTCTAAGTGGTTGTGTTTTGTTTGTTTTTGTTGTTGTTTTTTGAGACGGAGTCTCACCCTGTTGCCCAGGCTGGAGTGCAGTGGCGTGATCTGGCTCACTGCAACCTCCACCTCCCAGATTCAAGTGATTCTCCTGCCTCAGTCTCCTGAGTAGCTGGGATTACAGGCCCTCACCACCACACCCGGCTAATTTTTTGTATTTTTAGTAGAGACGGGGTTTCACCATGTTAGTCAGGCTGGCCTCAAACTCCTGACCTCGTGATCCCCTGCCTCAGCCTCCCAAAGTGCTGGGATTACAGGCGTGAGCCACCATGCCTGGCCCTAAGTGGTTGTTTTAAATCAGTGGTTCCTTAGACCGGCATCAGCACCACCTGGGAATTTTCAGGCCTGCTGAATCAAAAAGTATAGGGGTAAGGCTCAGCAACATGTGTTTTAACAAACCTTCCAGGTGATTCTGATGAATATTTATAGCACATTATAATCAGAATATAAATTGAACATAAAGGCATCCTAAATTGATTTTGATCGAGCCACTGTGGTCTCCTCTTACATTTATTTTTGTGGTAATCCTACATTTCCCCCCTTGGACTTAACCTTCCTGCATCCTAACCCTAGCCCAAACAGATGATTGAAACACATTTTCACTAAGTGTAATTTGTTTCACTTTCAGAAAACATATCACTTTTTGCTTTCTCTCCTTTTCATGGTTATTCAACAGTTAGTTTAAGAGAATGACTTGGAATCCTGCATTGAGAATCAAGTCACTGAATTTCTTCTAAGGACCACTGGACTAAAAATTCTTTTTTTGTGAATAAAGCCTTTATCTGTATTGTTCCATTAACACTGGAAGAATTGTTTCTTTTCAGTTTTCTCTATCTTAATTCTATGACAAAGATAGTGTGGTGAAAAGTTATTTAAAGGTGATCTTTTCTAATCTATTCCTTGCCTTTGGTGCGCAGCTTTCTTTCAGTACAAAGAAAGTATCCTATTTTGGGCCATCTCTTTCCATATAACATTATATTTTACCCAGAGAGTATTAAATGAAAGATAAAATGAATATAAAGTATTATTTTGTATTTGGTATATATGTGTTGGTATAAATGTTAATTGCAAATAATATAGGTTCTACATGATTTTAAGCTTACAGAAAGTTCAAAGTATTACTTAAAAGGCAAGACATTGATTCTTCCATCAAACATTTATTGAGCAGCTATTCAGGTATTAGCCTACAAGCTTGTAAAGAAGAATGACTTGATCATTGCCAGGAGAACAGATATGTAATCAAGTAATTACAATTCTACCTGTTAAATGTGCATGGAGAATGGAAGAGGAAACTAATTTCTGTCTGAGGTAGTATGGAAAGGCTGAATTAAAGAAGTGACATCTGAGCTGTCTCTTGCAGGATGACTAAGAGTTTAGGAGGTAGGGGATGCAGAGTATTTGTGATAATGGGAACGGCATATACAAGGAGATGGCATGATTTTATGGAAAGTTGGTGGGAAAACTGGGTATCTGAAGAAGACTTCAGAAATGAATCCAGCTAGTAAAGAATTTAGGCATTTTCCTCTTGATGGAGAGCAATAGGAATGTTCTTTAGTAAGAATGAATGACATGTTTAAAAGATGAATCGAAAATATTTTAAGAAGAGAAACCCCTGGTGACTGATAGAGGACCTTGGAGTGAGAAGAGATGACAAGCCAGTTACTGAGGAAGTGGTCAAAAAAGAGAGCTGGTAAGTATTGATGGCTGAGTTCTCTGAGATGGACTGTGGCAGACCCATCGGAGAGAATATAAGTGGAATTTACAAAATGAAGTGAGTGGAGCAGGTAGGGAAGGTTGGTTTGTATCCTAGGTATCTCTTGTGGCTCTCATTCAGACAGCTAAGGTGGGGAATAATGCTGTTTCTGTGTGTGTGTGTGTGTGTGTGTGTGTGTGTGTGTGTTTAAACCACATATATGAAACCCATATATTCAAGCAGGCTTGAAAGCTACAATGAGGGCCGGGCGCGGTGGCTCACGCCTGTAATCCCAGCACTTTGGGAGGCCGAGGCGGGCGGATCACGAGGTCAGGAGATCGAGACCATCCCGGCTAAAATGGTGAAACCCCGTCTCTACTAAAAATACAAAAAAATTAGCCGGGCGTAGTGGCGGGCGCCTGTAGTCCCAGCTACTTGGGAGGCGGAGGCAGGAGAATGGCGTGAACCCGGGAGGCGGAGCTTGCAGTGAGCCGAGATCCCGCCACTGCACTCCAGCCTGGGCGACAGAGCGAGACTCCGTCTCAAAAAAAAAAAAAAAAAAAGAAAGCTACAATGAGATCTTGGGGTTGTTGAGTTGAGGCTCCCAAAGGCATTCAGTGATTGCTATTGACTTGTTCATCACCATGTATAGTCACATGGTATTTTCAGTGCCTAAAAATTTTAAATACAGTTAGTTGTTTTGCAAAAGCTTTTTATAATTCAGCCATTTTACAGTTAAAGATAGTAGCAAACCATTAATATTCAGTTTTGGAGTTCTGTCTTTCTGGGGAGGAAATAGAGCCCAAAATGACAGTGAAAGCTGGTGAGAAAAGGTTTGATATACATGTGATAAACAGGTTTGCTTCTCATTCAGCCTCTGGTAAACTTGGGATGTGTACAACAAATTCTACCTCTGGACTTGGTTAGTAGTGTGTACTACACATCCAGGACTGAAGGGGAGCCTTCCTAAGGATTCTAGGCATGGAGAAAACTAATTCCACACGTCTGCATTTCCTAACAGGATTTTACCCCATCAAAGTAGACCTTTGAAAATGCAGCTGCAAATTGATCTGTTCCTAATACGAATGAAACTGGCCTAAAAATAGGACTTTGGGTCCCATGGGCCTTGTGTGAGTGGTCAGTTTAACCAAAGTTACTTATTCAGCATCACCCATGAGACTGGTGTGGACTGCCAATACAGGAAGAAGGGAATTGTTCTATTTGTGCATAGGAGGGATACTTAGGCTCTGGTCATCTGTGGGAGATGAGTGAAAAGAAGTATAGTTGTGAAGAGCAGTCAGTGGGTTAGGAATCACGCTGCCTGGCTTTGAGTACCATTCCTGGTACTAACTAGCTTTGGGATCTTGTACCAGACTGATCAACCTGGCACTTTGTGCCTCAGTTTCCTCATTAGAATAAGTAGTACTACTGCTTATGTCATTTGTTTACTGTAAGAATTAAATGAATTAATGTACATAATATATAAGAACAATGACTAGCACAAGATAAGTGTTCAATTCATGTTAGTCCACAGAAGAAAAGATTTTAGCCATGTACTGACCATCCCAGTTTGTATCTCCTGCCCTGCCTCTTTTGATTCCTGTTGGAAATGGGAACTGGGGGAGTTGGGAGGGACAAGGAAATCAGGAAGAATTATGTTTGAATACTTTAGTTATTTATTCTGGGCCTCTCTTTTCATTGCTGTTACCTCCCAAGAGCAATTGTCTTGACTTCTCTATTCCTATAAAGATAGGAAAATCCTTTTAGAGTTAACTGTATTCTTTAGTCCTATCTCTCAAATGATGTTCCTTAAAGTTTGCCTTCCAACAACTTTAGCACTTATCTTGCCTCCTCCCAAGCCTCCAACAAGCTTAAACTTCAAATTGCAACCCCAACCCATTAGCAATTTCTGGTCTGCTGAAAAATAAGCTTTGTTTGGACTGTAGCTTTCTGTCTTACAGTTTTCTTGGTGTGAGCCACTCACATAAAACATGGAAATAAATAGAGCTTGGCTGTCTTAGCTAAAATGTGCTTTATATTAAATAGAATGTTTATGATATTTTCAACGTTCTAAAAATACTTGCATGTATTTCTTATTAATGAACCTTGGTGTTCCTAGGAAGGTATTGTCACAAAACTGATTGGATTGGGTGGTAGTTTCTGAGCTGCAAGCTCTTCCGTGTCTTATGTTAACAGTAATAGTAATTATTTGGGCCATGACTTCCAAAAGGATTTT
This sequence comes from Homo sapiens, assembly GCF_000001405.40. NCBI lineage: Eukaryota > Metazoa > Chordata > Mammalia > Primates > Hominidae > Homo > Homo sapiens. The sequence goes on from NC_000011.10 coordinate 102,185,769, forward strand.
TTGGAAAAAAATTTTTTTTCTTCATCTCTGTGTTGAGGAATATTCATTTTATTATTTGGTGGTTTCTTTTTAGTGGAGAAGAAGCAGGTATATAGGTTTACCTTTCTTCTCTGAACACAGCCTTAAATATGTTTCAATGAATTGTTTTATGTTAAGATGTGTTTTCTTTTTAAATTAGTACCCCCTCCCACTTTTTTTTAGGTGCACCAAATAAAAACCATGATTTTTTTTTTTTTTTCTGTATTATAGGTCCTCTTCCTGATGGATGGGAACAAGCCATGACTCAGGATGGAGAAATTTACTATATAAACCATAAGAACAAGACCACCTCTTGGCTAGACCCAAGGCTTGACCCTCGTTTTGGTAAAGGTTCATCTCAAAACCTTTTTAGATGCTTTTGGTTGCTAATTTTTTTTGTAAATATACTTCGGAAAGCACATTTAAATAAAATCGCATTGCTTTATAGTATTAAAAAATGACCCTGCCCACCCAATGTTTACCAGTAGTGTTTTTATCCTTCTCATTGTAAACTTGAGAAATTTAGATCTGAATCAGATTTTTAGGGCTCCTCAGGTTGGGGTGGGGGAATGTCATAATGGCCGACTAACCAGAATCACTTGTTCCTTTCACATTTTGGGAGAAACACAGTGATTGTTTTTAAAATGTTTTTTTTTTTTAGCTGCAATAATAATCAGGCTGTCATGCAACACCTCAGACCAGGAGTACCAGCTTTTGTCAGTGACCTGATGTCTGCTTGTGCTTAGGTTCTGAGAGTGATGAGTACCATCTTATGCCTGGGTGTTGTAGTGTTTCCCATCCTAAGGAGGAACATGTCACCCCAGAAATGGCCCAGTGAAAGCATTTTGCCCCCTCTTCTGTCTCTCTCGAAAAATAAATGTTTTTTTTTCTTCATTCAGAAAACAAAGAAAGCCATATTCCCCTCCAGATCTCATGAATAAATCACATTTGCACAAAGGAACCCCTCCCCTTCCAAATGTGTACATTTTGATAAGGGTGTAACCAGTTCTTCAGTGCTTTTTAAAAAATGTGTGTGTGTGTGTGTGTGTGTGTGTGTGTGTTTTAAACTGTTTTCAGTTTTTCATTTGGGTTTCTGAGATATTTTTCCAAGGCCATGGAATATGCATCTAAAAAAGAGCAGATAATTGTGGTTTTGAAGCTTCATCTTGGACTAGATGCAGCTAAATGAAAACAATGTGCAGATCACTGAATAGGTCAGACTGAGGGGACTCGGAACCTTTGAAGCTTTACAGGGTTTGACCTAACAACAACTGCGGGGCCCTCACGGGAAAGAGGAATTAACTCTGTGAATGCCATGAAAACACAACCCTGCGGGGGGAAAAAAGAAAAAACTGTATCTGGAGCTGGTTGGATAAAATAACTTCTCCATCGGGAATATTATGAGCAGTTATTTTGTGTCTTATATATACCTTTAAAAAAATAAATTCAAGTTTGCCCCAAACTGACTGAACCCCCTGTTCAAGTTAAGTCAATGGCAGGATCAGGGCAGTGATGTCATTTTGACAGATAACCGGTTTGGCTTAAATACTGTCCTTTTAAGCTTCAAGACCTGTTTGGGTGTTAAAAAAAGTAATGAGGTATGTTAATAATTTGCAACTTCAGATTCTGTTTACTATTTGAATTAGCCCTTGTGATTGGAACAGGAAACCAAGTAAGATAGAGAATTTAATAAATGCGGCCAATTGTTTGGACTGGAACAATAACAGCCATGTTTCCTTAAATTATCTCTAATGAAATGAATGAATTCAGTTTCTCCACATTTTGGAAATTCTGAAGAATGGTGTTGCGGAATTTTTTTCCCTGACATAAGGTTATGAAAGATGATGACGAACGCTTTACCAACTGCAGAGATCAGGAAGAACAAAGCTTTTTAAAGAAAAAAATTTTTTCCTTTAAAACAGTGAAATAAAACAACTTTTCTGTAAGCTTAAGTAGACTATTGATTACACACACAGCTTGGTCTTTTGTTTTAAGAGGAGGAGGTACTTTAAAAAAACACTACCACCCTCCAGCACGTTATGTACACACAGGCATACAGTTAGATGTGCCCAGAAAAAGTTTCATAAAATTCTCTTATTGCATTTAGTTTCCCTTTTTGGGCCCACCGTGTGTGTATTCCAGACAGGCTTGACAATATGCCAGAGCTTTTTATTTTGTGGCCCGACTTTTAATCTGTTCCAGACCTTTTCACTCAGAGAGCTCAAGTGTAACTGAAGGGGGGCAGGAAAGAAAAAAACGTGTGGGTTTCTCTGATCTAGAGTGACAGCAAATAGAGACAAGCTGTTAGCTGCTGGATTTGAAGTTTTCCTTGAAATCAGAAGTTCTGCATAGTGGATTATGTTTTATCTCTGCCAAAGAAATATAAACTATCCCCTTGTTTCTGACCCTTTGGGCCATACAAACACAAACAAATGGTGTAGGATATTGCTTTCATGATTGTGGAGTTTGCTTTTCGATATTCTTCAAATCTATATTAAAATATTTATCAATTTTTGGCTTAAGTCAAGTAGATGTGTGTCTTTCAGTGTCTTAGAATGGGAGCTAAGCCCCTAGAGAAGCTTAATTTTAGCTCCTTCAAACAACCCCTTTTATATGTTTATTTATCAGATGCTTTCAGATTAATTATAGTTAGAATATAGCCATTTGCTTTAAGATTAAACATATTTAGTAATTACACTTCATTTGCTGCATAATAACGTTTCAGTCAGCGGCAGACCACATATACAGTCGTGGTCCTATATGATTCTAATACTGTGTTTTTACTGTAACTTTTCTATGTTTAGATACACAAATACTACCCGTTGTGCTACAGTTGCCTACAGTGTTCAGCACACTAACAGGCTGTACAGTTCTGTAGCTTGGGGCGATAGGCTATACCTTACAGCCTAGGCATGTAGTAGGCTATACCATCTAGGTTTGTGTAAGTACTCTCTAAGATGTTTGCACAGTGACAGAATTGCCAATGATCCATTTCACAAAGCATATCCTGGTTATTAAGTGACACATGACTATATTTATAGTATCAATCCTTCACATCTCACATGAAATTAATGTTATTTATGTAATTTTAGGGAATAAAAGAGTAATTTGTTGTGGATTGGGTTTTTTAATGATTTTTTTCTTTAACATTTAAAAGCTATTTCTTTAATATTTTAATTTTAGAGAATTCATTAGTAATTTATAACAAATCATGAAGTGACATCAGATGGCAATAAGGATGCCCTGATGTTTATTGAGTTTTAAGAAAAATAGGGCTTTTTTTGTTTGTTTTTTTAAGGAGTCATATTAGGAGTGTTTTTACTCTTTGTTCAAGAAAATGGTTCCTTGAGTATTATGCAAGCCATTAAATTATTTCATATAAACACATAGGAGGTGATTTTTTTTCCCTGGAGATTTTGTACTGGCAAACATGAGTCTCAGGTTTAAACATCACCTTGTATGTTGTAGATCTATTACTGTATATAATACAGTCATGGACATTTTCCAGTAAAAGGCCTAATGAAAACACAATGAAATTATAATTGCTGTTCAGAATGAAAAAAGATCTTTAAAACACTAATAGTTGATAAACTGATCTTTAATGTTATTTTCGCTATTGTTTATATTATAAAAAGATGTATTAAAATATTGTTACCAATCTGTGTTTTAGGAAATAAGTGCTGATGGCACCACTGGGATAAAAATATTTGGTGTAAACAAAATATTGGAGCAAGAGATTTGGGGAAAAAATTATACTTCTGAATTTTAAAGCAAGTAATGAACAGTCCAGAGTGACAAAAACAGAATATTTAATTCCTAACTACAGTTCTGTGCACAGAAATTCTATGTGTAGAAATGTCAGAGGTATTAAACCTCATAGGTTGATTTTGGTTCCTTTGTTTCAGTTTCCCAAAACTTGCTTTCTGTGCATTTACATACACGTGTGTATGTGTTACTATAATGTCTTGAAATAAGAAATAAAAGGATAAGTAAAATACAAATACCTATATGCAATTTATTAAAATAAGACTAAAGCCGAAGGTTGTTGAGACTTCTTTTTCATCAGAGTTAAATATTTGGCATTAATAATTAAATATCTATAAAAATTTTGAGACATTCATTAACATTTTTTCTTTTTTAAGCCAAATATTTCTGTTGTTAAAAATAATATTTTCCTTTTGATGAAAATGCACCTAACAACCAACTAAATAACTAAGAATCCATCCTATTAGTGTTGGGGGAAAACCACTGAAGTCTCTAGAAACCAAATTGGTAACTTTATTAATGGAGTCTTGAGCAAAGAGAATGTCAGCATCTAATTATTTAAATTTTATCAAAGCAAGTCTCTTGATAGCTGTATGCTAAAAGTGAGGTTTTTTTTGTTCTGTTTTGTTTTGTTTTGAGGTTTGAGGCTTTTTTTCCCCTTATCAACTCAAGTCTTTCCTGGTTATCCTGGGCTGTCAGTATTTGGTTATGGACTACATTAATTACTTAGCGTACAGAGGAAAAGATGTGTGTTTTAGATAAAAAGAGCTATTGCGAGCTAAAAATTATTAACAGATGGCCAGGTGCGGTGGCTCATGCCTGTAATCCCAGCACTTTGGGAGGTCAAGGTGGATGGATCACTTGAGGCCAGGAGTTCCTGACCAGCCTGGCCAACATAGTGAAACCCCATCTCTACTAAAAATAGAAAAAAATAGCTGGGAGTGGTGGTGCACGCTTGTAGTCACTCAGGAGGCTGAGGCATGAGAATCACTTGAATCCAGGCGGCAGAGGTTGCAGTGAGTGAATATCATGCCACTCTACTCCAGCCTGGGCAACAGAGACTCTGTCTCAAAAAATTAAGAATAAAAATAAAAATTAGTAACAGGCTGGATGCAGTGGCTCACGCCTGTAATCCCAGCACTTTGGGAGGCCCTGGTGGGCAGATCACTTTAGGTAAGGAGTTCAAGACCAGCCTGGCCAACATGGTCAAACCCCGTCTACTAAAAATGCAAAAATTAGCCAGGTGTGATGGCACACGCCTATAATCCCAGCTGCTTGGGAGGCTGAGGCACTGAGAATCACTTGAACCCGGTAGGCAGAGGTTGCAGTGAGCTAAGATGGTGCACTGCATTCTAGCCTGGGAGACAGAGCGAAACTCCATCTCAAAAGCCGAGGCTGATGGATCATGAGGTTAGAGATCAAGACCATCCTGGCCAACATGGTGACACCCCATCTCTGCTAAAAATACAAAAATTAGCTGGGCTGGTGGCACGCACCTATAGTCCCAACTACTCAGGAGGCTGAGGCAGGAGAATCGCTTGAACCTGGGAGGCAGAGGTTGCAGTGAGCCCAAGATCGCACCACTGCACTCCAGCCTGGGCAACAGAGCGAGACTCCATCTCAAAAAAAAAAAAAATTATTAACTGATAAAACTCACAAAATTTGGCCCTCATAATGAGTCCTCTAATCATCATTTTTTCAGTGGGGAGAATGCTACTCTTCTGATCACTGCAGAACATTCAACATCCCTGGCCCGCTAAGTGCCATAGCACCACACAGCCATTACGATTCCTCGGACCACCAACACTTTTTTTTTTTTTTTTAAATGCTGGGAGAGTTAGGGAATATGGTCTAAAATCTGAGCCCCTCTGAGATCAGGGAAATTATACCCAAGGTTATATAGTTAAATGGCAAAACTGAAATTTGAATTTGATCTTTTGATACCTAGAATTTAAAAGAAATTTAGATTCAATGCAGTTAATCTTTCAGAAATACCTACTAATGCTGATACATGAAAATTTGAGAGGGAGAAAAATAGTGGTTAATGCACTTGCATCTTGTATTGTGACTCATCTTGAATAAGTTACCCAAAGATAATGAGTTTTTCTTTTTTTCTTTTCTTCCTTTATTGTTTCTTTCTTTTTTGGAGAGAGGGTCTCACTCTCATCGCCCAGGCTAGAGTGCAGCATGGCTCAATCTCAGTTCACTGCAGCCTTAATTCCTGGGCTCATACAAGCCTCCCGCCTGTAGCTGGGACTACAGGCATGTGCCACCATACCCTGCTAATTTTTTTGTGTTTTTAGTAGACATGGGGTTTTGCCGTGTTGCCCAGGCTGGTCTCAAACCCCTGGGGCTCAAGCAGTCTACCTGCCTCTACCTCCCAAAGTGCTGAGTTTACAGGTGTGAGCCATAGGGCCTGGCCAAGTTTCTAATTACGTAAGAGAATTTAAGATCTCTGATTGGAACAGACTTTAAAGGCATCTAGTTGAATTATTTACCCAATTCTTGCCTCACCGATCTCAGCTTTGACCTTTCCCTTTACTAGTTTACTTCATTATAGTGTAGCCCATTCTACTTAAGGAAAATTCTAATGACCACAAAGTTTATATTTCTTGATTACCCAAAAATTTACTTCCTTTCACATGTGTGAATACAGCTCTAATCCCAGCAGTGTTCTCTTCTAACTGTGGTTTCTCTGGTTTTTCATGTGTTCAGAGTTCTCTGTTCTTTATCAATTTACTCACTTCTCTGGATGTCCTTCATTTTGCTAGTGCTTCTTTAAGTGTTATATTCTATAGTGTTTCATATGTACATTATCCTGTGAGAAAAATAGTTATGTCATTGCTCTGACCTGTCATTTTCAATCTCCTCCAAAAATCTTTCTTCAATCTGCAGTAGAGGCTAGCATCTCTTTTCCACATGATAGTTACAACAATGTACTTGATTCAACTGAATTAAATTGGGATGTAGAAAAATTTACCTTCTCAGTTGGAAATCAAGAGACCCAAGTTCTGCTATCACAATATAACCAACTGGATCAGAAAGATACCTAACTTCTCTTGACTCATCTGTAAAATGTGACTGGATTAGACTGGATGCTCTTAAGAATATTTCCACTCTTTAACTGAATACAATATGCTCAGTAACTGCTTTGGACTCTTGCTTAAGGTTACTTCTCAATAGCCTTTTTGATTTGAGTGCATTGAGGTTTCAGAGATACTTTTGAACTATTTATTGCACCATTTAAGTTTAACTTTGGTCCTCTGGTCACAGTGTGGAATTACTTTTGAAGAGGAGACAGGGAAATCTTCCAGCCTTTAATCTAAAGATAAGCCTTATCACATGGTGAGTATGTCCAGGCAAACAAATCTGATGGGGGGTGTGGGAAGTGCTGGGCTGAATAGTTAAGCTTTGTCCACACTCTCAAACTCTTGGAAGCATATGGGAGTTTAAACATGTTCATGTTAGCAAAGTTCAGCTTTATTGCCTTAAAGATGATGCCTTGTTGGTACACTTTGTTTCTAAAATTTAAAACTCCCATAAAGTTGCCATGACAGAAAGTCTAATGTAAGCAGATTTGAAGCCTAGTTCCAGGCCATGTGCTTAGCAAAACCTGATTTAAGACATACCAATAGAGATTGTTAGTAATTATTGCTCTCACTACATTTTCTTTTTCCTTCAAAAGCAAGCATTTGCTTAAATGAATATTTTAATACATAAGATTATAGAATAGATTTCAAAATTAGTTCCACACTTGAGCTCTGCAGTTTTTAAAATTTTATGTTAAATTCAGTAGGATATATTCTAAAAAGTAAACAACTTTAGTTGTATTCCTCTGTCCAGTATGTCTCAACTATGTTTTGTGAAATTTCGCTGTTCCTTTTTAAAATGTTTTATTTTTTATCTAAAAATAAATACTTTGGTTAGCTAGGGAAAATATCCAGTAAGGTAGTTCCAAAATAGTTTATCAGTTATGGTAAGCAATCTCTCCTGTACTAACCAAGGCTGAGTAGACATATGTTACGGAGGATAAACTAATAGGTAATTTCTACTTGATCAGTATTTCATTGATGCAATTAGTTAATTATACAGTGAAGAAACATTTTTATCTTTCTTTACATAATGAGTACATTGTTCATACAGGATTTTTTAAACATGAAAGTTTAAGACCAGCAACGTCAATTAGATGATAGTTTAAACTAATGCCTTATTCGTGTTACTAAAGCCGCTATCAAACACACTTAAAAAGACCTTACATAGTTTTTTGGGGGTTTTTTTTTGTTTGATTTTTGTTTTTTTTTTTTTGAGACGGAGTCTCGCTCTGTCGCCCAGGCTGGAGTGCAGTGGCGCAATCTTGGCTCACTGCAACCTCCGCCTCCCGAGTAGCTGGGACTACAGGTGCCTGCCACCGTGCCCGGCTAATTTTTTGTATTTTAGTAGAGACAGGGTTTCACCATGTTAGCCAGGATGGTCTCGATCTCCTGAACTCGTGATCCGCCCACCTCGGCCTCCCGAAGTGCTGGGATTACAGGCGTGAGCCACCGTGCCAAGCCTTTTACATAGTTTTTTAAAAGGAAACTTTTTCAAGTTATATTTGTATTAACTCTGTATTAACAGCAAACATCTTATATGCTGGAAAAGAGGAACCATTTGGTGTTGCTTGCTACTTTTTGTACCAACCCAAAGATTCAGATGTAAGAAAAAGAAAGAGATTATAGAATTATTGGAAAGGTCAAATTTCTGTTGAAAGTAATTGGTGTGATTTAGAAGGAGAGTGGTTCAGATTCTGTTTTGTTTTGTTTTATACTCATTTTGTTCTGCTACCCTAGTTGCTAAGGTCATTTTAGAACTCATTCTGGACTTGCTTCAACTTGGAGATTCTCCTGTGCATTACTAATAGCATCCTCCTAACTAGGGAGAGAAACTATTTTAGGATTTATTTATTTATGCAACAAAAGTTTGGGTGCCAGTTACATGCCAGGCACTATGCTAGCCATGGGTTGGGAGGAACAAGCTACTAAACAAGTAAATAAATCATTACAAATGTATTAAGTATGGTAAAAGGTACTAAACAATGTGGGGTGAAAGGAACTAGGGTGGTGGGAACCTGCTTGCACCTGGGTGGTCAAGGGAGGTTTTTCAAAAAGGCACATAGGAAGCCACCAGTCAAATTTCAGACCAGTTTTTGTGTTTTTCAGTAAAAACTCTGAGGTATGCATCACTTCTAAATTATAAATTATCCTCTGTGAAAGAGCTTTACTAGTAATAAATGAAATTAGAAATAAAGTGTTATAATTGACCTGTTTATTCATTAATCTAACATGAATTAATAGTGACAAGTATATTTTAAAAGATAATGCCCCTTTATTTTTTTAATTTTTAGTTTTTTAGAGACGGTGTATCTCTGTGTTGCTCAGTCTGGTCTTGAACTCCTGTCCTGAAGCAGTCCTCCTGCCTCAGCCTCCCAAGTAGCTGGTATTACAGGTGCAAATCACCATGTCTGGCTGCTTCTCTACAGTCTCATTATCTGAACTTTCTTTCCTAACTAGACCTTAAAGTTTATTTTCATAGTGGGGAAAAACATCTAGCTGTGCTCTGGGGACAAAGAGAGCTGAAAGCTAATTAGAACACGTTCTCCCTTTTCTGCCTCACCTCATTTAGCAACCCTTGTGTCCTGCCCTAAACTGCTTGATGAGGTGATGAGGAGAAAATGTTCTGCTGGATTTCTTTTTGTTTTCTTTTAGCTCCATTCATGATTGTATTGTTTGAAAAATAACATTATAATGAATTTTTATGGTTGGAGGAGGGGGAAGTTGAATTGACTAAAGTATTGATATTTGTTACCAGTATTTTTGAACAGCTAAAGATGTGAAAACTTTAATCCAGTTTGGGGAGGCTGGGAGTTGGTGCTGGGGAAAAGGTTTGGCTGTGTCCCCACCCAAATCTCATCTTGAATTGTAGCTCCCATTATCCCCACATGTTGTGGGAGGGACCAGGTGGGAATAATTGAATCATGGGGGCAATTTCTCCCATCCTGTTCTCAGATAGTGAGTGCTCGCAAGATCTTATGGTTTTATAAGGGGCTTCCCCCTTCCCTGAGCACTGATTCTTCTCTCTCCTGCTGCCATGTGAAGGAGTACATGTTTGCTTCCCCTTTTGCAATGATTGTAAGTTTTCTGAGACCTCCCCAGCCATGCTGAACTGTAAATCTGTTAAACCTCTTTTCTTTATAAATTACCCAGTCTTGGGTATGTCTTTATTAACAGCGCAAGAACAAACTAATACAGTAAATTGGTACCAGAAGTGGGGAAAGAAGTGCAGAGTGTGGGATGGAGAGGTTACTTAGCCTGTGACAAAACCTAGAGTAGGATGTTAGAGCAGGTGAACTGTCCCCACATATTGATCATTAGAGAAATGCAAACCAAAACCACAATGAGATAACACTTAACTCCCATTAGGATGGCTAAAGTTTTTTTTGAAAAGATAACAAATGTTGTCCAGAATGTGGAGAAATTGGAATCCTCATACATTGCTGTTGGGATTGAAAAATGATGTAACCACTTTGGAAAATAGAATGACAGTTCCTCAAAACATTAACCATAACATTCCCATATGACCGAGCAATTCCATTCCTCGGTATAGAGGCTAAAGAATTGGGAACGTATGTCTCCACGTTGTGGGAACGTATGTCTCCACAAAAACCTGTACCCAGGTTTACAGCAGTATTATTTTATAATAAATAGCCAAAAAGTGAAAATAACCCAAATGTCCATTAGTTGATGAATGGGCTAACAAAATGTGGTATATTCATATAATGGAATATTATTTGGCAATTAAAGGGAATGCAGTGCTTGATACATATTAAAACATGAATAAATCTGGAAAACATTATAAATGAGAATAGCCAGGCACAAAAGGCCATATATTGCTTAATTCCATTTTTAGAAATGTCCAGAATGGGAAAATTCATAGAGACAGAAGTAGATTAGTGGTTGCCAGGGACTGGGAGGAAGGGCAGTAGGTAGTGAACTGCTAATGGATACAGGGCTTTTTTGTTTGTTTTTGTTTTTGTGACTTTTTTTTTTTTTTTTTGAAGTGATGAAAATGTTCTGAAATTAGATCGTGGCAATGGGTGTACAATTCTGTGAATTTGTAAGAACTACCAGACAGTACATGTAACAAGGGTGAATTATCCCAGTAAAGAGAAAAAATTATTTCTAGGCATGATGTCATTTAGGTATATAGTGTATTGAGAAATACCTTTTGTATATTGATCATAAAAAGATGTATTCAGTCATTAGGTTAGGACACTCGTCTTTTCCTTTTCTTTTGTAAAAGATAGCTTTTCAGTGTGAATTAAAATAAGCAATTTTTACTGAAAAACTACATTTTATGTTTAAGTAGATAAATTATTATGCCACTTTATAGCGACTCTCTATTGATGATTCAGTCCCCTTAGGTCATGCAGTAAACACTTAGAGCCAGGAGTGAGTGTTTTGTGTTTTGTTTTTACTGCTTTAAGACCCACAGATGGCCTATTAGTTTGTGTTTTTAGAAGAACATTAATTTCTTTTAAAAAGTCTACTGTTTTGTAGTTTTGAGTACACTCGTAGGTATGAGGAAAACCCAAATATTTCTTCTAAATGTTTTGAACAAGTTAATATAGCTATGCTAATATGGAAATATTCAGTGTCTGAGATTTGAAAAAATACTAGACAAAAGCTTTTGTTGTGGGAGATTTGATGTAATGTTTTAATAGCTTAAGAATCGTTTATTATTGTAAATGTATACCCAGTAAGATTACTAGAATTAAATTTATTATTCCAAAGTTTATGACTAACAGATCTGTAATACATTGTTATAATCCAAGTTTTGAGGTTACAAATCATGTAAATTTTTAGACAATCTAAAAATTGTCTGAAGTTTGGAAATTCACATGTTTAGAATGAAACTTGGGGAAAAAAAACCTATGGTGATGACCCCTTTCTTTTATTTTTGAGAAAGTAGTCCCTTATTTTTCAGTAATTGCTCAGTCATTGGTTTTCTACCATAAAGCTGTCAGGGCTGATTTGTTAAGCAAAACTTGAAACAGTTACTATTTCGTAGTGCAAGAAGCACAGACTCTAAATTTTAAAATATTGCATAATTTTTAAAATTCTGACATTTTGTGGGGTTTTTGTTTTGTTTTTACCTTTTGGAAATTTTATTAAAACTGGAAACATTGGGATTTCAATAGTTGATAGCCAGAGGAAGAAGTTGGTAATGCTATTCTTTTCTTTTCTTGCTGCCCTGCCCCCTTTCCCCAGGAAACAAAGCCGGTTTTGTTTCTTGCCTGCTTGTGAGGTCTCTGCTGCACCCCATGTGGGTGCACCGCTCTGTGCTTTGTTGAAAGACTTAAGATACTCAGAAGGTAAAGAACAGGATGCTTCTGGAGAGGAATAAATCCCAGCTTCAGTAGATAAACAAGGTTGTTTGAATTGGTCATTTAAGTGAGTTCTTTCTATGGAAACCTTGTAGTGCTGCTTGTATCCATAGGTAACAACATTTAGGTAAAGCCAAAAGTACTCACAATAGTCATCAGAGTATTTCTCTTACATAATTTTGTGCAAGTTTCTGTTTAATTCTGTGGACTGGTTCTTCCTTCATCTTTTGATATCCTAACTAATTTTTCCTGTTCCGTGGTTTTGAATAGTCAGATAAGCTTAGATTTGAAAAAGACCTTACCAACCAATTCAGTTTGTTGTCAGCATTGGCTATTGTCATTAATGATTACTGCTTTTGGTATCTAATTCTGGGAAACTGGTGAGAAGCAAAGGATATTTACCACTTTATTTTTGTGTAATTTTATTGCTATTCAGTGTTTTTCACCAAGAATGTATGTTATTTCATAAATAACTTAATGTTATGTTACATAATGAAAATATAATGGGGAAAGCTCAAAAGCTTATCCAAATGTTTCTTAATAGATGAAGTATTTAACAGTGTATATAGCTCTAGAATCTGTTTTGAAATCAATCATGTTTTATAATTCCAACACTCCTCAGCTTACTAATGGGCTATTTTCTAGCAGGTTTTTGGTGTTTTGCTTTTTTATTGCTTGGAACCAAAAACACTTTTCCCCAATAGTTGTTTGCCTTGGGCCTCAATTTACGACATGTTCATTGTATGTGATGAATCTCAGATCAGTTCCCCAATTCATATTTAACTCATGCTATCAAACCTGGCACAGCACACTGTATAAAATGTTTCTGTGTGGAAATATGTTGAGTGTTGTATTGAAACACCGAGAAGATGTTTCACCGAAAGAGAAGGATCCTCTTATATCGTTGGCTCAATCTCCACTACCTTTTTTCTATTTAGACCTTGTAGGAAAGAGAAACATGCATATTTTTGTAAATCATAGGAATATTTGGAAACAGTAAATGGTATGATAAAATAGGAGGAGGGAGAGAGAGAATGTATGTGTATGTCTATGTGTTTGTGGAGGAGAAGGAGAGAGGTATAGGAATCATCAAAATATGGAATTCGTCTGTAGGAGTCAGAGTCTTTAGGTTTAGAAAGAAGTTCTGCAGAAGAGAGAGGACTAAGGTTTATGGAGCACCCACTATTCCAGGTGTGTGAGAGAATAATCAGTCCTCATAATAACTCAAATGGAGATGTCAGTATTGATGGTACGGATGAGAAAACCAAGGATTAAGTGAATTACCAAATTAGTATGCCCAACTCTAATCCAAGTTCATTTGACTCTAAAGGCTGTGTTTTTTATGATACCTGTCAATTATGTAACTATGTTTGTTGGTAACAGATAAGAGCAATTTTATTACATGAGGTTGTTGGTGCCTGGCAAATCTTAGGTCCCAAAAATTGTTGGCTTTTTTCGTATCCATTGCCCTATAAAATAATAAACTATAACCTATAAGGATGAAAGTTTTAGCCATTTACTTTTTATAAAGCCATTTCATAAGTCTTCGTGAGTTAATAAATATGTTTTTTTTCCATATGAGATTAATAAGGCTTTGAACAAGCTGGAGCAGTATGTCATGTTTTGACATCCCTTCTCTCTTCTTCCAGACAAAATATTAAAACAAGATAACCAAAAAGACACAACTAGGGTAGGAATTTTTTAAAAATCTCTATAGGTCAGAAAATAAAACCACATGAAGCATTGAGGGTAGTGCTAGAGGCCTGCCAGTTTTAGGGGCCATTTGGCTCCTGAGAAGAACTGTTAATAAAAGTATTAATAAGGAAGAGGACACACAAAACACGCTCAATGGGAAAAGCCAGGCGTGCAGCTGACCTGGCCCTGGCCTAGGACAATGTTTACAAGGATTGACCACTGTCAAGTCACAGAGTCACAAATTGTCTAGAATCAATATTATGTAGACTATGTTTTTTAAACCTCAATGCAACTAAATTTAAACTTATAATAAAAAAGTTAGTTTCAAAAAACATGTCTTGCCCTACCAGCTATTAAAACATACTACTAAAGTTGTACTTTTGTACATATTGTACATACTAAATAATGTTTATATACACATATATACATGTATATAACTTACACGTTTACATAGTATAAACATAAAGGCAGTACTGCCGTACTAGTATAAGAATAGTTAGATTAATAAAATAAAAAATCTGGAAATAACAAAATGTCAGAATTTATTCTATGATAAAGATGAGGGGAAAGATACACAGTTAGCATATGGAAGAAGATAAAATTAGATCCATTCATCCCATACAACAGAAAAAATTGCAGTGGATCAGATTTGAGTTGCCAAGTAAATGAGAACTATAGTTTTTTAATTAAAATGGGTGAATTTCTCTGTAGTTTGAAAGTGAGGAAATGTAATTCAGATTTTTAAAAAGATTGACAAATTTGAGTAAAGAATAAGCTTTTTTTTTTTTTTTTTAGACAAGAGTCTTGCACTTTTTGCCCAGGCTGGAGTGCAATGATGCAATCTCAGCGTGCTGCAACCTCTGCCCCCCGTGTTCAAGTGATTATCGTGCCTCAGCCTCTGGAGTAGCTGGCATTACAGGTGCCTGCCACCACGCCCAGCTAATTTTTATATTTTTAGTAGAGATAGGGTTTCACCATTTTGGTCAGGCTGGTCTCAAACTTCTGACCTCTAGTGATCCGTCTGCCTTGGCCTCCCAAAGTGCTGGGATTACAGGCATGAGCCACCATGCCTGGCTAAGAATAAGTTCTTATGAAAAACAAGCAAAAAGATGACAATCTGAGGAAAATTATTGGTAACTTATATCACAGACACAGATTTCTTATCCTTAGTGTATAGATTGTATAATAAGACATAGCAAAAATAAAATCATACTGAGATACTACTCATCTTTCAGATGGGCAGAAACCCAAAATTGGCAAGTCCTTGGGGGCAAAAAAGCACTCTTACATTACTAGTGAGGATACATCAAAGTACAACTCCTGGGGTGGGGCGGTGGTGTAAATTTGGCGATATCTAGCAAAATTATTTATGCTTTCAACATTCAACTAAGCAATCTCCCGTATAGACATCTACCCAAAGATATAGTAGCAGAAATACAAAATTATGTATGAGCATATTCTGTACAGTACTCTTTACTAATAATGAAAACCTAATAGGAAATTGGTTGAATAGAATATTAACCAGCTATGTCAATAGGAAAATGAGGGAAAATCTCTATATACTGCTTTAGAGTTATCTCAGGATATATTGTTACAAAGGCAAAAGCAAAGTGGAAGGAAGTATGCATAGTATGCTACCATATATCAAAGAAGAAGGGATGTGTGATGTGTATGTGTTTGCTTACATTTTTAAGGGTAGAATAAAGGAAATACTGATACAGTTTACCTGTTACCTATTGGAGGTAGGAGGAAGCGGGTGGGAAATAAAGCAAATCTCTGAAATTCAAAGACAGAATGTCATAAGTACACCTGTATTTCAGGTGGTTGGCTAATTATAGAAGAATAATTTCAGGTGACTTTAAAGCACAGTGATTTTACTTTATGTACTTAATGGAATATCTTAAGGAGATAAAATTGCAAAGAAATCTGAAACTTGAATCATTTTAGTGATCATAATGTTATTTTTAGATGATTGCGTATGTATAGAGGACAATACATATTAATGTTGTTAGAACCCAGTTTTTCAGCATGAGAAAAAACAGTTGTTACAAAATCAAAGTAAAAACCATGCATCCTAAATCTGAATTGGAAATATGCATTTTCTGAAGGAGAGTACCACCTAGAAACAGTTACAAAAAAGCAACAGAATAATAATAGGTACCCCCTAGTACGCAGAGTAATGTCTCTAAATACCATTTCCCACTCAAAGAAATCAGGGCTTCTTCAAAAAAGGCTGAGTAAAATTTGGGGCAGGGAATATACTAGATGACCTTGGAACATCTTTTTGTGCCTAAAAGCAAACAAGGAAGTAGAACAAGCCCATTGTAGCCATAGCAAAAAGATCCAGCTTGACCTGGTCAAATATGGCACACTTTGAACATTGATCAGAATAACTGTGCTGGATTAAAACACATCATAAACATATTTTCAAATCTGTGATTTCATAATGATTTTTTTTCCCTTCGCTCCAGGTAGCAGAGTATCAGAATTATTATTATTTTTTTTTTTTGAGATGGAGTCTCATTCTTTCGCCCAGGCTGGAGTGCAGTGGCGCGGTCTTGGCTCAGTGCAACCTCTGTCTGCCTCCTGGGTTCAAGCCATTCTCCTGCCTCAGCCTCCTGAGTAGCTGGTAGGTACTACAGTCACCCGCCACCACACCTGGCTAATTTTTTTTTTTTTTTTTGGTATTTTTAGTAGAGATGGGGTTTCACCATGTTAGCCCGGATGGTCGTGATCTTCTGACCTCGTGATCCGCCTGTCTCGGCCTCCCCAAGTGCTGGGATTACAGGCGTGAGCCACTGCACCTGGCCGATTTTTTTTTTTTTAAACCCTCATTGGCTACCTTTTGGAGGACTCTGGGACCAACTCATCATCCTGAAAGTGTACACAAAAAGGGAATGAATCAAACATTTATTCTGTATCTTACCTGTACAAATTATGTTTCAGAGTAACCAAATACTTAATATGGGAAAATTCTTATTTATAGAACTTCAAATAATACATGGGAAGGAATGATACCATCATTTTGTAACCTCTAATGAAATAATGGGTTTAGGTTTAAAAAAATCAGTGGTTGCTAAAAACCATTGGGTGAAAATAACCTAAAATGGATATAATAAGTTTACCACATCTGCACCACTGATTCATCCTTATCATGAAGACAGTCATCTTGTGCCTTCTCTCCTCATGTAGTGCCACCAATGAAGTATTCTTGCCAAAAATTGTGATCAGGCCTCTATATTCGAACTTGTTTACAGCAAACCAAGAAATGGAAAAGCATGCTGCATAGTACTATGGGGATGCAATGAGCAAAGTCCAGGTTGTAGAAGATTCTTTGAGGCAAATGACACAGTTTCTTTGACAAATAAATGACAAAGAAAAAACCAAGGGGGAACCTGTGTATTAAAACAGTGGTCCTCAGAGCGCTGGCATGAATCAAAAGTCACTGGGAGGGCTTGTCAAAACACAGATTGCTGGCTTCATCCCGTAGTTTCTCATTCATTAGCCCTGGGTTAGGGCCCATGAATTTGCATTTCTAAAACGCTGCTAGGTGCTCTTCCTCCTGATGATCCAGAAACCACAGAACCATGTTATTAAAGAAGTCTTGGATTATGAATCAAATACAATGTATGGACCTTGTTTGGATTCTGTTTTGAACAAGCCAATTGTAAAAATAACAATAATTCCCTTGATAATAGGGAAATGTAGACATGGGATGGACTTTTGATAATATTAAGGAATTGGTAAATTTTGATAGTGTAATCATGGTATTGTAATTATATTTTTCTTTTTTTAAAGAAGGCCCTGTCTTTTTAGAAATACATGTTAAAATTATGGGTAAAATGCTATATTGTTTGCTTGAAAATAATTGGCGCTGAAAAGTAGTTGAGGATAGAGGTAAAAGAGATTGGCCATGTATTAACAATTGGGAAGAAAGCGAGTGATGAGTACACAAGGATTCATTATCTGTATTAATTTTTCTACTTTTCTATGTTTATGGAAATTACCTTCAAAATGTAAAATATATGTTTGGAAACATAAAAATATATTCCAAAATAGCTCATGAATTAAATGTAAGTCACCATAGAAATTACACGTTTTTTGGAATAGAACAGTCATGAATTATACTATTTCAAAACATGTGGGATGCAGGTAAAGCAGGACTTAAGGGTAAGTTTATTGACTTAAGTCTTCCAAAAAAAGATGTAAATGAATTAAGTTCAATTCAAAAGTTAGAAAATGAAACACAGAAAAGCTGGAGGGAAAAAGAACAGAAAAAATAGAAATAAGTTAATAATGCAGTCATCTTTTATTAACAGGTAGCTGAGAAGATTGGATTGAACTAAGGCATTATTCTGAGGGAGGTTGGTCTGTAATATTCCTCTCTTTAATATCCTTGGTTCTGTCTCGGTGCTGTGCTAGCCTGATAGAAGAATTGGGCAGTCTTGAGCCAGGTATGATGCTCGCCTGCAGTCTCAGCTGCTTGAGAGACAGACAGTAGGATTGTTTGAAGCCAGGCATTTGAGACCAGCCTAGGCAACATAGTAAGACAGAAAAGGGGAAAAAAAAAAAAAAAGGTGTGCTAATGTAAAGAGAAATTAAAAGTAGGACTTCTGTTGTCTTAAATAGTTTCTGCCTCAGTGAGTAACTACTCAACTTATGTAGAAATGGCTCAGTATTTTTTCAGCGCACACTTTGTGCCAGATGCTGTGCTAGGTATTGAGGACACATAGATGACTACGATATGACCCATACTCCTGTGGCACTCAGTCTGAGGGAGCATATAAATTTGTAAGTAAAAAATTAGAATCAGGCAATAAATGTCAGTAGACAATATGGAAAAGTTCCCAGGCAATTCCTTGAGAGAAGAAAATTCTTAATGTATAGGATGGGCCCAGCCTTGTGAGGTTTTGCTCAAGTAGTCTCCAAGAAGAAATGGCATTTACCAAGCAGCCAGTCTGTTATAATGGGACACATTAAAAATCACAAGGAGTTTGCTGTGTGACTGGGAGACCATTAAGTTATAAGAGCTGTCAGTGTATGTTATTTAGGATTTTTGTAGCAAGGTTTATATGAGAGATTGGCCTGTAATTTTCCTTTCTTTTAATATCCTTGTATGGTATCAAGGTTATGCTGGCCTTATAAGTGTTGGAAAGTATTCTTTCCTTGTTATGCTCTGGAAGAGGCTGTGTAAGACTGGTATTATTTCTTCCTTGAATGACTGCAAAGCCATTGGGACCTGGGGTTTTCTTTAGTCAATGTGTACTAAACATTTAGTAGAAACAGTGACCCAAAATTTCAACTTAAGTTGAATATGTATCTGAAAAGGTTTATTATTCTTACTAACATTTTCACATAAAACTTCCCTCTGCTCACTGAGGTTAATTCACAGTTTGATCAGTGTTGTATCAGTGACAGAAATTCACTAGTATAAAAACCCAGTCCATTTCTAACCACCAAATGGTGTATTACAGCTTCAAAAAAAAATTTTTTTTTTTTTACTACCTAGGCTTTGTGCTGGGGGTTACCATGGTGTCAAATGAGACAAATCCATGTCATCCAGATACTTGTGGACTCAATTTGATATGAGCAAGCATCAGATCATTTTAATCTACTTGCTTTATTGGGATGTGTATGTGGATATATTAAGGGCTGATTATTTTGATGGGCTTTGCTGTTTGGAATGCTTTGTCTTAATTTTTGTGGATGAATTTTTAATTTATATATTTCATAAGAAGTAATGAATTTGCATCATTCACACTTCAGAAGTTATAAATAAGGTTCTCCACCTTTGTCCTTTAGTCACCCAGTTTCCCATCTCTGGAGCCAAAAGATGTTAGTTGCTTCTTAGCTATTCATCAATTTTTATATCCTCTGAATATGCAATATATTCACCCCCGCTCCCTTCCCCCACCCCGTTTTTTTTAAACACTTTCTCTTCTGCACCTTGCTTTTAATTTAGTAAGTCCTTAGAAACTGTTCCTTATTGCATGTTAAAACTACGTCTTGTTTCTTTTCTCTTATGACTTCCTTGTATCTTGTGACAACAGTAATAATAAATTAATGTAGTCATTGTGATATTGATGGATTTTTAGGTTATTTCCAGTCTTCCTGCCCAAAAAAGTTACATCGAATATCCCAAATTGCTTTTGAATAATTAAATCATCATTTTATCTTCCTTCACTAGTTTTTTAGGACAGATTTTTTTTTTCTTTTCATTTCAGCCATGAACCAGAGAATCAGTCAGAGTGCTCCAGTGAAACAGCCACCACCCCTGGCTCCCCAGAGCCCACAGGGAGGCGTCATGGGTGGCAGCAACTCCAACCAGCAGCAACAGATGCGACTGCAGCAACTGCAGATGGAGAAGGAGAGGCTGCGGCTGAAACAGCAAGAACTGCTTCGGCAGGTGAGGCCACAGGTTAGAAACCAGCCTTCCACTTTTGGGGGTTTGTTTTCTTAAAGTTGGGCAGATTTCATTTTAACATTTATTAGTTACAGAGGAATGTTGTCTTTGTAAAACTGAGTGACACAGAAGCATTCTATCCAGCCCTGTCCTTGTCTTAGTTTTGTGACTGTGAATGGCCTTTGATCAAGTTACAAGGGATGTGACTTGGAAACCTGTATCATGAAGAGCTGTTTTGGTCATGGTCATTGCAATTGAGCAAAAATTGAAGGAAGCAAGGATGCTTTCTCTAATGTACATGGAATTGTGGATTGCTGTTTTTCTGAGGATTTCACTAAAGGGGAAATTCTAGAACATCACTCAGGAGAAAACATCCTTTATTAATAACTTACGTGGCGGGATACACCAATATGACATTTCTCAAATGACAAATATACTTCGGTATTACCGAATCTAAGAATTTTCATTGAAAACAAAATAAATGTTACCTTTGGCCAGGTGCGGTGGCTCATGCCTGTAATCCCAGCACTTTGGGAGGCCAGGGTGGGCAGATCACTTGAGGCCAGTTCAAGACAAGCCTGGCCAACTTAGCGAAACCCCATCTCTACTAAAAATAAAAAAATTAGCCAAGCGTGGTGGCACACACCTGTAATCTCAACTTCTCAGGAGGCTGAGGCACAAGAATCACTTGAGCTTCGGAGGCAGAGGTTCGGTGAGCCAAGATTGTGCCACCGCACTCAAGCCTGGGTGACAGAGTGAGATTCTGTCTCAAAAACAAAAAGTTATCTTCAAGTTTAGAAGATGCCAGTGTGCTTTAAAATTACCTGCTTATGGATGTTTTTTTATTTTGGGGAAAGTAGGACATAGTAGAGAGCTTTGAAGCCCTTTAATCACCAATTCCATCAGCTTTCTTCCAGAAGGTACTGTTGGTTTTTATGTTCCTAATATATATAATTAATCTCAACATTAATTTTTACTTTATCTTATTTCAGAGTGGTTAAATCTACTAAGTTCAGATATTGGAGATAAGGTCTTTTGTTAAGTAGCGTAGATATTTTTAAATTTCCATATAAAATTTTTTTGAATAGATAATAGAAAAATGGTATACTAGTGATAGATGTACAGAGGTGAAAGTACACTCAAAATAAGATCTTTTCCCTGTTTTTCTAGTTCTCTCCTATGGGGCCTAAATAACTATGAGTTTCTTAGGTTTTTTGTTTTTTGTTAATTTTTCCAGAGATACTCTGTTTACATACATAAAATACATGTATCTGTGCCATTTTTTCCCTAGCTAAATCACAGCATGCTAAGTATAGACATTTAAAAATCGTCATACTCGGCCAGGCATGGTGGCTCATGCCTCTAATCCCAACACTTTGGGAGGCCGAGGCAGGAGGTTTGCTTGAGCCCAGGAGTTCGAAACCAGCCTGGGCAACATGGCGAGACTCTGTCTCTTAAAAAAAAAAAAAGCTCTACATTTCTGTTACCAGGAAGGAGGCACCTAAAGGTCTGTTTTTTGTTTTTTGGGTTTTTTTTAGGGCTGTATTTTAAAAGTATCTCTTGAGTGTCAGTGAAAATATGTGAACTCAGTACTACCTGAACTCTGATTTGGGGTTTGAGGAATTGGTACTTCAGGAGTTAAATTAAGCCATGGCATCTGAGACAGGCTCACGTTGAAACTGTGCTTTGTCGGTAATCTGTCCATACAATTCTAGTGTGATTGGCATCAAAGGTAAACCCTGATAGAAGGAGTAAGACAGTATGTGCCAACATACGATGTCAGGAACTTGTTGGGGCTCAGAAAATGATACTCCAAAATATGGTTCTTTGACAAACTAAGGAAGCAGCCTCAAGTTCTATGCCAAAGCACAGGATGAGGCTGTTCCTTGAAGTTCCTTTATCTGCCTAGAAACCAGACCCACCAAAAGGAATACAATTGCCTTTGATCCCCTCCTCAAAATTTCATTAACCAGAGAAGCCTGAAACTTGTATGACAGAGGAAAAGACTAAAAATTAAATATCACACCTAGAGAGCTCAGAGGAACTTTGCCCAGACTATTGTCTGTTCTCAGATCCCATTCAGTTTCCAAAGAGAATTATTTACTAACCATTGTCTGTGTACTGGGCCCATTCATTCTTCCTAAAAATCATTTACTGCCCTTCAAAATGGCGTCATTTCCCTCATGTCCCCTTCCCCTGTGAAGAAGGGTATTATATAGTATCTGGAACTCACTTGGTTATTGGGTAATAATTGTCTTGCAATTTCCCCCATGCTTATGCACCTTAAATAAATTTGTTTGCCATTTTCTCCTGTTAATTTGTCTATTATCAGTTCATTTTCAGCGAACCTTTAGAGGGTAGAGGGGAAGTTTTCCTTTTGGCCCCTATAAAGTGATCTTGAAAGAAATGTTTCTTTATCTGACATAAAAAAGGATGGAGAAAGGAAGCATTATTGTACCTCTGACTTTCTAACAAATTACCATAAAGGAAGAATATTTTTCGTCTACTATTGTTAGAACACCTTAGAACCATCAAAAATATAATTACATGGCTAATAGAAAAAAAAAGAGCAGTTTTAAAATATGTTTTATGTAACCTATTTTCATTGTTTTTCATTTTGTTGTTGCCGAGTAGTAGTTGTTCTAAGTAAATACAGGTCTCAATTTCACTATGAATAAAAACTGTCAAAATCAAGAAACTAAAAAAAAAGTTCTTTAATTACTAATGTCAAAACCATACTGTTTTTAAGATAATTTGTAAAGTCTAGAAATGGGGCCATTCGCCATTTTGTTTTATGCCATAGATCATCCTGGGGTTTTTTGGTGGGCAAATGCTGCTATTTGTAAAACTCTTCCTTCCAAAGATTTTCCTAAATCTTTATTCTCAAACTTACTCTGGGTGATGGGTCCTGGACAGAATAGCTTCACTTCCTTTAAAGGTAACTTCTTTGTTTCATCTTTACTGCCTACTGTGT
The DNA here is from genome assembly GCF_000001405.40 of Homo sapiens. NCBI lineage: Eukaryota > Metazoa > Chordata > Mammalia > Primates > Hominidae > Homo > Homo sapiens. The sequence goes on from NC_000011.10 coordinate 102,209,046, forward strand.
CGTCTTTTCTTATGTTGAAGTTGACAGACCTGCTCTATTCTCATACTAATAGACTATTTTTAGATTTTTTTAAAGTAATCACAATAAATTCAGTATATCTTAAGTCTTTTGGCTTCCTGTGAACTTCTTCCCTTGACAGTTTATCTTAGCACTGAAACATCAAATATATTGTATCTGCTTTATCTAATACTCAGAAACAAAGAACCTACGTGACCAATATCAAATTTTATTTTTTAGTTCTGACTCCTAAAGTCTTGCTGTCCTATCCTCAATGCTGTTAAAAACTTCTGAGGTTCCAGTTTTGTTATGTGGTGACTCCATTGGCTCCTGTCTTCGTCAGTCTGCTTCTTCTTGGGTAGCTTGGGAATTCTGTGCTATGGTGATATGTCTGGATACAATTTGTAAGTCAGCCTACACAGCCAGACCATGTGGCTTAAAGTAATTTTTATCCGTCTTATTTTTTACTCTTAGGCAATGCGGAATATCAATCCCAGCACAGCAAATTCTCCAAAATGTCAGGTAGGCTCTTATCTGATGTTTTAGCACTGGAAAAAAAAAAAAAAAGATATTAAATTAGGAAAGAGAAACTTACATTCCAGGGTCCTGTCCTTATTGGACATTAGCCCAGAGAATAACTTTGAGCCATCTTTCTACCAAGATACTCAGGTTAACATTGCCCTTCCAAGAAAGTCTACACAGTCTGCTCCCTCCCTGCTCCTCCTAGGGAGTTTCTGTTTATTTTGATTCCATGGAGGTCTTTTTTATTCTATATTTAAATGTATTGTGTCTCAGTTGTACATCCTATCAGCTAGGTATGCCTAATTTTTATTTGAATAGCTTAAAATAGTATGTGTAATGATTTAAAGGAATTAATAAATTGAACAGTAACAAAAGCAGTATTTACTTGGATAGGCTACTTTAGGAAATTTTAGAGTCATGATACTATGAGGAAGAGAAAAATTCTTTCTAGTGGACATTCCAAAGGAAAAATATCAAAATTATCAGGAGAGTATCTGCCTGGATAGTGTTTCAGGTTTTCTTGTTGGCTTTTATCAGCATTCTCTGATGAACCCCAGGGAGCCCTGGTTGTGAAGGCATCTTATTTAGAAGGAAAGATTGTGGCCAATTTTTCTTCTAACACAGGCACTTGTCTGACTCGTGGGAAGAATCTCGTTCTTAAAACCAAAAAGATTTTAGGTGTTTGAGGTCCACAAGATTAGAAGAAATTCGGAGCCAGAGGATCATTCTACTTCTCTTGGGGCAGAAGCAACCATATAATGCCTCACCTTCTATGTAACTTACTCTGCACTATGCTAAATAAGTACATTGTTTTAGAATCTGCTGTAGAAGTAGGAGTTGGCAAAATTCTACTCATTTTGGATACTGTTAAGTTGTCCGTTGGAGCACCATGATGATAAAAGTCAGATACAGTCTTCATAGAAACCAGTTAATTTTGTGAGAGGGAAAATCTCTATTCTTCTTTATCTATCTCATAAATGCCACCATTAATCAAAAGACCAAGCAAGGGATAACTCAATAATAAGCCATCTTCACCAAAGTTGAGCATAGACATTCTTATGATGAGGGGGCACTAATATACCATTTGACTGTGAAGTGCAGGATAGCATTGGGTCTTTATAACGTGAAGCCATTTTTTTCTTTGCCATTTCTCTGAAGTGTTTGTTTTGTTTTGTCTTTTTGTTTTTGTTTTTTGTTTTTGTTTTTGAGATGGAGTTTCGCTCTGTTGCCGAGGCTGGAGTGCAGTGGTGTGATCTCGGCTCACTGCAAGCTCCGCCTTCCGGGTTCACACCATTCTCCTGCCTCAGCCTCCCAAGTAGCTGGGACTACAGGCGCCCGCCACCATGCCCAGCTAATTCTTTTTGAATTTTTTAGTAGAGACGGGGTTTCACAGTGTTAGCCAGGATGGTCTCGATCTCCTGACCTCGTGATCCGCCCACCTCAGCCTCCCAAATTGCTGGGATTACAGGCGTGAGCCACCACGTCTGGCCTGAAGTGTTTCTGAAAGAAGAATTTTATTCATGATAAATGAAATAGAAACTAATATAGGAGCAGAAATTAACTCAAAGGAGATTTGGATTCAGGTAAAAAGTCCTCCATGCCAAAAAAATGTTGAAATTGTTTCCTTTTTTCCCAAGGTCTTATACCCTGAATCTGATAAATAAGTCAAATTCTTCTTGATCTTTGTTTCATACTTGAATAGAAAAGTAAATCTTTACTGTTATTAAAATTATCAGGAATTCTTAGATTTTTTAAAATAGTAAAGTTTTAGAAAAGGTGAGGCTTATTAGTAGTAAAGCTTCTAAGATACGAAGATTAGAGGTAATTACTCAGATTTGCCCAGACCAGAGCAAAAAACTTGAAAGAGGTTTTTAAAAATCTTCTTTGCATATGCTGGAGATTAAAATATTGGTTTGTTATATATGCTTTAGTTGTCAGTGTTTAATATTTACCTGGCATAATTGTGGAAAGTTATCAGTAAATGTATGAAATTCAAGTATAGGGTTATATTTGAAATAGATCAAGAAATCTGGTGGTATTTGTATCAAGAAAGCATGTGTATATTTTTCTCATCCTATTATTTTCTAAATAACCTTAAGGTAGATGTCAGGAAATAGATCACAAAGAAGAGTCATGTCTTTTCTTCTTTTTTTTTTTGAGATGGAGTCTTGCTCTGTCACCCAGGCTGGAGTGCAGTGGCGCAATCTCAGCTCACTGCAACCTCCACCTCCCAGGTTCAAGCAATTCTCCTGCCTCAGCCTCCTGAGTGGCTGTGATTACAGGTGCCTGCCACTACGCCCAGCTAATTTTTTGTGTTTTTAGTAGAGACGGGGTTTCACCATGTTATCCAGGATGGTCTCCACCTCCTGACCTCATGATTCGCCTGCCTCGGCCTCCCAAAGCACTGGTATTACAGGCGTGAGCCACCGCGCCCAGCCAGAAGAGTCATATCTTAAGTGAAGATGGCTTTAAATAGTGTTTCTCAGAATAATCAAGAAAGCTAGAAAGGACTTTTCAGCCCCAAAGAACAGAGGGTATAAAGACATCACTCAGTATCTGAACACTAGACGCTGTTGTAAAGTTACTGGGTTTTTAACTTATACTTTGTAATAGATATTAATGCAGCTGAGTTAGCAAGCAATAGTGAGATCAGTGTCATTTTCTAATCGTATACCTCATATGCTGTGGGATGTGGAAAGCCACTAAACTTCAAAATGCTTATGAATTACTACAGAAGCTGTCTTTAAGTACTTCCTATAGGATTTAACATATCATGTGGCTGTTGTAGGGTGCTGTGCTCGTGTACACTAACGTCAGTATGGGTGAGGTTAATGAAAAATTCCAAGATCCATGGCCCAAGTGATATTGAAATGTAAAATTTTGAAAAAACTTTAAAGGCATTTATATATCTTCTTAGTTAAATATGGAAATTATCACCTTAATTTATTATACTATGTTGGCAGGATTTTGGAAAAATTCATCCTTACAGAGCTTAACTTTTTATTTTTATTTTTATTTTTATTTTTATTTTTATTTTGAGACGGAGTTTTGCCCTTGTCGCCCAGGTTGGAGTGCAATGGCATGATCTCTGCTCACCGCAACCTCTGCCTCCCGGGTTCAAATGATTCTGCCTCAGCCTCCCAAGTAGCTGGGATTACAGGCATTCGCCACCATGCCCGGCTAATTTTGTGTTTTTGGTAGAGACAGGGTTTCTCCATGTTGGTCAGCCTGGTCTTGAACTCCCAACCTCAGGTGATCTGCCCACCTCGTCCTCCCAAAGTTCTGGGATTACAGGCATGAGCCACCACACCCTGCCAAAGAGCTTAACATTTTAATTTCATTTTGGTTACTTATGATTTTTATGTTTCAAAAGCAATTTCCATTCTCAGAAGAAACTTTCTGAAACTGTAAACATCTTTGCTTTGTGAGATTGAGCAGTTAATGCTATTTTCTAGTCATATCTCTGTTACACATCAGTGCTCACTTGTAAATTGGAGAGACCTTTTGAGCAAGTGGGTTTAGGAATGCACTCTAGCTTCTGTTTTAAGGTCTTTTGAGAGAAGAACTTTGAGGAAAGATAGTCCCCCCTGAGGTGCGAACACTTCTACCTTCTCTTGTGCTTAAGAATATGGTTCTTGGACTGGGGGCGGTGGCTCACGCTTGTAATCCCAGCACTTTGGGAGGCCAAGGCGGGTGGATCACCTGAAGTCAGGAGTTTGAGACCAGCCTGGTCAACATGGTGAAACCCGTCTCTACTAAAAATACGGAAATTAGCTGGATGTGGTGGGGCGGGCGCCTTTAATCCCAGCTGCTCAGGAGGCTGAGGAGGGAGAATCGCCTGAACCTGGGAGGCAGAGGTTGCAGTGAGCCAAGATCGTGGCATTGCACTCCAGCCTGGCGAAAAGAGCAAAACTCCGTCTTGAAAAAAAGAAAAAGAATTTGGTTCTTAATATCTGGGGTTCCCTAGTACCTATGAGATCGAGTTTAAACTCTGCAACTGGCTCATGGTCTGTGGTCAGTAGCCTTTTCACTCACTGGTTCCAGTTAAGCCAGTAACTCTTCCATTATTAGCTAAGTGTACTCCACTGCCTTGTTGCTGTTATTCTGCTCACAAGCTTTTCCCCATAGTGAGAACCTTGCTTATCCCCTTTCTTACCAGTAAAGATTCTTCATTTCTGTTTTAAGGCTTAGGGTGAGATTCATTCCCAAGTGCCCTTATGAGAATTCTTGAGGCAGGGCACAGTGGCTCACGCCTGTAATCCCAGCACTTTGAGAGGCCGAGGCAGGCAAATGACCTGAGGTCAGAAGTCCGAGACCTGCCTGGCCAATATGGTGAAAGTCCATCTCTACTAAAAACGGAAAAATTAGCTGGGCTTGGTGGCATGCACCTGTAGTCCCAGCTACTCAGGAGGCTGAGGTGGGAGGATGGCCTGAGTCTGGGAGGCAGCGGTTCAGTGAGCTGAGATCATGCCACTACACTCCAGCCTGGGTGACAGAGTGAGACTCTGCCTCAAAAAAAGAAAATTAGAGAATTCTTGAAACTACCCAGAAATAAAAACAACACTGCTGTATAAAGATGTCTTAACTCAGTAGCCAGTATAATTCCAATTTAGGTGGTCAAAAGTATGATATGGGGTTACTTTCATTTCTGGGCAAGTAATTGCTTCAATCTGTATAGAAATTACAGTATAAATATTTGGCAACTACTGAATAATGTGTAGTTGCCATTCCTTATAGGTGGTAATGAATAGACACCAAGGTCAGTCCCTGGTTTAATGAATAATAAAGCCCACAGTATTGCTGATGAGGATATTATACTGCACCATTACCTCTCAACAGTGAAGAGGTTCAGATGTTCACAGTTGTAGTTAATGAGAACAAAATAATACCATTGTTCAGAGCTATATGAAAACAATTGCCAACAACCATTTTTTTCCTGAATTTAGTAAAAGTAAAGTATTTGGCTTTTTTCCCTTCAAACTGTCTTTCATGTTAGCTGTTTCAAAATCCTGTTAACACTTGTCTAACGTTATCTTTCTCTTCGAAGTTCTGATATTAAATAAATCATAGATTTATTTGAAGGTTTTCCAATGAATATATTATATTTTATTTTTAATGGGTACATTGAAAACTTTATATAAGAGGGAAGATTTAGTCTCACACCTCACATACTTTTAACTGGTTATTTCATTTGTTTTATTAAACTTGCCTCTTCCTTGTTATTTGAACAGTGCCATAATAACTTTGAGACCATGATTGAGTAATACAGATTACAAAAGGCCTAATTCCAGAAGTCTATCAGAAAGAATGTAGAATCCTAGGATAATGCTAGGGAACACCAACCTGCCATCCTGTTTTGGATGTGATTTTTCAGAGTTTAAGATTATCATCTAGTTCTCATAACTGTCCCCCAATCCATGTGTATACTTTTTTTAATCAAAAAAGTTGTTCTAAAGTTAAAACTGCTTTGGTAAATGGCATAAACATTAAAAAACATAAAGCATTGGCTCAGTGTTTTAATGACTTTAGAAATAATAAAATGTTTTATTACAGTTTAAAGCTGTGTTGGAAAATAGGGTATGGCAAGACCTCTATCTTAAACAGTTGGAAGAAATGGCATTTTTTTCTATTTTTAGAATTGTTGACATAAACTGCTATCACTAAGGCAAACTACTTACAAGACATATATTTTTAGAGTTATTCTCCATTTCTAAATTTGGATTTCCAGTTCACTAAGTTAATCTTCCTTAAACAAATTGATTACCACCCTCCCTGCAAAAACCCCTTGCTCCTGTGCCATATATTATCGAAAAAAGACACACTTTTATATAATGCAGTATTTACTAAAGACAGAATTGCTTTAAGAAAGTAACACTGACTAGGTAGTTAGCTCCCCAAATCATTAATTCTTATGTTATTTTATTTATTTAAGATGGAGTTTCACTCATCACCCAGGCTGGAGTGCAATGGCACGATCTCGGCTCACTGCAACCTCCTCCTCGTGGGTTCCAAGAGCTTCTCCTGCCTCAACCTCCCAAGTAGTTGGGATTAGAGGCGCACACCACCACCCCCAGCTAATTTTTTTTGTATATTTAGTAGAGACAGGGTTTCACCATGTTGGTCAGGCTGGTCTCGAACTCCTGACCTCAGGTGATCCACCTGCCTTGGCCTCCCAAAGTGTTGGGATTACAGTCATGAGCCACTGCGCCTGGCCTGTTAATATTTTTATATGCAACGAACATAGTATGTTTCATTGGGTTCAGTAAGGAAGATAAAATAGTGTTGCTATTTAAGGGAATTAGTAGACATGGGATAGGGAAATTGCATATATTTATATAAGAAAACAGGCCAGCCTTTTTCTCCCTTTCTTAACAATATGATATGTCTTTGTGGTTCAGTCTAGCCAAAAAACAACAACCTCTGCCTCCCATACAAGCGCGCGTGCTAGCGTGAACACACTCAGATAACAAAGGTTTCAGGAGGCAGAAGTGAAATGGAAATTTCGGAAAGTATCCTACTCCATGCTTTACCTAGTCAGATTATGAAGGAGAATGACCATGAAGTTAGACAAATGAAAGAGTTTTCTCCTATAAGGTGTCCTGCTTCTGGGGAGGAACAGTTAAATCATGTGTTTCCATCGTGAGTAAGTTTTATAATTCCTTGTATTCTTAGCAAAGGATTGTAAATGTGAAAGTGAAGTTACCATAGGAAACTAAGAATTTTAGATGTAAAATAGTGAAAATTTGTTTCAGGGTTATCTAGACATTTTGCTACTTTAAAAAAAAATCTTAATATGGGTAAGCATGAAGTCAAATTAATCCGAATGTTTAATCAAAAATATATTTTATATAAATTCTCCATTATATTACATTTAAAAATAAGCCTGTATATGTCTTATACCTGTGTTAAAAAATGCCAATTATATTTCAATAATGTAATTTTATCAAAACACATTTTCAGTGAATATCAACATTATTTCATAATTGGGTAAATCTGGCATAGCTCTTTTGTAGACAGTCCAATTATGTCCTGAGCCATAAGCCTTGGGACATAATTGGATTGTCTACAAAACTGATTTCAGTTGAAACATTTCATGTTGAAAGTTACGTCTATCTCTAAGAAGTTTTTGGATTATTTTATCCTGAACACAATGCCTAAAATTAGAATACTGGACTAAAAATACAAGTTTGTTAAACTTCTGTTTTCCCAAAGGTAACTAGGATAAATAGTTTGACAGACTTTCAAAACTGGGGAAATAAGTTACAGGAAATTTAGCCAAAACATAATCATGCTTCTGTTCTGTATTTCAAAGGTCAAATAGTTTTTTTCTAACTGAAGCAAGTATTTTTAGCCATTTTCTTCTGTAATAATACAAAAATGTGGTAGCTTTTCCCATTGAGCTTGTAAATCTTAGCTAATGTGGGACACATTTGGAGTCAGAGCTATCTACGCTGTAAGTAAAACTAAGGGTCCCAGTTTGTTCTGGAGGAAACTTTGCAGGGTGGTTCATAAAAGAAAACATGAGTTTGCCTGCTTTATTTAGTGGACTTTTATGGAACCAAGACCTAGCCATAAGCCATTGGCCCTTCTTACTACATTTCTCTCCTCTCATGTAAATAGCAATATAATTTCCCAGAAGTCAAAAAAGATGCTAAGATTATGTAGTTTTGAAAGTTAAGGTATGTTGGCCTTACATAAAATGATGCCTTAGTCCACATCATTTAGAAAAATAATGAGAAAGGCAGTAAAAGTAGTCAGAAGTCTGGAAACACTTAGAATATTTTTAAGGTTTTTTTAAATTTTTAGAGTATCCAAGAGAAACGAAAGCATGTTTCTACACAAAGCCAAAATGTAGAAATAACCCAAATGCCTATCAACAGATGAATAAACAAATGTAATATATTCCTACAGTGGAATACTAGTTAGCAATAAAAAGGAATGAACTGTGGATATAACATGAATGAATCCCAAGATTATCACACTAAGTGAAAAAGTACATGCTGTATGATTTTATTTTAGAAAATTCTAGAAAATACCGAATAATCTACAATGACAAAAAGCAGATGATTAGCTTCTGAAGGTTGAAGTAGGGGAGGTGAGAAGTAGTGGGAGAAAATTTTGAGGATGATTATCTTTTTTTTTTGAGATGGAGGTTCGTTCTTATTGCCCAGGTTGGAGTGCAATGGCGCAATCTCAGCTACCAGAACCTCTGCCTCCCGGGTTCAAGCGATTCTCCTGCCCCAGCCTCCCAAGTCCTCCCGAGTAGCTTGAATTACAGGCACCTGCCATCACACCCAGCTAATTTTTTGTATTTTTAGTAGAGACGGGGTTTCTCCATGTTGGTCAGGCTGGTCTCGAACTCCCAACCTCAGGTGATCTGCCCACCTCACCCTCCCAAAGTGCTGGGATTACAGGTGTGAGCCACTGCACCCGGCTGAGGATGATTATCTTGATTGTAGTGGCAGCTTCACAGGTGTACACACATGTCAAAACTCATCAATTTATGCACTTTATAATTTATTGTATATCCGTTATATATCAAAAAGCTTTTCAAAATTTACTTGGAATATCTAATCACCTGTAACTAAAAGTTTCAAAACTCAGCTGAGTATTTATACCTTTAGTATGCTATCCATAATCTGCATATATGTTATTTGTATCATTGGCCTTGTTACATTAGAGTCATCCCTTGGGGGATTGGTTCCAGCAAGTCCCTTATATAAAATGGCATGCTATTTGCATATAACCTACACACATCCTCCTGTATACCTTAAATCATTTCTAGATTACTTATAATACAATGGAAATGCTATGTAAAGAGCTGTTACACTGTTATAACTGTGTTGTCATTCTGTATTGGGAATAATGGCAAGAAAAATAGTCTATATATGTTAAGTACAGACACAGCCTTCCATTTTTCTTCTCGAATATTTCGATCCATACTTGGTTGCCTTACGGATATGAAAGGCTAACTATATTTGTTTTCATGCCAAATTCTTCCCTATTTGATTAATAATACACTCCTGCCACCAGTAAGTAAAGTGTCTTTTTTTCATTGATTCTTTCAAGTCTAATTTAGGTGAATCCTTAGGTTAGTTACTGTTAGTCATGGCTCAAATATAGGTTTAATGAGAAGAGTGTTTCCATAGCCCTTCAAGGGGTCGGATATCTCCTTAGGTAACTTGGAATGATTTCCCTGCTTACTGACATCTCTAAGTTATCTTTCTTTATAAATCTGCATAGTTGGTTCTGCAGTGTCTGCTGACATAGAAATTCAGTTGTTAAATGAAGTAAAAAGTAAAAATTTCACGGCTTTTAACAAACATAGTGGCCAAATTCAAAGCAGCAAGAACATGGAGAGTCTAGTCTGCACATGATACTAGTTTTAACCTAATAAAAAGTAGGAATTTTATTTAAAAGGCTAAAATAAAAAGTTGTAAAAATAATATGAAAATTATAGCCAATTCAGTTATTTTAGTTATGACTTACAGTTTAGTGTTATATATTTGTTTTGTGCTACAAACAGGAGCATACCTTCTTTGATAAAAAGCAAATGAGAGTCTTTAGAATATTCTCCAATACTCCCATGTTTGTCACAGAACCCTAGGCATCAGCCTTTTCTGGAGTCTATAATTTTATTCATTTTAAAGTTTATTGTTAAATACATCCTCATATTTTAAGAGCAAAATAAATTCTTCAAGGAATTTTAAGTTGTTTTATGCTCCAGAGTAATTCATTCACTCTGGCCTTAGGGGGTACAGCAAAAATAATTACGATATTTTGTGATAAGTGCTGTGTTCAGGATGTTAAAGACATGACATGTCTGTGTCTAATCCAATCTCAAGATCGAGATGGGATCACCACGGAGAGTTTCTTCAAAAAGGTAGTGCCTTCACCAGGTCTTAAATAATACGGAAGAAAGGCATGGTATTGAGAGGATGTGTCCTCCCACAGACAGACTACAATGAGTGTAGTATCACTGTTTTAAAGTCACTTCTCACTTTGTAAGATGAGCATGGGAGGAGTCAAAAGTAGAAGATAGAAAAGAAATAAGAGGGATCCCCATAAGACTGCAAGAAAAGTTAAAAAGATGATGAGTATAAATGAAGTTACTTTTGAGGCAAGCAGGAAGAGGTGGCAAGAGGGGCCAGAAAAATCAAAGATTATACCTGATGACCTGGTTTTTTTTGTTTGTTTTGTTTTTTGTTTTTTGTTTTGAGACAGAGTCTCGCTCTGTCACCTAGGCTGGAGTGCAGTGGCGCAATCTCAGCTCACTGCAACCTCAGCTTCCTGAGTAGCTGGGACTACAGGCATACGCCACCACGCCTGGCTAATTTTTTTATATTTTCAGTAGAGACGGGGTTTCACCATGTTGGTCAGGCTGGTCTCCAACTCCTGACCTCAAATGATCCGCCCACCTCAGCCTCCCAAAGTGCTGGGATTACAGGCGTGAGCCACCACACCCAGCCAATGGCCTCAGTGTTCTAATGTAGATGGAAAAGAAATAGACATGGACTTCACTGGCTGGGCATGGTGGCTCACGCCTGTAATCCTAACACTTTGGGAGGCCAATCGCTTGAGCTCAGGTGTTAAGACCAGCCTGGGCGACATATAGTGAGACCTTGTCTCTACAAAAAAATTTGGAGGAAGAGAAAAGAAAAGAAATGGACTTCCCTGAATAGGGGCTTGAGATAGTATGCCATATTTGGAGTAGTGACCATGAGGATGTGAAAAACAACTGACCAAGAACAAAACAAAACAAAAAAACCAATAAGTGGTACTAGGGTCCATCCAAAACCAAAGACCTTTAATTTGTAATGATAACATTCTGGATAGTTATGTGATTTCTTTTTTTTCTTTTCCCTTAGCATTTCTCAGCAATCTCAGAATGAAAATGGAACAAATACACTTTGGCATTGCTTTGGGGTTGGGATTTGCTGGGCTGAGATAAAATTATATGTACATCAGGAATCTAAAAGGTGCTTATGCTGTTTTGAATGATCAGTCATGAATTTAAGCTTGTAGGGAAGGAGAAAAAAAAATAAGATACCAAAAGACAGCCAATAGACTAGACTAGTAAGGAGAGATGGGTCTGGAGTCTCTGAGGTTGGAGGGCTGGTAGAGTGGACATGAGTCTATGCAGGAACTGGTTAGAAAAAAATGTGAGAAAGTAAAATAAGTGCATGTAAGATTTTGGGGAGAGAAGTTTCTAAGCCAGTTCTTGGGTATGACTGAGGGAATTAATGATTGAAATACAGTGATGAAGTGGTCAGTATCATTTCGGTGTAAAGGCGATCCCGGCATTTCAACAATGGGTTATTATATGGGTTTTATGCATGGAGGTCATAATTCCAATGTGATGAATGCAGTTGGAATGAAGAGAAACACTGATCATCGTCTCAAAACATGACTTAAGATTTTAGAGTTGGTTTGGTTTCAAATAACAGGATCTTAGTGGCTGTGCAATGGGTGTTTGAGTGGAGTGGAGATGAAGGTCACTGGAATCCAGAAGGTTCAGGAAGCTGTCAGGTTAAGTGAATTGTCCATTTAATACTGAAGCATGTTAAGAGGCATGGAGAATACTTGGAGTGGCAAGAGGCTTTGACCAGACTCCAGAATTTTCCCGTATATAAGATGGAGTAACGAAGAGATCAGTAAATTTGAGTACAAGAAGCAGTTTACCTTGCAGGGAAGACAGGCAAACAATTTTGGCATTTGGCCAAGTCCCTAGGTTCCCTCTCAGGACATTGGTGTTTGTTTTTTTTTAAAGTACAGGATTGAAAAGAAAAGGAATTTCATTGATACAGTTAAGAAAATATTAAATAGAAACTTGTGATATAACGTGCTTCTTTTTAATGTATAAATAACAAGATCTAAGGCTGGGTGCAGTGGCCTATGCTTGTAATGCCAGCACTTTGGGCGGCCAAGGAGGGTAGATCATCTGAGCCTGGGAGATTGAGACCAGCTGGGCAACATGGCAAAACCCTGTCTCTACAAAAATACAAAAAATTAGCTGGGTATGGTGGTGTGCCTCTGTGGCTGCAGCTACTCATGAGGCTGAGGCAGGAGGATCACTTGAGCCTAGAAGGTCAAGGCTGCAGTGAGCTATAATTGCATCACTGCATTCCAGATTGGGTGACAGAGTGAGACCCTGTCTCAAAAAGATTAAAAAAAAAAAAAATCTAGAAGCACATCTTATAACGTAACTACTGTAGCATTGAAATAGCAATGATCATAAATGGTATTTTAAAATATTTGCAACAACTACAATGTGATATGAAAACATTTATATGTTCTATTGGTGAAAAGTTAGGTACAGTGAATACTAATGGTGCATACTACATTGGAGAAAATGTTGACAAATTTAGCGAAAGTTAATGTGTAATTTTTTTTTTTTTACCCCATTGAAGTTCAGAGACTCTCTGAATTCTGTCATGGTCCGCTGGTTAAGAAACTCTGGTTTAAAGGATGGTATATCCAGAAGGCATAAACCTAAAGAAAAATAAGTGGTATTTGCATGCAGGAGAATTGTAGTTTAGAAGTGGCAGCGTAGAGCTAGGAGAAGCTTTCCATACTTCAGGACCCCATGGCGATTGTGGAGGTGAGGGCTGGAGATGGTGGGGCCGTGCCTCAGTGAGCAGACTTGGCTCAGAAAGCTGTGTGGAAGGATGACGGAGTCAGGCCAGTATCCTTTGTGATAAGAAACTGTATGTATTTCAAATCAAACCCAAAAAGTAGAGGGAAAGAAAGCTGATGGTCTAGTAGAGATGATGTTTACGATAGGTGGAGAGGCACAGTGAAAATTCTTAGGAGGGTAAGAAACAGTGAACAGATAAAGGAGAGAAAAAGGACAGAGTAGTAATGAGTGTGCTACGGATGGGTCACAGTGAGATGAACTGTTTTTGAGGTCCTGGGCAAATACAGGCTGAAACCTGGGAGGTTTGGAAGCCCTTGAAGGCAGGCCTTCTGCAACCATCAGAGTAGCAACCTACAGCCTTTGCTCAGGTTTACAGGGAGAATCCTGCTGAGAAATTGTTGGATGACCCTGAAGAAATTTTACCCCATTTTAAATATTATGTTTGTGGTGGAGAAGCCTTGGGTTTGTGTTTTAACTTCTGATGTCTTTTTTTCATTTTCCTCCTCTCTCCCTGCTAGAGGATGGAACATATTCTATCCAGCTCAGGATAGAAAAACCTAAAGTCAAAATGAGACATTTAATAGCAAAGTGTGAAATAGTGTTGGGGGTTGGGGAAGGATTGGTGTCTTATAGTAAAATCATCAGATGCTATTCTTCCTACTTCTTTTTTTTTGGCGGGGGAGGGGGTCGGGGGGTTCCAAACACACAAAACCATATAAGAGTTGTCGAGTAAAAGCAAACTTTAAGAATTATTTTTTTAGGGCCGGGCGCGGTGGCTCACGTCTGTAATCCCAGCACTTTTGGGGGGCCAAGGCGGGTGGATCACGAGGTCAAGAGATCGAGACCATCCTGGGTAACATGGTGAAACCCCGTCTCTACTAAAAAAAATACAAAAAATTAGCTGGGCGTGGTGGTGCGTGCCTGTAGTCCCAGCTACTCGGGAGGCTGAGGCAGGAGAATCACTTGAACCCAGGAGGCGGAGGTTGCAGTGAGCCAAGATTGCACCACTGCACTCCAGCCTGGTGACAGAGTGAGACTCCGTCTTGAAGAACAAAAAAAAAAAAAAAAAAAGAAGAATTTTTTTTTAAAGACCAGACTTGCCATTCTATAATAACCCAAAGGAGGATTTGGGAGTATCTTCCAGAGTAAGGAAAATAACAAAAAGAAAACAAAGTAGCAAAATGTATATAGGGTGGGGGGTGGTTAATATGACTAGACAGACTTTAAATATATGTAACTTAATTTTTAGTCATTTGAAATGGATAGAATTAGGTCATTCTGATTGGGAAATGTATTAACTTTAAAGTAGATGTTTTTAATCTATCTGCACGGTTACTCTGATGAACGTTTTATTTCTTTAAACCTAACATTAAATGTGTTAATCAGTAGATTGATTCTCTTTGGCTTTATTTTTAATTAGGAGTTAGCCCTGCGTAGCCAGTTACCAACACTGGAGCAGGATGGTGGGACTCAAAATCCAGTGTCTTCTCCCGGGATGTCTCAGGAATTGAGAACAATGACGACCAATAGCTCAGATCCTTTCCTTAACAGGTTGGTGAAAGTTGCTACTGGTGAATATCTGAAAAGGATCATTGCTTTAAAATCATTCTGCTTAGTGCTTGTAATAGGCTATTTGGAACATCTGTGTGGGCCAAAAACCATAGCTGTAAATGAATCTCTCTGTAAATGGCAAGTACATGCAGAGTTGAGGATTAAAAGTTGTCTCCTGTGAGAGGAAGTGAACTGTTCAGACTTGTACAAGGGATACTTATTCAAAGTCATGACGTGTTTGCTTCTGCCTATACTGTTGACTAACAGTTACTTAAAATTACAGAATCATGAAGGAACATGTGAATGCCTTTCTGTGAAAGCAAATGAATTTCATGTTAAACCTACTTAGGATTGCATTATAAGGATCACTGGAAGGAATTTTCCACATAGCTATTCAAGCTAAAACGTTTCACCCAGCAGCACTGTAAGGCCTCATGTTCTTAAGGGCTATAGTCCAAGGAGATAAAATGTAAGGTTGTGCCTCTTTCAAAAATGCACTAAGATTAACGGCAGTATTTGAAAATAACATAGCTTAGGGATGCTTCTTAGTGAGTTACCACAAATCCTGGGTTTCAGACAGATTGCAATATTACATAAACTGCCATTTTGAAGTCTGTAAGCTGAAACAGGTCATATTCTTTGCCTAGGAAGTCATTTAAGATTAAGATTTAACTAAAATTCCTTCTTCTAGGTTGTGGAGTTTCAAACTTTTTAAAATATGGGATTAGTTTACGCTTTGGATTCCTTTTCTAACTGATTTAAATAACACACTTTCTTAAATACTCAAAGGTATTTTGCACTAGGAAAACTATTACACCACCTTTTCAGTTCTCACCAATTGAATTGGAAACTTAGTAATTCCAAGAGAAAATATCTTATCCTGCTAAAAGTATTTAGTGCAATAGAATTCACCATTTACTCAGTTTTTAAGATTAGTACTGGTGGCCTAGTTGGAAGGTTTGATTTTGAAGACCATCTAAAATGTATTTTAAGTTTGTATTTACTCTTCTGACATACACTTTAAAGTTCTAAAAGTAAGTGTATTTATATAAGATTATAGTTCTAGACTTAAACTGAGGCTAATTAAGAGAGGCATAGCCTCAGAACTTTTTTTCCAACAAGGAAAATTTCATATCCATGTAATTCCAGTACCTGTCTTGTTGAAGGGGCTATATTAATCCCAGGGATAAAAATTAGACCATTTTAAAAATGGATAGGCTGCATATCCTTCTGACAGTCACTTATGAAGATTTTTTTTCTTAAAACTTTTGATGAGAGCTGGGCTACAATTTGAGATTCTATTTTCTGGGAAGATCAGAGTGGCAGATAATCAGTGTTACTAATCTAAGGGCAGAATTGTATATGCATTCTCTGCAGTACCCCCAGTTTCTAATAATAACATACATCTGACTTTGACTTTTTTTTTCTTTAAAAAAAAAAACAACTCTTGGCTGGGCATGATGGCTCATGCCTGTAATCCCAGCACTTTGGGAGGCCAAGGCAAGTGGACCACCACCTGGGGTAAGAGTTCGAGACCAGCCTGACCAACATGGCGAAACCCCATCTTTACTAAAAATACAAAATTAGTTGGGCATGGTCACGCATGCCTATAATCCCAGCTACTCGGGAGGCTGAGGCAGGAGAATCGCTTGAACCCGGGAGGCAGAGGTTGCGGTGAGCCGAGATCATGCCGTTGCACTCCAGCCTGGGCAACAAGAGTGAAACTTGGTCTCAAAAAACAAAAAGACAAACAAAAAAACCTCTTGATGGTTTTTCCCTTGTTTACTATTTGATTTATGTATATTCCTTAAGCTCTAAATACTTTTTGCCCCAACTTGCCTTGGCATTGACTCTTAGTAGTAATGCTGAGTTCCCTTAGTTCCCTTTTACTTTTACCCTCAAAGCTCACTCAGATGTCCCCCTCCATGAAACTTTTACCCTTTACTTCTAAGCTCCCTGTTTGTTCTGAAAGCACTGTGCTTACATCTGAGTTCATATAGCCCCTAAATATGATTCATTAGTATATTTGTTCATTTCCCTCCTTGAAGTTGTGAGCCTCTCACAAAACATTGTTTGTAGGTGGTGGTGATTGTTAACCTCTTTATCCTCAAAGCCTAGTCTAATGCCTGTCATGTAGTAGCAGATGCTCAGTGAATGTTTACTGAATGAGTGGGGCCTGTAGGAAGTGGGGTTCTGCAGGGAGCAGTTCCTCACCAGGAAAATGGCCCTGTAAACTCTGTCCTCAGGAATGCCCATGTGCTTCCCCTGTGGTTTGGAATGAACTCTGCGCAACTCTGTAAGTTCAGTTATTCAGTAATAGACTAAAATGTCTGATGTGTGTCCCATGCTTAGCAGCCGAATAGAGTGATGACTAGGACCAGGCTCTTGTCCCAGATCAGGGCAGGCAAAATACAAACAAACCACATCCTGAGGCCTTCTCATATATGGCTGCATTGTATACCAATGGTCTCAGAGGCAAATGTGTGTTTTCTTGGATCTGTGTGAGGCTTTTGAGCCTTGGCAAAATCTGGCAGAAGCATTAGAGTAAACCAGTGATGGCAGTATATAGAATGAGGGGAGAGAGAGAACAAGGCAAATGCATTGCATCATTTAGGGAAGGCAGTTGGGGTATTGACTGAGCTTTTAGCCTTGAGCAATTGTTAAACTTGTTTTTATTTTTTAACTTTTATGTAAGTTAAATAGCTGCTTATTAAATGTACAAGCCGTAGAGAAAGTTGAAGTTCACACTCACACAGACCATTGAAGAATAACAGCTGCCTTGATTTTATGCGTTTCTCTAAGATTTTGTAGAGTTAGTAGAACTCAGGGAATGCCAGCTGATGTCTAGATGCTACTAGCTTAGGAAAGTGTTCTATTTCTCAGGGTAATGGATATTTACCATACTTTTAATGTAAATCTGGGAAACCTTACTTAGTCTAAAGTGAAAATCTGTGTTGGGTCATTTTATTTTCAAGGGATGTGCCTTGCAGTTTTTTGTTTTGCTCTTTTCTTTAACTGGAGCTATATGATTTCCCGTTTCGTTTCGTACTGAAGTGTTTGAGGCTTTTTCCTCCCCCGCCCAAACACAGAAGCAAGGAGATCAAGCCACGAGTATTCTTATCTTATTGGCAGTGACTCACCTATTTTGGCTCAGTCCTAAAAGGAATTCTGGTGGTTTATTTGGGGTTGATTTTTCCTTGGCTTATGTTCTCTGCACAATAGCTAGGAATTTAACTTGAGTCTAGTGCAGACCTGTCTCCTCGCCCACCTGGAGTTTGTGTTGTGACGTCTCTGTGCCACCACCACCTGGAGAATTGAGGCCTTGGGACAAGTAAGTTGTATGGGTTCCTCCGCACCCCCAGATTCAAATGATATTACAGAGAGGAGAATACTGATGCAGAGAATTTTCTGTCAGCCAGGAAAACTAACTGGGGGTATCTTTTTTTGTCCCTTATTGTCACCAAGCACAGAACCTTAGGAGAAATCTTGGTTCCTTAGAGCTGCCAGCTTCAATTAGGATTAACTTGTCTATTTCACTTCATAGCACAAGCCCTGTCTATGGCCCTGAGGGAGGGTGCTTGTTTCAGACATTGCAGGACAGGAATTTTCACTAATCCTCTTTGAGAATTATGTTGCTGCTCAGCAGGTGTTTATTTTTACCTTGAATTGATTTTTAAAATTTTTTGTGTTGGTCTTTAACTGTCATGTTTATGTAGTGGCACCTATCACTCTCGAGATGAGAGTACAGACAGTGGACTAAGCATGAGCAGCTACAGTGTCCCTCGAACCCCAGATGACTTCCTGAACAGTGTGGATGAGATGGATACAGGTTGGTATTCTTTATTCCTCTTAGTAACCTGACTTAACAGTGGGATATGTTATCACCAGGTCTCATAAGGTATTGTAAGCAAAGATGATTCAGAAGAAAACCAATTAAAATCCTGTAAATTTGAATTAAATTGATCCTGCTTTGTCTCTATACGGTGATTTGTAACTTGTCTTTTCCTAGTTTAAAAAAATATATATCATGGATTGGCCGGGTGCAGTGGCTCATGCCTCTAATTCCAGCATTTTGGGAGGCCAAAGTGGGTGTATTGTTTGAGCCCAGGAGTTCAAGACCAGTCTGGGCAACATGGTGAAACCCCATCTCTATAAAAAAACATACAAAAATAAGTCAGCTGTCATGGTACATGCCTGTAGTCCCAGCTACTCAGGAGGCTGAGGTGGGAGGATGGATTGAGCCCCGGTGATCACACCACTGCACTCCAGTTTGGGTGACAGAATGAGACCTCTTCTCAAAAAAAAAAAAAAAAAATCATAAATTGGATATATTAGCTCTATTTGAATAAAACTCTGATAACATGACTTATGTTAGCATGTTGATCTTAATTGGCAGGACAAACTGACAACCCTGTTAGAACATCTCTCTCCTTATAGATTAGTGTCCTTAATTTTGAGAGATGTCTACATGTAATTCAGTGTTTGTCTTCATCTTTTCTCTAAGAGTTTTTGGTCCACCTTAAGTGTTATGGGGCTCAGGAAACCAGGTGGGAAAGACTAGGAGGTGGGGCTCACTTACTTTGTTAGAATAGTTGCAGAAGGCCAGGTGCGGTGGCTTAAACCTGTAATCCCAGCACTTTGGGAGGCCGAGGTAGCCAGATCACGTGAGGTCATAAGTTCAAGACCAGCCTGGCCAACATGGTGAAACCCTGTCTCTACTAAAAATATAAAAATTAGCCACATGTGGTGGTATGCACCTGTAATCCCAGCTACTCGGGAGACTGAGGCAGGAGAATCATTTGAACCCGGGAGGCGGAGGTTGCAGTGAGCCAAGATCACACCACTGCACTCCAGCCTGGGTGACAGAGCAAGACTCCGTCTCAAAAAAAAAAAAAAAAAAAAAAAAAAAGAATAGTTGCAGGGGTCTTGCAGGAGCTAAGAAATACCTGCCTCACAGGGGTAATTACGGAAGCATTTCTCCTGTGGCTTACCTGGCAACCATTGCCCTAGAGTTGACAACTGCCAGAGTGCATGAATTGGCAGGGAAATGAAGCTGTTCTTTAGCTACCAACTCTTTCACTAACTGCTTCTATTCTGAAAGTGTTTAGCAAGGCTTTTGTGCCTGTATTCATCCAGCTCCTGGCTTTGATGCTTTCTAGAATCCACACTACCCCTCCTCTCTGATTATCTAGATGTTAAATCATCCTTAGGAGCCACTTCAAACCCATTTCACACACAACACCTTTACTTACTCCTCTAATCTGTATTGCTCTCTTCTCCAGACCCCTGTAGCACTTAATGGTTTATGTTAGTTTTTCTGAAAGTATGTTCTATTGAAGCTCTGAGGAGTGTTAATGTTGTCATATGCAAAAAAGGCTCTGTGGCCAAGTAAGTTTGGGAAACCTAGAAGCAAGGCTAGGAAGATGGATTTATTCAAAGCCCTCTGGGAAGGCTTGTTTTGCTGTTAGGAAGGTGCATCTCCTAAGGGTAGAATAAAGTATTCTTGCAGTCTTTCTATTTTAGTGTTTCCCAAAGTATATTTAAGGCCAAGGTAGGTCTATACCACTCATGTTTATGTTTAGTCTTATTATGGTGGTGCTTATCTGGAAGACAGGGTAGTGATGCTGTCGTGTTGTGTACTTGTTCTTTCTCCCGCTGCTGCATATAATTTTTCAAGGGCTTTTTTATTTTTTTCATGACTCCTTTAGTGCTCAGCACATAATAGCAATCAAGCTGTTATTGGATATCTGAACAATGTTGAAGCAAAAGTAAACTTGGCATTGTTATTTTGTTATCTGTGAGTTGTTTGACCTGATATAAATTCTAGGTATCAGTTTAGGTCAGTCAGGAGCGCTTTTCTTTCCCTGTGCATTTCTCTGTGCTCATATGATACAGCCCTGATGTTAGCTTTTCAAAAAGGACTTTGTTATCTCTGTGTGTTTCCACTAGGTGATACTATCAACCAAAGCACCCTGCCCTCACAGCAGAACCGTTTCCCAGACTACCTTGAAGCCATTCCTGGGACAAATGTGGACCTTGGAACACTGGAAGGAGATGGAATGAACATAGAAGGAGAGGAGCTGATGCCAAGTCTGCAGGAAGCTTTGAGTTCTGACATCCTTAATGACATGGAGTCTGTTTTGGCTGCCACCAAGCTAGATAAAGAAAGCTTTCTTACATGGTTATAGAGCCCTCAGGCAGACTGAATTCTAAATCTGTGAAGGATCTAAGGAGACACATGCACCGGAAATTTCCATAAGCCAGTTGCAGTTTTCAGGCTAATACAGAAAAAGATGAACAAACGTCCAGCAAGATACTTTAATCCTCTATTTTGCTCTTCCTTGTCCATTGCTGCTGTTAATGTATTGCTGACCTCTTTCACAGTTGGCTCTAAAGAATCAAAAGAAAAAAACTTTTTATTTCTTTTGCTATTAAAACTACTGTTCATTTTGGGGGCTGGGGGAAGTGAGCCTGTTTGGATGATGGATGCCATTCCTTTTGCCCAGTTAAATGTTCACCAATCATTTTAACTAAATACTCAGACTTAGAAGTCAGATGCTTCATGTCACAGCATTTAGTTTGTTCAACAGTTGTTTCTTCAGCTTCCTTTGTCCAGTGGAAAAACATGATTTACTGGTCTGACAAGCCAAAAATGTTATATCTGATATTAAATACTTAATGCTGATTTGAAGAGATAGCTGAAACCAAGGCTGAAGACTGTTTTACTTTCAGTATTTTCTTTTCCTCCTAGTGCTATCATTAGTCACATAATGACCTTGATTTTATTTTAGGAGCTTATAAGGCATGAGACAATTTCCATATAAATATATTAATTATTGCCACATACTCTAATATAGATTTTGGTGGATAATTTTGTGGGTGTGCATTTTGTTCTGTTTTGTTGGGTTTTTTGTTTTTTTTGTTTTTGGCAGGGTCGGTGGGGGGGTTGGTTGGTTGGTTGGTTTTGTCGGAACCTAGGCAAATGACCATATTAGTGAATCTGTTAATAGTTGTAGCTTGGGATGGTTATTGTAGTTGTTTTGGTAAAATCTTCATTTCCTGGTTTTTTTTACCACCTTATTTAAATCTCGATTATCTGCTCTCTCTTTTATATACATACACACACCCAAACATAACATTTATAATAGTGTGGTAGTGGAATGTATCCTTTTTTAGGTTTCCCTGCTTTCCAGTTAATTTTTAAAATGGTAGCGCTTTGTATGCATTTAGAATACATGACTAGTAGTTTATATTTCACTGGTAGTTTAAATCTGGTTGGGGCAGTCTGCAGATGTTTGAAGTAGTTTAGTGTTCTAGAAAGAGCTATTACTGTGGATAGTGCCTAGGGGAGTGCTCCACGCCCTCTGGGCATACGGTAGATATTATCTGATGAATTGGAAAGGAGCAAACCAGAAATGGCTTTATTTTCTCCCTTGGACTAATTTTTAAGTCTCGATTGGAATTCAGTGAGTAGGTTCATAATGTGCATGACAGAAATAAGCTTTATAGTGGTTTACCTTCATTTAGCTTTGGAAGTTTTCTTTGCCTTAGTTTTGGAAGTAAATTCTAGTTTGTAGTTCTCATTTGTAATGAACACATTAACGACTAGATTAAAATATTGCCTTCAAGATTGTTCTTACTTACAAGACTTGCTCCTACTTCTATGCTGAAAATTGACCCTGGATAGAATACTATAAGGTTTTGAGTTAGCTGGAAAAGTGATCAGATTAATAAATGTATATTGGTAGTTGAATTTAGCAAAGAAATAGAGATAATCATGATTATACCTTTATTTTTACAGGAAGAGATGATGTAACTAGAGTATGTGTCTACAGGAGTAATAATGGTTTCCAAAGAGTATTTTTTAAAGGAACAAAACGAGCATGAATTAACTCTTCAATATAAGCTATGAAGTAATAGTTGGTTGTGAATTAAAGTGGCACCAGCTAGCACCTCTGTGTTTTAAGGGTCTTTCAATGTTTCTAGAATAAGCCCTTATTTTCAAGGGTTCATAACAGGCATAAAATCTCTTCTCCTGGCAAAAGCTGCTATGAAAAGCCTCAGCTTGGGAAGATAGATTTTTTTCCCCCCAATTACAAAATCTAAGTATTTTGGCCCTTCAATTTGGAGGAGGGCAAAAGTTGGAAGTAAGAAGTTTTATTTTAAGTACTTTCAGTGCTCAAAAAAATGCAATCACTGTGTTGTATATAATAGTTCATAGGTTGATCACTCATAATAATTGACTCTAAGGCTTTTATTAAGAAAACAGCAGAAAGATTAAATCTTGAATTAAGTCTGGGGGGAAATGGCCACTGCAGATGGAGTTTTAGAGTAGTAATGAAATTCTACCTAGAATGCAAAATTGGGTATATGAATTACATAGCATGTTGTTGGGATTTTTTTTAATGTGCAGAAGATCAAAGCTACTTGGAAGGAGTGCCTATAATTTGCCAGTAGCCACAGATTAAGATTATATCTTATATATCAGCAGATTAGCTTTAGCTTAGGGGGAGGGTGGGAAAGTTTGGGGGGGGGGTTGTGAAGATTTAGGGGGACCTTGATAGAGAACTTTATAAACTTCTTTCTCTTTAATAAAGACTTGTCTTACACCGTGCTGCCATTAAAGGCAGCTGTTCTAGAGTTTCAGTCACCTAAGTACACCCACAAAACAATATGAATATGGAGATCTTCCTTTACCCCTCAACTTTAATTTGCCCAGTTATACCTCAGTGTTGTAGCAGTACTGTGATACCTGGCACAGTGCTTTGATCTTACGATGCCCTCTGTACTGACCTGAAGGAGACCTAAGAGTCCTTTCCCTTTTTGAGTTTGAATCATAGCCTTGATGTGGTCTCTTGTTTTATGTCCTTGTTCCTAATGTAAAAGTGCTTAACTGCTTCTTGGTTGTATTGGGTAGCATTGGGATAAGATTTTAACTGGGTATTCTTGAATTGCTTTTACAATAAACCAATTTTATAATCTTTAAATTTATCAACTTTTTACATTTGTGTTATTTTCAGTCAGGGCTTCTTAGATCTACTTATGGTTGATGGAGCACATTGATTTGGAGTTTCAGATCTTCCAAAGCACTATTTGTTGTAATAACTTTTCTAAATGTAGTGCCTTTAAAGGAAAAATGAACACAGGGAAGTGACTTTGCTACAAATAATGTTGCTGTGTTAAGTATTCATATTAAATACATGCCTTCTATATGGAACATGGCAGAAAGACTGAAAAATAACAGTAATTAATTGTGTAATTCAGAATTCATACCAATCAGTGTTGAAACTCAAACATTGCAAAAGTGGGTGGCAATATTCAGTGCTTAACACTTTTCTAGCGTTGGTACATCTGAGAAATGAGTGCTCAGGTGGATTTTATCCTCGCAAGCATGTTGTTATAAGAATTGTGGGTGTGCCTATCATAACAATTGTTTTCTGTATCTTGAAAAAGTATTCTCCACATTTTAAATGTTTTATATTAGAGAATTCTTTAATGCACACTTGTCAAATATATATATATAGTACCAATGTTACCTTTTTATTTTTTGTTTTAGATGTAAGAGCATGCTCATATGTTAGGTACTTACATAAATTGTTACATTATTTTTTCTTATGTAATACCTTTTTGTTTGTTTATGTGGTTCAAATATATTCTTTCCTTAAACTCTTCTTTGTTGTTTTTAACAATTGATATTTGAAACTTTTTTTTTTTTTGGCTTCTTACTGGTCTTCCAATAGAACAAGAACTGGCAATAAAAGGTGATTACAGTAGTAACTGGGAAGACAAGTTAAACTTAAGTTTCGTTGTGCTTTAAGTTAGGCTTGACATTTGGAACTTTTGAAGTATGGATATATAATTCTTTTAACTTTGTGTTCTTACTCTTCACATACACCATCCTCATCCGTGGTAGTGTCTAAGCAGAACTGCGTCTGCTTGATTCTTAAATGACTTCACTACATGTGACGGCACAGAGGACACTGAGAACATAAGAACATGGCACTGTCTTTCAGAATGGCCTTTGGTTTTACTTCTTTAATATATTCTCTCAGGCCAGGCGTGGTGGCTCACGCCTGTAATCCCAGCACTTTGGGAAGCCAAGGCAGGCGGATTACCTGAGGTTGGGAGTTCAAGACCAGCCTGACCAACATGGAGAAACCCCGTCTCTACTAAAAATACAAAATTAGCTGGGCGTGGTGTCGCATGCCTGTAATCCCAGCTACTCGGGAGGCTGAGAATATATATATATTCTGTTCTATTTTGGAGGTCATGAGAGAATATTATATATTAGTAAAAAGCATTACTTACTGGCTTATAAATAAAAACATTCACAAATTGAAGTGGTAGGTCCTGACCTTTGAATAAGAAGTAGATTTGAGTATCTTTAAAGATGGCTGGACGTGGTGGCTCACGCCTGTAATTTCAGCATTGTGGGCGGAGGCTGAGGCGGACAGATCACCCGAGGTCAGGAGTTCGACAGCAGCCTAGTCAACATGGTGAAACCCCATCTGTACTAAAAATACAAAAATTAGCTGGGCATGGTGGTGCATGCTTGCAATCCCAGCTACTTGAGAGGCTGAGGTGGGAGGATCACTTGAACCCGTAAGGCAGAGGCTGCGGTAAGCCAAGACCACGCCACTACACTCCAGCCTGCGTGACAGAGCGAGACTCCATCTCAGAAAAAAAAAAAAAAAAGATTGATTTCTGTGTTTGCGTGTATAATAGCTTCAATTATTGACACATCTATTTTGGTGAGGCAAATCTGAAAATGCTTCATATTTTACAATATATAATTTCTTTATGTTAGAACACTAATTTCGTGTAGCTTGAAATTGATTATTTCCTTTTTGTAGTTCAGATATAGTGGTGGTACATCTTGGCTCAAAACCATACCTTGTGTCTGTAGACACTGTGCTTGTTGCTCCACGGTGGTACACTTTTTGTCAGATGGTGTGAAGCCCAGTAATGTGAATCTGCCTTCATTCTGGATCTCTGAACCAGAATTGTACCATCTTTAGTTAACTCTGAGTTTAACAGAATACTCAGAAAAATGTATTTAGATTTGGGAATAGCCTCTAACGAGAACAAGGAGGAACATTCCAAATACTTGAGAAGTATAGTAGTCATACTTAAAACATGATTTACATAATGTTTTTCTTAGACCCCAAATTAAAGTTCAACAGCTCAGTAAGTGAATTGCTCAGCTGCAATAAGCAAGAAAACAGTCTTCCAGAGGGAGGGGGAGGGGGAGAGAGATCAGTAACTACTAGTGAAAGGAAACCTAGGTGACTACTGCAGAAGTGATCGGTAGACTGGGGGTTTTGTTTAATTCCCCAACCCCGATTTCCATTTCTTGACAGCTGAGGTTACAAAAGAAAGGCAGCCCCAAGGAGCTGATGATGTTTTCTTACCTTCTCTAATGGCAGCCAGACTCTCCCTGCTTCTGTAATCATCAGTTTTACTGACAGAAAACCTGGCTTTATTGCGGGTAAATTCCTGGCTCCGGGGTTCCACATGTGCTAACGCTGTTGGAATCAACAGTAGCTCTGGCAGGATGTCTGCCATGTCATCCCTATTCAACTTTAAACTGTTGGCACTTAGTCTTTTTTAGCCATGAGAACTTTGTGATAAATCTTTTTTGATTTAAAGCTTAACTACTAAATTAAAATTCAGATGAGAAGTCGGTGACATTTAGTACTACAGTTTTTCCAAGTCACACATAAAATATGTTTTGCTACCTTGAACACAAAAAGCTCTGACATAGGTAAAATGGATAATTTCTTAACCATAAACATAGCCTTAATACTGCCACAAATGAAAACAGTTGCAGAATCAAGACATGAGCAAAACAAAATGACACTGAAAAGGTATTCTGAATTAAAGTCTGCCGTATTTTAACAAAAAACAAAACTCCCAAAGTGACCTGACTTACAAGCTGCTATGATCCTGTTAGAAACAAAAAACCTAGTATCTTTGCCACTGAAAGCAATTATTTGGAGACCTCTTAGCAAAGGGTCTACTTCTGTAAAATTTTTGAACACCTAGTCTAGTTAACTTAAAAACAAACTTTAACTGTTAAAGAAACAAGAACTAGAGGTACTGTAACTTTGTGAAATTGGTATTGGTTTGCACTCAGTTAGTGGACAGGGCTTGATTTTTTTGTAAAAGGAACTTGTAAAAACTTCTTAGGGTTGTGACATACCTTTCCCCACGTTTCCTTACATCTTGTCCCAGGTATATTTTTGTGGAATTATAGTTCCCACGACCTTCATAGAATCTATATAAAATATGAGTTAAACTTCACATTTGGTTGTAATTTTACTTGGGATATTATTAGAAGCCACATCTCAGTTCTTTTTTTTTTTTTTTTTCTTTTTTTGAGACGGGGTCTCGCTCTGTCACCCAGGCTGGAGTGCAGTGCCGCAATGTCAGCTCACAGCAACCTCCACTTCCTGGGCTCAAGCAGTTCTCGTGCCTCAGCCTCCCAAGCAGCTTGCGCCACCCACCCAGCTAATTTTTGTATTTTTTGTAGAGACGTGGGGTTTCACCATGTTGTCCAGGCTGGTCTCAAACTCCTGAGCTCAAGTAATCAATCTGCCCACCTCCACCTTCCAAAGTGCTGGGATTACAGGCCTGAGCCACCACGCCGTGCCCCACATCTCAGTTCCTTTTAAAGCATTTGTTCTGTTTCAAATCGGGTTTTTATGTTACAGTGGATTTACACAATTAAAATGATAGCATATCTGGCAAACTTGAACTAATTTTCTCAAGGATCTGGATTAAATGGCAGGATCTGAGAGAAAATCTCCTGTCTATCAGTGCTATCACCAAGAGCTACTGAAGCCAGCTACTCAAAGCTGAGCTTCACTAGTGATGCAGCCATTGGGAAACCTAGCTAAAGACACTTCCTCCTCCTTCAGGGAACCTCTCAGCAACTTGTATTTGGCACTTTTTTCTACTGAATAAGAGGTAAAGCCTGGCACGGTGGCTCACGCCTGTAATCCCAGCAATTTGGGAGGCCAAGGCAGGCAGGTTACCTGAGGTCAGGAGTTCAGGACCAGCCTGGACAACATGGTGAGACCCCGTATCTACTAAAAATACAAAAATTCGTTGGCTGCGGTGGCAGGCAGCTGTAATTCCAGCAACTGGGGAGGCTGAGGCACGGAGAATTGCTTGAACCCAGGAGGCGGAGGTTGCAGTGAGCTGAGATCGCGCCACTGCATTCCAGCCTGGGCAACAGAGCGAGACTCTGTCTCAGGGGGAAAAAAAAAAAAGGAAGAGGAGGTAAACACATCTGCAGGCAGAGTTCAGCAGAGGCATCTGCCTCATGGGCTGTAGCCCAGTGGATTCTAAATGATACTAGGATCACAACTAGATAAGACTGATCACTTGGATGACCGTGAATTAAGACCTTAGATTTTATAAGAGATACAATGGCTCATATTCAGGGACAGCCAGACTGTTAGGTAATTTGAAGTCACACCACAAAAACCACATGTGCATCATCTTCCAAAAGGAGGCCATTTGCTGAGGTGTTTTGTCTCTGAGCACTAGTAAGTCTGTTGAGCCCTGTAAAATAATCCCAAATGGGACTGCCCAGTGAAGAATGTGGACTTGAGATTTAGTTGTTCTTTTACAGTCCAAATCATTGAAAGACAGCATAGCTTTTCTGTATTCTAGGCCAAAGGAATTTCTGTGGAATTCTGCTATGGGAGTTTCAGAAAACCAGCCTAAGCCCATTTAGTGTCATTCAGAAAACAGCTGATGCTTCATTGAGGGGCAGCGGGCGGGGATGGGGGTGACGGGTGCTTAACAGCCAACTCACAGCTCACCTTCGAGGCCACATCTTTATCTGGAATGCAGTGGCAAACCCTACCCCAAATTCAGGATGTTGCTGAGGAAATTTTCCACTGATTTGAGCTAAAACTTTGACTAAATCCCTATCAGTCTTCCAAAATCACTGAAGAAAAATTCTCAATACCTGAACATCTCCAGTGTTCTCATAGTTTTGTTGTTCTATCCTGGTCACTATGACAAATTTGAAAGGCAGATTATTCCAATTAAGTTGGTGTCCCACTGCCATCACTTACTGTGGGATTTGGAGTCTCTCAGACTTTTTCTCCATCAGGGGTAAAGTGAACGTACTACAATTTGCACTATCTCAAGACACTGATAAAGAAGATCAAAGTGTTATAAAAGCAACTGGTAAACCGTTAACATTCCTTAAAAGTGATACTGTATTTTAAAATCACTATGACCTTTTCTCAATATCATCTTGTTTAAAGACATAGTATTATTGAATAATTCAAAATAGTCCTTCAAACTTGAGTAGGTCTACCCAGGGCATCTGCATAAGTACATGAGGCTCTGTCTTGTTCTGTCATTAAGATGCACACCATCTTCAATTTTATAAGTATGCTATTTGTTTTTCAGTATTTTAATATTCTGTAATTACTGAGATGCTCCCACATATGATCTCCTTGTTTGGTCATACCAAGATCAAATAAGACATAATTATTACAATTCCTAATTGTGTGCCTCAAACCTAGGTTTAAATCCCACACTATGGCTGTGAGATGACTAGAAGTTGAGGGGGTAGCCCATAACTGGAAAATGCTTTCTGTATACAAGGCTAACCGTATTCCCTGGGGCTCAAAATTGTCTTCTCAGTTATGAGCTTCCCTACCTCTGGCCCCACTGCAGGTAGGACTTTGCTCTCCACACAGAGGGAATCCTAGGAAAATTGCCACAACAATAGGACAATGCTGTAACAGGTTAGATCTTCCATCCATTTTAAAAAATCATGTACATTTGCTCAACAAACACACTTGGAACATATTCCAACTTGAGTAATAAGTGGCATGGTAACTTCCTCAGGGAGCTTACCAAGAGTAAAGGTAAGACTGTTAAGTGCTGAAGTTAGTTCACACAATGTAGTGAGAGAGCACAGTCTATGGGAAGATTACTTCCTCCTAGGATGATCAGGGAAAGCTTGTACAGGTTCTATTTAAGCTGGGCATTGAGTGGTTATGACTAACCCAACAGAAGTGGTCAGTGGCAGAGAAAGCACTAGGTAAGGAAAACTAAGAATAGTTGGAGGAATGGGAAGTGTATTAGTCCATTCTCACACTGCTATACAGATACTACTTGAGACCGGTAATTTACAAGCAAAAGAGATTTAATTGACTCACAGTTCTGCACGGCTGGGGAGGCCTCTGGAATTGGAAACTTACAGTCATGGCAGAAGGTGAAGGGGAAGCAAGGTACATCTTACATGGCAGCAGGAGAGAGACAGAGTGCAGGGGAAACTGCCACTTTTAAATCCATCAGATCTCGTGAGAAATCCCTCACTATCATGAGAACAGCATGGGGGAAATTGCCCCTATGATTTAAACACCTCCCACCAGGTCCCTCCCTCAACACATAGGGATTACAATTTGAGATGAGATTTGGGTGGGGACACAGAGCCAAACCATATCAGGGAGTATTATAGTTTGGCTGAGCTATAAATAAATATATAATGGATTAACTCATTCAGCAAATAATTTGAGTATCTAATATGTGCCAGGGACTATTCTAGGCCCTGGGAATACAGTAAGCAACAAAATAGACAAAAATTCCTGCCCTTCTGGGGTTTACATTCTTGGCAGACCAGAACCAGGTAATGATAATGTCTCAAATGCCCATTATATGCCAGGCACTTTCCCAAGCACTTTCTTATTAACTCATTTAATCCCCACAACAATCCAATAAGGTTGGTAGTATCCTAGTTTTGCTGGTTAAAAGATAATACAAATTTTTAAAAAACTTACATAGAGGTCACATATCTGAGTAGAGGATTTGAAGAATCTGGCTCCAGAGTCTGACCGATTACCACCATGTGCTGCCTATTGCTTGAATTCCAGAGTGAGAAATCTGAATATCCAATGCGAATGAAGGCCTTTGAAGGTCTGTCAAACTAGAGGACAATAATAGCAAAAATTATTTCAAGTCCAGGCTATTACATCACATTTTGAGGAAATTATGATTGAACTTACCCAAAGGGTAACAAAAATGGGCTGAACACACAAGTAGAGAAAAAACACAGCTGCATATACCTTTCCAGACATTAACAGTGAACTCAGAGTACCTCTGATTTGCTCCCATAATACTGTGGATCTGTTTTGGTTTTTTCTAACTGGCAAATGGAAGACAGGAGGAGAGGTGATGATTTCAAAGATGACTGAATCCGTTTCCCCAATAGGATAATTCATCTGCCCATGTGGTAGGTCCTGTAGAATGGAAATAACTTTGTTTTCGTTTTTAAGACAGGCTCTCTTGCTGTTGCCCAGGCTGGAGTGCAGTGGCACGGTCACGGCTCACTGCAGCCTCAATCTCCCATGCTCAACTGATCCTCCTACGTCAGTCTCCGAGTAGCTGGGACTAAAGGCATGCACCACCACACCTGGCTAATTTTTTTTTTTTTTTTTTTTTTTTTTTTTTTTTTAGAGATGGGGTCTCACCACATTGCCCAGGCTGGTCTCAAATTCCTGGGCCCAAGCAATCCACTCACCTTGGCCTCCCAAAGTGCAGGGATTACAGGCGTGAACCACCACACCTGGCAGAATGGAAATAATTTTGTGGAATTTATTGTACAGAGATAAAAATTAGGGAAGCTGCCGTCTGAGCAGATTCCTGACTTGTGAAACTTACCTGAAGAAAAACTATGGAAAATCTAAAATCATGAGGCTATCAAGAGCAGCTACTCAAAAGCCAAAGATGGCAAGCCCATTTAGGGGTCATTGAATAGGAATGGATCAACTAAAAGGCCTGAACAAAACTGAAGTCAGAAAAGGGAAATGCTTTGGCCAATCTAGATTTTCTGTTTAGTCATATCTGTCACTGTTTGCTAGGTGCTTTCAATAAACGTTTGAGCACCCACCACATGCCAAGCATTGGACTAGGCCTGGAAATGCAATGCCAGAAAAGTATGATCTTATGGTCTAGTGGGAAAACAGACCTTAAGGAATTAAAAGTATCATGATCATTGGGGGAAAATGCACATTCCAGTGGTCAGAAAATAGAAGCATAAGTTCACAGAGTCCAAAATGTGTTTTGTGTGGCCATGCCAACAAGGATCAGTAGGAATCCCGTATGTGCTAATGCAAAGATTCACTCGACCCTTCACTGCCCAGGAGGAGAGGTGGGTTGTTTGCACGGGAGTGATGTGCAGTTGGCGTGCAGACATCAAGAGCCAGTGTGAGCAAGTGACACTTCTTCAGTCGAACCCTGCTCTGGTGTGGTTGCTATATACCAGTGGCAGCAGAGAGACCAGGCTCACCAGTATAATTCTGCTGTTGAAGAGGGAGGCTGCTATGTCAAGACATATTGTTCTAGAATATTTCCAAGACCCCCTGCCTGCAGGAGGAGGTGCAATGGGCAGAGGAGCTCAGTGTCATGGAGTGTTGCTGAGTCACTAGTACCAGCAATGGGAAGTCATTGAAGAGTGTTGAGTAGGGAAATGATGTGGTCACGTGAGTGTGTTCAAAAGATGTTTCTAGCTGCTGTGTGACATGAACTAGAGGGAGGGGGTGAGCATGGTGGGGCCAAGTGGAAACTACAGTGGCAGTGCAGGGGTGAGGAGATGGTGGTTGTGGCAGTGGGAGAGAAAAGGCTCAGGCTTGGAACTGCCTAGGTGTGGGAGAGAAGGACAACAAGTAGTGTGAAACAACAGAAGAATGGGATCGGGGAAATATCCCAGACAAAAACATGTGGGTGAAGTGCAGAGCACAAATAAAGGTTGCTGCCTGACCCAAAAAGAGATTGCTGCTCTGTGAATCCTGTGTTACCATAAAGGACAACTGATTTAGATGGTGAACTTAATGGGCAACTCTAGAGTGTGTTTGATCTCATTAAACTCTAACACAACACACAGGAAACCCCAAAAATAACAAGACCAGTCCACAACCCCTTTAAAATCAAGAGCAAGGCCGGGCGCAGTGGCTCGCGCCTGTAATCCTAGCACTTTGGGAGGCTGAGGCAGGTGGATCACAAGGTCAGGAGTTCGAGACCAGCCTGACCAACATGGTGAAACCCTGTCTCTACTAAAAATACAAAAATTAGCCAGGAGTGATGTCGTGCACCTGTAATCCCAGCTACTCAGGAGGCTGAGGCACGAGAATCACTTGAACCCAGGAGGCAGAGCTTGCAGTGAGCCAAGATCATGCCACTGCACTCCAGCCTGGGTGACAGAGTGAGACTCCATCTCAAAAAAATAAATAAATAAAATAAATAAATAAATAAATCAAGCAAAATAGAAGAAACCAAAACATGCAACCATCCCAAATACAAATACAAAACATGGATTTAAATGATTTGTCACGTCGCTATTTTTAAATGCAGGGCGAATCCCATTAGAACCTTTCTCTCTGTGGATAAAATACAAATCCCTGCCTAATAAGCACAATAAGAGAATGTTGGCAATTCTGTTATTTCATCTCTAGCACGAATTGACCTCATTTCTCCAACTGGCTTTGTGCTTTGAAAAACTGACCAAAATGCCACGCGTGTGTTTGATTAGCACTTCACACCTTGTTTACAGTGCACTAGAGAAACTGGCTGTTGTTGGCATCCGTCCAGCTGTTCCTGATGAGTTGCCAGGCTGAGAAATCTCCCTGGATTGGGATAACTGGAACAAAGGCCAGGCTGACTGAAAAGTCAGCTGAGGCTGGGCCTGGTGGCTCACGCCTGTAATCCCAGCACTTTGGGAGGCCGAGGTGGGTGGATCGCTTGAGCCCAGGAGTTCAAGACCAGCCTGGGCAATACAGTGAGACCTCGTCTCTACAAAAAATAAAAAATGTAGTCAGGCGTGGTGGCACATGCCTATAGTCCCAGCTACTCAGGAGGCTGAGCCAGGAGGATTGCTTGAGCCCGGAAGGCAGAGGTTGCAGTGAGCCAAGATGGTGCCACTGCACTCCAGCCTGGGTGACAGTGATACTGTCTCAAAAAAAAAAAAAAAAGAAAAAGGAACGTTCAGATGGTCTTTTTTATTTTTGGTGGGGTGTGGGGAGAGATGCCCCAAAGCCTGAGCTAGACTCCTAGAGCTCTTTAATCCCCAGAACCAGCATCTATGAAAGAGGAGACTTTTTACAGCCCTACCCTCTTTTTCTTTGGCTACTGTGAAGTGTTTTCCCTCTGAGCTAAGGTATAAATGGCAACTGGTTTCCAAAACCACTTATTCACATAGCTAGTGAACCATTTGGGCTGGTACTGATAGCCTCCCCTGAACCATCCCAGGCATGGGGAGGGTTACAAGTGCTTCATGATATTTGTAGGTCAAGACCCTTGACACCCTGCCCAGGGCAGCCTGAGCAGGGTAGTTGGGAGTGACCCCATATGGTCAGGACTCGGGAGCCGGATCCCTCAGGATCACAAAAGCACACAAGGAGGTGTGAGGCAGAGTTCAGCCAGGTCTCGAAATGAGAGAATTGCAGGCCAGGCACGGTGGCTCACGCCTGTAATTCCAGCACTTTGGGAGGCCAGGGCAGGCAGATCACTTGAGACCAGAAGTTCAAGACCAGCCTGGCCAACATGATGAAACCCCGTCTCTACTAAAAATAGAAAAAATTAGCCGGGCTTGGTGGCGGACGCCTATAATCCCAGCTACTCGGGAGGCTGAGGCAGGAGAATTGCTTGAACTTGGGAGACAGAGGTTGCAGTGAGCTGAAATTGCACCACTGCACTCCAGCCTGGGTGACAGAATGAGACTCCATCTCAAAAAAAGAAAGAGAGAGAGAGACAGAGAGAGAGAGAGAGACAGGGAGGAGGGAGAAGGGGGAAGGGGGAAGGGAAGGGGGAAGGGAAGGGAAGAAAGAAGAGAAGGAAGGGAAGGAAGAGAAAAAGAGAAAGAGAAGAAAGAAAGGAAGAAAGAAAGAGAAAGGAAAGAAAGGAAGAAAGAGAAAAAGAAAGAAAGAAAGAAAGAAGGAAAAAGAAACAAAGAAAAAGAAAGAATTGCAGATCTCTAGGGAGAAAAACGAGGCCCAGAAGGACAAAGTGACTTGCTCAAAGCCATGTAGCTAACAAGGGACAGAGTCTTACACTTTTCACTCCCAGTGAATTTCTCCTATAGCTATATTGGTAAAAACCACAGAGTCAAAATTGCTCTCAAACTCCCATGACCTTGCCTGTAATACAGTTCGTCCAAAGGTTCACACTCTGAAAGGCACTTAGAGGGCTAATAGCAATGGAAGAACAGCAGGTCCAGATCGCCCATTTCAGGCTCACTCTGAAACCTGTGCTTATTGAGTGGAAAGGTCAGTGGAATCGCCCAGGCTTTTAAAACATTATTTCTCTCTTGCTCTCTCTCTTATTTCTCTAGAATAAATGGTTTAATTTATGTATGTTAAATGGGTGGTGAGGTGCTTGCTATATGTCAGGAACTGGAATGGACAATGGGGAGTTAATACCACTAATAATGGCCGAGCGTGGTGGCTCACACCTGTAATCCCAGCACTTTGGGAGGCTGAGGCGGGCAGATCATTTGAGGCCAGGAGTTTGAGACCAGCCTGGCCAACACGGTGAAGCCTCATCTCTACTAAAAAATACAAAAATTAGCCTGGGTGTGGTGGTGCCCACCTGTAGTCCCAGCTACTTGGGAGGCTGAGGCAGGAGAATCGCTTAAACCTGGGAGGCAGAGGTTGCAGTGAGCTGAGATTGTGCCACTGCACTCCAGCGTGGATGACAGAGTAAGACTCCGTCTCAAAAAAAAAAAAAAACAAAAAAACCTACCACTACTAATAGCAGCTAAGCTATTAAGAGCTTAATGTATGTCAGGCACTATTCTAAGAGCTTTGTTAACTCATTTAATACCAATGATGAATAAGCATGTTCCTTGCTTTCAAAATGCTCATTGTCAAGGGAAGTGGTTCTAAATCCTGGCTGGATATTAGAATCTCTTGGAAAGTTTTTAAACACCTTGATGTGTGGGCTCCACCTGCCAGAGATTTGGCTTTAACTGGACAAGGGATCAGGGGAGTCTGAGCATCAGGGTTTTTGCAAAGCTCTCCTCACCACTTTTGTGTGCAGCCAGGACTGAGAACCACCAGGCCAGGATAAAGGAGACAGACATGTCGAGCGGCAGTGACACCTGAGGGTACCTCAGTCTGAGTCACCCCTCTGCGCTAAGGGAGCCCATATATGAGACACCTGACCCAGACCCTGAGGGTCAGGAAGATGCTCAGAGGAAGAAGTGAGGGAGGGTCACTCTAGGCATGATGTAAGGGAGTCTCTGTTCCTACCATGTTTCTTTGGCTCACATCTACCCACCTGGCCCTGTCCCAGCTGAAACGTTTAGTTTTAAGGACCCTGAGCCAATTAAAGTCAAACTAGCATTCCTGATGTTAAGAAGTACCCCCGTGAAGCCAGGCATTGGTTTCCACACCCAACAGGAGATGCCTGTTCTCTGACTGGGTTTGAGGTTCAACCAGAGAGCCTCTGTCCCCCAGGGCAACTGACTCATCAGGGCTGGACATCAGGGAGAAGGGAACTGGCTTGTTTGAAAAACTTCCTCTTCTTGGCATAAGCCTCCATAGTTCTGTATAATCCTTAGGTCAAAGGTTGGGGTCTTGGCCACAGGACCCCTGATTAGTATTGCAAGTGCACTACACATCAAATGGATTTTATGTGCTACTTTAGAGATTGGGAATTTTTTTTTTTTTTTTTTTGAGACAGTTTCGCTCTTGTTGCCCAGGCTAGAGTGAGGTGGTGTGATCTCAGCTCACTACAACATCTGCCTCCTGGGTTCAAGTGATTCGCCTGCCTCAGCCTCCCAAGTAGCTGGAATTACAGGTGCTTGCCACCACACCTGGCTCATTTTTCTTTCTTTTTTTTTGTTTGTTTGTTTTTGAGATGGAGTCTCACTCTGTTGCCCAGGCTGGAGTGCCGTGGCACGATCTTGGCTCACTGCAACCACCGCCTCCCGGGTTCAAGCAATTCTCCTGCCTCAGCCTCCTGAATAGCTGGGACTACAGGTACCCACCACCATACCCAGCTAATTTTTGTATTTTTAGTAGAGATGGGGTTTCACCATGTTGACCAGGCTTGTCTCAAACTCCTGACCTCAGGTGATCCACCTGCCTTGACCTCCCAAAGGGCTGGGATTACAAGTGTGAGCCACCGTGCCCAGCCAAGATTGGGAACTATTCATAACATTGCTTTTCATGGTTAAATTCATTCAGGTTCCAAACAACCAACTGGCAATAAACTCTTAGAGTATAATCCAGTGATGGAAAACACAGCTGTATGCTATACATTATAATCCAAGGTAATAATCAGATCTGATCAAGAAAGTGGGTACAAAACACATTTATTTTAAAACCTATAATTGACTTAAGTACCTCAATGTGTCATACTACAACATTATTTAACACATGCAATAAAATGGGAGAGGGGGTGCTAGATTAAAAATGTTCTTGAAAACATTTTGCAAATGGACTAAAACATTAATTTGTTCAGCTTTCTTTTCCTTAATACATCTAGAATATTTTGAAAGCAAACTACACACAAGTGACAGTGGATGGGACCCCTTGGCCTTACTAGAGGCAGTCTGTAGTCCTGGAGGTACAGAATGTAGCATCCACAGACCTCCGAGGCAGGGGTCAGAGCTTAGCAGGCGCATTTGCTGCAGCACTGCAAGGGAGCTCGAGGTCCCAGTATCTACAGGGGAAAGCAATGGCGCACCCAATTTGAAGTTATCTAACAAGCTTGCCAGTGGGTTCCACTTCTGGAACATTATCCTAAGAAAAGAATTCAGGGTGTGTACAAAGATTAAGCAAAATAGCAAAAAAATCTGAGAATAACCTAGATTTCAAAAAAAAAAAAAAAAGGAAACTGATTGGATTGTTATATCCACAAAATGAAATACTATGCAACTATCAAAAACAACGTTAAGTTCAGGGTCGGTGGCTCACACCTGTAGTCCCAACACTCTGGGAGGCCAAGGCGGGTGGATCGCCTGAGGTCAGGAGATCAAAACCAGCCTGACCAATATGGTGAAACTCCATCTCTACTAAAAATACAAAAATTAGCCAGGCATGGTGGCAGGCACCTGTAATCCCAGCTACTGAGACAGGAGAATCGCTTGAACCCAGGTGGCAGAGTTTGCAGTGAGCCAAAATCGTACCACTGCACTCCAGCCTGGGTAACAAGAGTGAAACTCTGTCTCAAAAAAAAAAAAAAAAGTTAAAATGCATATTGAGGCTGGGCACAGTGGCTTATGCCTGTAATACCAGAACTTCGGGAGGCTGAGACAGGCAGATCACTTGAGGTCAGGAGTTCAAGAACAGCCTGGCCAACATGACGAAACTCAATCTCTACTAAAAATACAAAAATGAGCCAGGCATGGTGGCGCTCACCTGTAATCCCAGCTACTCGGGAGGCTGAGGCCCGAGAATGGCTTGAACCCAGGAGGCAGAGGGCAGTGAGTTGAGATCATGCCACTGCACTCTAGCCTGGGTGACAGAGAGAGGCCTCATCTCAAAAAAAAAAAGCAGGTTGATTTGCATGGAAAGATGTTTATAATATGGTATACTATTTTATGAAAAGGCAGGGTACAAAATCATGTCCCTAGGGAAAAACCTCATGGATAACACAAAGCAGCAACTCAATAAATATTATTGAGTAGCAAAATAATATTATATATATCCCTTTGTTTTCTTGAGACCAAGTCTTGCTCTGTCACCCAGGCTGGAGTGTGGAGTGCAGTGCCACGATCTTGTCTCACTGAAACCTCCGCCTCCTGCGTGAGACGTGCCTCAGCCTCCCCAATAGCTGGGATTACAGGCATGCACCACCATACCCAGCTAATTTTTTTTTTTTTTTTTTTTTTTTTTTGAGACGGAGTCTCGCTCTGTCGCCCAGGCTGGAGTGCAGTGGCGGGATCTCGGCTCACTGCAAGCTCCGCCTCCCGGGTTCACGCCATTCTCCTGCCTCAGCTTCCAGAGTAGCTGGGACTACAGGCGCCCGCCACTACGCCCGGCTAATTTTTTGTATTTTTAGTAGAGACGGGGGTTCACCGTTTTAGCCGGGATGGTCTCGATCTCCTGACCTCGTGATCCGCCCGCCTCGGCCTCCCAAAGTGCTGGGATTACAGGCGTGAGCCACCGCGCCCGGCCTTTTTTTTTTTTTTTTTTTTTTGTATTTTTAGTAGAGACGGGGTTTCGCCATGTTGCCCAGGCTGGTCTCAAACTCCTGGCCTCGAGGAATCCACCCACCTCGGCCTCCCAAAGTGCTGGGACTATAGGCATGAGCCACCACGCCCAACAATATATCCCCATTTTTGTTGAAAAATACTTTAATACACTTTTAAAAGTGAATTACATGCACTAATCACAGAGGTTATCTCTTACTGGCAGAATTATATGTAGTTCTTATTTTCCTTATCTGGTGTTGGTCATTTTTCTTTCTTATTTTTTATATTTTTTATTAGAGACAGGGTCTCACTTCGTCACCGAGGCTGGAGTGCAGTGGCGGGATCATGGCTCAGTGCTGCCTTGAATTCCTGGGTTCAATCGCTCCTCCCACCTCAGCCTCCCAAGTAGCTGGGAGCGTGGGTGCATACCACTGCATCTGGCTCATTTAAAAATTTTTTTTATAGAGATGAGGTCTCATCATCTTGCCCAGGCTGGTCTTGAATTCCTGGGCTCAAGTGATCCTCCCACCTCAGCCTCCCAAAGTGCAGGGATTACAGGTGTGAGCCACCGCACCCAGCCCCCACATCTGCCTTTCTCTTGCCTCCTACATTGCCACAACGATTGCCCCGAGATCTATGGGAATCACAGCCTGCTGTTGTGCAGGTACCCCTCTGCCACCTCTGGAGCCTCTTAGTGGTCCCAAGGTTGCCTCCCTCTTTGAAGAGCCAGCTCAAGGTATAATTCATTTTAGTATCATTTCTGTTTTGTTCTTACACAGATTCAGAAGATTCGTGTGTATGACATTTAAAATAAACATAAAAAAACTTATCCACATTTTGTCATTTCTCTTCATACTGTTTGTTTTTAACATTTTATTATAAATCCTCAAAATCCTAATTATCAACATACTTATTACTTATACCAGAATTACAACTTAATAAAACCAGAACAAAACCTACACTATTAAGAAATAGCAGGCTGGACGCATGGCTCACACCTGTAATTCCAGCACTTTGGGAGGCCAAGGCAGCTGGATCACTTGAGGTCAGGAGTTCAAGACCAGTCTGGCCAACATGGTGAAACCTCGTCTGTGTTAAAAATACAAAAATTAGCTGGGCAGTAGTGGTACGCACCTGTAATCCCAGCTACTTGGGAGGCTAAAGCAGAAGAATCACTTGAGCCTGGGAGGCGGAGGTTGCGGTGAGCCGAGATCACGTCACTGCACTCCAGTCTAGGTGAGAGAGTAAGACCCTGTCTCAAAAAAATAAAAATAAAAAAAATAAAAAATAAAAGAAGCCGGGTGCGGTGGCTCACGCCTGTAATCCTAGCACTTTGGGAGGCCAAGGCGGGTGGATCACAAGGTCAGGAGTTCCAGACCAGCCTGGCCAAGATGGTGAAACCCCGTCTCTACTAAAAATACAAAAATTAGCTGGGTGTGGTGGTGGGTGCCTGTAATCCCAGCTACTTGGGAGGCTGAGGCAAGATAATCACTTGAACCTGGAGGGGGAGGTTGTAGTGAGCTGAGATCGCACCACTGCACTCTGAGCTGGGTGACAGAGCAAGACTCCATCTCAAACAAACAAAAAAAGAAATAACAACAACCGTGCCACTTGAGGATAGTTATAAACTGGTGAGCCCACCAGCACCCAGAGAACCTTGTAGAGGATGTGCCATGGTGCCCACCTTGACACAGGCTGAACTCCAAAGTAAAGTGCTTGAGTTCTTCAGGGGTTTCAAGGACAGGAGCTCACTGATTTATTATTGCAATTTTCTAAATAATTAGCTTAAACAAATGGCTTACATTAGAATTTATATTATTATTTCATTTTATAACTTACTGAAGTTATACTTTTTACCAATTGATACAATAATATTTCAATATTTAGTCAATCATTCTGGTCTTCTTGGTTAACATATAAGCTGAATATTATAAGCCTAATACACTGCAAGACACATAGAAAGTGCCCCCAAACTGGCTAGTAGATAAATAACTGTATGGATGAAAATTGGTTTTGGTCCAATATTTTCCTTCCTATCATTTATTAATTTTGACATTGCTTGGTGGTGATCATTAGTGCTAAGCATAAAATATTTTCAATATTTTATTTTGAAAATTTTCAGCTCTTTGCTTTTTTAGCACATGGTGGGTGTGACTTCTCTGCCTTTCTGGAAGCCATGTGACTTGCTTTGGCCTGCAGAATGTGAGCAGAAGTGATGTATGTCACTTCTGGTGGAAACTGTACTGTTGGTGCATTGTCAATACCCCCTTGGCCTACCCAGACTTCCATTTATATTCTCTTGGCCTGTGGATATTCTCTAGCTTCAGAAGCATGACAGACCTGTGTTTGGGGCTTATCAGAACTTCCAATTGTTAACCATTCAGGAGGGACCCAAAACCACTGAGGGATGCGCTAACACCTGTGTTGGGTTTTTTTGTTTTTGTTGTTTTTGTTTTGTTTTGTTTTTCGAGATGGAGTCTCACTCTGTCGCCCAGGCTGGAGTGCAGTGGCGCAATCTCAGCTCACTGCAAGCTCCACCTCCCGGGTTCAGGCCATTCTCCTGCCTCTGCCTCCCTATTAGCTGGGACTACAGGCGCCCGCCACCAAGCCCAGCAAATTTTTTGTATTTTTATTAGAGATGAGGTTTCAACGTGTTAGCCAGGATGGTCTCGATCTCCTGACCTCATGATCTGCCTGCCTTGGCCTCCCAAAGTGCTGAGATTACAGGTGTGAGCCACCCCTCCCAGCCACCTGTGTTGAGTTTTAAAGGATGAGTAAGAGATAGCCACTGAAAGAAAAATTGTAAGGGGATTCTAGGCAGAAGGGAAATATAAGGCCAGGTGCAGTGGCTCACACCTGTAATCCCAGCACTTTGGGAGGCTGAGGTGGGAGGATTGCTTGAGCTTAGGAAATTGAGACCAGCCTGGGCAACATGGTGAAACCCTGTCTCTACCAAAAAGTGCAAAAATTAGCCAAGCATTGTATCACATGCTTGTGGTCCCAGCTATTCAGGAAGCTGAGGTGAGAGGATCACTTGAGCCAGGGAGGTCGAGGCTGCTGTGAGCCATGATCACGCCACTGCATATTCCAGCCTGGGCGGCAGACTGAGACCCTGTCTCAAAAAAAAAAAAAAAAAAAAAAAAAAGGGAAATATAAGCAAAGACTGAGTACAGTGAAACAGTATGGTTTTTTTTCTGGGCTGTCCAGCAAGAGGCTGGAAGCAGCAGTGGCTGGAGATAGGCAAAGGCACACAGGTTACAATGTGGAGGATGGCTTGAAGGAAGGACAAGTCTGGAAGATTAGTTAAGAGGCTGTTGCATAGGCCAAGAGAGTGATAATAAGGACCTAAGTGGGTCCATGGTAGTAGAGATGGTGAAAGGGCTTGAATCTAGAAATAATTAGCAGGTATTCACAAACTTGTAATTGATTGGAAGTGGAAACTAAGGGAGATGAAGTCATCTAGGATGATGCTGGATTTCTAATGGATGGTGGTGCCACATAAGGGAGACAGGAGGAGAAACAGATTCAGGGATATGGTAAGTTCAATAGACTTGGTGAGATCTTTAGATCACAGATCTAATCATATTACTTTCCTATCTTATACACTTGAGTGGCTTCTCATTACTTTTAAGATTTAGTCCCAAACCCTATATGATTGCAGGGCCTTGTAAAATCTTGTCCTTTCCAGTTCTCCCCTTCACTTCCTCTTCTCCAGCCATGCTGGCTTCTCTGTTCCTGAAACCTGCAAACTCTTTTCTATCTCACAGCCTTTCCTCATTCTGTTCCCTCTGCCTGGAGGACAGTTCTCCCAATTCCCCACTCATCCTTCAGGTCTTAGCTCAAATATCATTTCTTTAGGGAAAACTTCGCTGAGCCTCTGGTATAAACTAGACCCCTGGCACGTGCTCTCAAAGCCCCTTGTACTCCTCTTTGTTGTACTTTTCATAATCCTAAGTAAAAAATTGATGTATTGGCTGGGTGCAGTGGCTCACACCTGTAATCCCTCGTCCTCCTTTGGGAGGACAAGGTTAGCAGATCACAAGGTCAAGAGATCGAGACCATCCTGGCCAACATGGTGAAACCCCATCTCTACTAAAAATACAAAAATTAGCTGGGCGTGGTGACACACACCTGTCATCTCAGCTACTCGGAGGCTGAGGCAGGAGAATTGCTTGAACCCAGGAGGTGGAGGTTACAGTGAGCTGAGAATGTGCCACTGCACTCCAGCCTGGCGACAGAGCGAGACTGTCTCAAAACAAACTAACAAAAATATTGATGTATAATTGTTGATTTAATGTCTGCTTTTCCCTGTAAGGGAAGACACTGTGTCTGTTGTGTTTACTGCTATATCCAGCACCTAGCATAGGACCTTACATGAATGAAGCAGGCTAAGAAGGAGCAGTCAGGAGGCAGGAAAAGAACCAAGAGAAACTGATGTCAAAGATGTGGACAAAGAAAATAGCAAATCAGGATTTTCAAATAAGGCAAAAAGGTCCAGCAACATGAAGGCCGAAAACTGTCCATTGCATTTTGCAGCTAGGAAGTCACTGAAAATGTCGTCAAAAGCAGTTTCAGTGTGGGTGGGTGCCAGATTGCAGTGGGTTGAATAGTGAATGGAAAGCGAGAAATCCGAGGAATAAAACGCAACCACTGTCTGCCTCTGTATACAGGAGGGGGAGGAAATGATTTTTACTTTTGTACCCTGACTCAGCTGTTGTTTTCCCCTTCCAACCTTCTTACTTCTCTACTAAATGCCACTGAATTGTTTACTTCTGACTCCTGACCATCATCCGGGGATGTCAGGACTAAGATGAGCTGTTAAGTGGAAGTTGTCCAGGGAGTTCTTGGTGGCTCCTGCTAACTTCAAAAAGGTCTTTCCTAATTTCCAAAGAAATAGAGATTTAAAATATAAATGTTATTTTTATTCATTTATGCAAAAACAATGTATATTGCCTCCTTTTTTGGTCATTTTCTTTGAATTCAAGCAAGATCAACAAATGTTATGCAGTCCCAATCTGCCTGGTACCCAGCTACCCTGGAATGAAAAAGAAATAGTTTGCAGTTTTCAAGGGGGCCTGTCTTAGTCCATTTTGCGTTGCTATAACAGAATACCACAGACTGGGTAATTTATAAAGAAATTTATTTCTCTCATTTCTGGAAGCTGTGAAATCCAAGATTAAGGTGTCAACCTCTTCTGAGGGCCTTCTCTGTGTGATCTCATGGTGGAAGGTGGAAGGGCAAGAGAGCTGAGAGACAGAGCCAAGGGGTTGGAACACACCCTTTAATCAGGAACTCGCTCCAGAGACAACTAATTGATTTATGAGTGCAGGGCCCTCTGACATAATCACCTCTTAAAGGGCCCACCTCTCAACATTGTTGCATTGGAGATTAAGTTTCCAACACGTGAACTCTGGGGGACACATTAAAACCATAGCAGGGCCAATAAATAGCACATCTCTTCCCCAATTGTTTTTTGAAAATTAAAAAAAAAAA
This sequence comes from Homo sapiens, assembly GCF_000001405.40. Lineage (NCBI taxonomy): Eukaryota > Metazoa > Chordata > Mammalia > Primates > Hominidae > Homo > Homo sapiens. The sequence goes on from NC_000011.10 coordinate 102,253,412, forward strand.
AGAGAGAGAGAGAGAAATAAAACAAGGAAGTTGTATGGAAGCCAAAACATCCCCTTGTTTCTGCTAAAGGCTAAGTTGGATGTTGTAGCTTTGAGAGAGAGACAAACAGGCCTTACACTGGAGGCCTAGAATTAAGCAGACTTCCACACCCAGCTGCAGGCAGCTCTGGATCAGGGCACGTTTCCTGATGGGTGGGCCCTCTCAAGGTAAGACTCAGACATGCAAGTAAAGATAAAAAGTACTCCTGGGGTTGCAGCTCTCACTCAAGAGGAAGGAGAAAGCCATGAGCCTAGCTTATGCTTCCCTGATAGGTAGATAAGATAAATTCCACCACCTCCTGGAAATCAGGATTGAGGGAGAAAGTGTTTCTGCCTAACTTTTCCCAAATTTTTCAGATTTTGGTTTCTTTTGTTGTTTTTTGTTTGTTTTTTGAGAACGAGTCTCACTTTGTCACCCAGGCTGGAGTGCCGTGGCGTGATCTTGGCTCACTGCAGCCTTGACCTCCTAGGCTCCAGTGATCCTCCTGCCTCAACCCCACCAAGTAGCCGGGATTACAGGCATGCGCCACCACACCTGGCTAATTTTTTTAGTTTTCAAAGAGACGGGATATCACCGTGTTGCCCAGGCTGGTCTTGAACTCCTGAACTCAAGTGATCTGCCCACTTCGGCCTCCCAAAGTCCTGGGATCACAGGTGTGAGCCACCGCACCTGGCCCAGATTTTTTTTTCTAACACTTTCTGTTTCAGCATTCACAGAAGTGAGGCTATTAACTTCCAGCTTCGTGCGATGGCTCGTCCAAAACTACTACTCCTTATTTGGGAGTCCTCCTGGAATCACTAGGGGGCAGTATAAATGTCTCCCAAGAAGGCACTAAAAAAAGGGCCCAAATGAGTCCAAGTCCACTGTGTTCCTAAGGCTACAAGTTCAGTCCCTAGTCCAAGACACCCAGCTATGTTGTCAAACATAGCATACTGGAAGTTCCACAATGACAGTAAATCTTGAAAAGAAGGTCCTCTGATAGTACTGTGCATAGATATACTCCAAAAATAAAAGGCCCAAAATATTTTTTAAAATGTCCCAAATGTGAATATAAGCCCCCTCCCAATACGAAATTCCCAGGGAAAACTTAAAGTCCAAAAACCTAAGTCCCTTTGCATGTTAAAGTTCAACGGCATTAAAATCCAAATAAATTTTCAGGCCTGAAACAAATTGCGCTTTAAATGTTCAATTGTTCATTCTGCTCAACCTCAGTTACACGCTTCTCAAGTCTGGGTGAGATTTGAAGCTTTTTCAACAGGGAAAGCCTGAAGTTTCTCTTACTGTAAAGTATATCATTCCTTCATGGCCTCAGAAGCTGCATTAATTCAGTGCCAAGTCTTTCATGAACCTTCCTTTTCAAAGAGCCTGAGTTACCATATACACAAGGCAATCAGAACACTGGTGCTGGATCCCCCCAATTTTTTTTTTTTTTTTTTGAGGCAGTCTTGCTCTGTCGCCCAGGCTGGAGTGTAGTGGCATGATCTCGGCTCACTGCAAATCCCACATTCAAGCGATTCTCCCACGTTCAAGCGGTTCTCTCGCCTCTGCCTCCCAAGTAGCTGGGACTACAGGTGCATGCCACCATGTCCGGCTAATTTTTATATTTTTAGTAGAGATGCGGTTTTGCCATGTTGGCCAGGCTGGTCTCAAACTCCTGATCTCAAGACATATCTGCCCGCCTCGGCCTCCCAAAGCGTTAGTATTACAGTCATGAGCCACCGCGCCTGGCCAAATCCAACCAATTTAAGAAACAAGCTATCCCCAGTCCCTAGAGCATCCCAGGCAAAATTTTGGTCCTGGAATCTAGCACTCCCCTTTGCCTAGGTATTTATTTATCTAACACATTCATCTAGCTTTGTCTCATGAAGTATTCTATGGTGAGAGATACAAAATCAATAACTTCTTGGTCTACAAAAACAGCCATTGTTCAAATACATCTTGTCGACCTTTAGTTCCCTCGGTTGAATAATTCCATCTGGGAAACATGTTTCCCTGTCAGGCCATCATCCAGTTCAGACCTGGATGCAAGTTATCATTTTTCTTCATGCTCCTCTTTAATCTCACGTTTACAGAGCCTTTCCTAAGGATTCTTAGGGTCCCTCAGGACAATGACTCTGAACTCACTATAATGGTTGTGTGCACAATGAAACTTACCAGTAATTTCACTGATTACTGGTCAATCAGTGAACTGGTGTTATACTGATTTTGATCACTGGCTCTAAAATTCTGCCACCATTTAGTATGGCTGTCCCGGTAAATAGGGGGCAGTGTCTCTATTATAATAATTCTGGATTTTTTCTTTAACTTGAGGAGACCACCTTAAATCATTCCCTGGTTGTTAGCCCCTCTGGGAGAATCATTCTAGACTGCACTGGGATACCCTGCTTTCTCTGTTAGACTTCTTTATGTCCACCATTATTGCTGTTTTAGTAACTGTAAGACATCTTTACCTTGTCTGATGCCTTTTTTTTTCTTTTTTCTTTTTTTTTTTTTTTGAGACAGGGTTTCACTCCTGTCACCCAGGCTGGAATGCAATGGTACCATCTCAGCTCACAGCAACCTCTGCCTCCCAGGCTCTCAAGCGATCCTCTTGCCTTAGCCTCCCAAGTAGCTGGGACGATAGGCATGTGCCACCACACCTGGCTAATTTTTTTTGTATTTTTTGTAGAGATGGGTTTTCACCATATTGCCCAGGCTGGTCTCAAACTCCTGGGCTCAAGTGATCTGCCTACCTTGGCCTCCCAAAGTGCTGGGATTACAGGGGTGAGCCACCGTGCCCGGCCTGATGCTATCTTTAACAGTAGTTCCGAAAGGAAATCATGTCAATTTCCCTTTTACAGGCACCTATCCCAGCCTTTCAGATCTATTTGTTCATTTTGTGTCTGTCTAGTCTGTCTCCTACTGCGTGTTGAGGGAGGAGTTGTGGCAGGGGCGGGAATGGTGGGAGTGTGACTCAGCTGCCCACATAACTTGCTCGTGCCTTCAGGACCTGTTCATGTCTGGTCTTGTACAGACTACTTCATCTTAATGATAGAATCTTCCTGGACATGCCCAATCATATAGCTTAGAGGGTCAGAGAGCATCAACTTGATGAAAGACAGCTCAGACTGCTTATGCTCCCAGTGTCCTGTGATAAGGCATTTATTTGCTACAAGCACCCAGTAGTAAAACAAGGTCTGTTTCTCAAAAGAATAGTAATTTGGGCTGGGCGCAGTGGCTCACGCCGGTAATCCCAGCACTTTGGGAGGCCGAGGCAGGCAGATCACCTGAAGTCAGGAGTTCGAGTTCAGTCTGGCCAACATGGTGAAACCCCATCTCTACTAAAAACACAAAAATTAGTCAGGTGTGGTGGCAGGTGTCTGTAATCCCAGCTACTCAGGAGGCTGAGGCAGGAGAATTGCTTGAACCTGGGAGGTGGAGGTTGCAGTGAGCTGAAAGTGCGCAGCCTGGGCAACAGAGCAAGACTCTGTCTCAAAAAAAAAAAAAAAAAGAAAAAAAGAAAAGAAAACAAAACAAAACGAAAAAAGAAAGAATAGTAATTTGCTTTAAAAATGTGTCTTTGTTAGGGATCTTCACTGTGATTCTCCAATAAAGACATCACAGTTTCCTGAAGGGCCACAGACACTTTGCACACCATCAAATCCACTGGCTCACAAGGGCCAAGTGGCAGAGCTATCTTGTGCTCCAACCTGAACCAGCTGGAGATTCTTCTGATGCTCTGGGCTCCGTTAGAGTTGACAGCCTTTTCAAGTCACTCAGCATGTCAGATATTGATGTGGGTTGACCCAAAATGTCCATTCTCCCTTTTTTCCATTATGTTTTAAATCTGAAGTTAAAATTTAAAATAGAATTTTAGCTGGGCAATGAATGCCCAGTCTATCATGCTAAATGACGCATGTGAATAAGTACAACACCCCAGGCATAGCACAGCCACATAATTGAAGGACCTCGGGTCCCTGGATGTTCTATGGAGCACAGCTGTTCTACCAGGCTTGGGCCACTTACCTCAAGATTGTCTTGTGAGAGGCAAATACGTTTCTGTCTTGTCTAATGCATTGATAATTTCAGTGTCGTCTGTTTAGCAGCCAAACCAATAACTTAACTAATATATTCAATACAAATGGACTGGAGAACAAATCACACATTTAATATGTGTTACCTCCAATAGCTAAAGGGCCACCAAGCTTTGTCCCCACTCCCCATCGCTCTCATTCTTTGTCTTTTTTTTATGTCCTCCTCTAATACAGTCCCTTCTCCACATATAGGCATCCTCAGCATCTTTCTGAAGTTCCTTTATAGAAATACAAGCAAATATAAACAAATATCCTTTTTATCCTTTTTTTTTTTCTTTTTCCTTTTTTTTTTGAGGCGGAGTCTTGCTCTGTCACCCAGGCTGGAGTGCAGTGGCATGATCTCGGCTTACTGCAAGCTCTGCCTCCTGGATTCATGCAATTCTCCTGCCTCAGCCTCCCAAGTAGGTGGGATCACAGACATGCACCACCACGCCCAGCTAATTTTTGTATTTGTAGTAGAGACAGGGTTTCACCATGTTGGTCAGGCTGGTCTTAAACTCCTGACCTCAAGTGATCCACCCCTCTTGGCCTTCCAAAGTACTGGGATTACAGGTGTGAGCCACCATGCCCAACTCTCCTTTTTATCTTTCTTACACAAATAACATATATACACTTTTCAGTACCTCACTTTTTCACTTCACAATATGTATTTCCTGTATCAGTACATAAAAAAATTCACAATTTTTTAAACAGCTGCACAGTGTTGTGCAGCTGTACCATATGTTATTTGACAGCTTATTGAGAAGCATGTATTATTTCCAGTCTTTTGCCATTTAAAACAATTCTGCAACCATGACACACATACCATTTTGTACATGTGCAAGAGTACCTATATTTGTAGGATACAGTCCCAGAGGCAAGAATGCTGAATTAAAGGATGTATGCATTTGTAATCTGATGCATATAGACAAATGTTAGGACATATAGTTTGTTCTATTTTTGTATTCCTGTCAGTAATTTATGAGAGTCTTAGTTTCCCTACAACCTTATCGATAGAGTGTGACATCTTACTTAATTTTGCCAATTTGATTGGTAACAAATGGTATCTCAGTAGTTTTGTTTTGTTTTGTTTTGATATGGAGTCTCGCTCTGTCGCCCAGGCTCAAGTGCAGTGGTGGGATCTCGGCTCACTGTAAGCTCCACCTCCTGAGTTCACACCATTCTCCTGCCTCAGCCTCCCGAGTAGCTGGGACTACAGGCGCCCGCCACCACACCCGGCTAATTTTTTTGTATTTTTAGTAGAGATGGGGTTTCACCATGTTGCCCAGGCTGGTCTTGAATTCCTGACCTCAGGTAATCTACCTGCCTCGGCCTCCCAAAGTGCTGGGATTACAGGCATGAGCCACCGCACCCAGCCGGTATCTCAGTAGTTTTAATTTGTATGTCACTTATGATGAATCAAGTTAAGCATCTTTCATATATTTAAGGCCAATCTGTATTTATTTATTTTTTATTTTTTGAGACAGAGTCTCGCTCACTGCAACCTCTGCCTCCCGGGTTCAAGCAATTTTCCAGCTTCAGCCTTCCGAGTAGCTGGAATTACAGGCACGTGCCACCATGCCCAGCAGTTTTTGTATTTTTAGTAGAGATGGGGTTTCACCATGTTGGCCAGGCTGGTCTCGAACTTCTGACCTCAGTGATCCACCTGCCTCGGCCTCCCAAAGTGCTGGGATTACAGGCGTGAGACACCACGCCCGGCCACCAATCTGTATTTCTTTTACTCAGAATTGTCTGTTCAGGTCTTTTTCTCATTTTACTGTTGGGTTGCTAGATTTTTCTCATGAATATAAGGGAGTTCTTTATGAGACATTAGAAGTTGTAGAAAAGTTTTCCAGCTTGTCACTAGTGTTTTGACTTTGCTTGGGATGTTATGTTGTTGGAAATCCTTTTAATGGTTGCATTTATCAGTCATTTTAACCTTTACTTAGGAGAAAATCTCTCAATCTGCTCCAGACCTCTAGACCCTTAGAAACATGATGTGGTGTTGGGATCTTGTGTTTTTGTGGGATTTATCTTCCCTCCTGGAATGTAGGTGAGTGTCTTACTAAGCCATGTTGGTCATCTGCTACATCCTGCAGTTGTGAATCTTTAAATCACCATCAGGGTGGTTCAAGTCAGGCCTCTGTTCACCCTATCGTAGAGACGTTCTTGTTTTTTAATTACTATACAGATCAGGCAGAACCTGCATGAGCTGCCCTGTAATTTGGTCATAGGGGACCCATAATCAATCACCTACTGCCAGGTAACAGAGATCCTGTTATTCCGAACATTACCCCGACCATGCTGCCTATTTTCGTAAGAACATCCACCATGCCTTTGCCTAACCTCCGCCATCCTGGATCATGCTTTTTCTCCCCATAGAAATCAGGAAGCTCATTTCAATTTAGACATTTTTCTGATGGCCAGTATAGCAATATTCAAAGATGCTGGTGCTTCCCTTTCCAGTGTTTCTCAAAGTCTTGGTGCACACTGGCCGGGCACGGTGGCTCACACCTGTAATCCCAGCACTTTGGGAGGCTGAGGCGGGTGGATCACCTGAGGTCAGGCGTTCGAGACCAGCCTGGCCAACATGGTGAAACCCCTTCTCTATTAAAAATACAAAAAAAATTAGCCAGGCATGGTGGCAGGCACCTGTAATCCCAGCTACTCTGGAGACTGAGGCAGGAGAATTGTTTGAACCCGGGAGGTGGAAGTTGCAGTGAGCCAAAATCTCATCACTGCACTCCAGCCTGGGTGACAAGAGCAAGACTCCATCTTTAAAAAAAAAAAAAAAGTATTGGTGAACACTATCTTCTAGCTCTTTAAGGGACATATTTTGGTGAGGAGTGAGCAGTTCACCCATTAAAAAACCACTCCAGCATTCCTATTTTCCTAAGCCTTTGAATTACTTCCTTTGTATTATACTAAGGAATTTCTGGCACCTCAACTTCAATTAGCATGGGTAAGCTACGGCAGACCACAAAGGAGACCAAGGTTTGTACATTGGTGAGAATGACAGCTCAGACTTAGCTAAGGCTTCTCTCACTAGACTTTACAATTGCTTCAAAACCTTCACACATGATTAAGAATACATGTTGGTGTGAGTAAACGAGCACCTCAGGATCTCCTTTTTAAAATTACTTATGTATTTATTATTATTATTATTATTATTTTTTTTTTTTGAGACAGAGTCTCCCTCTGTTGCCCAGGCTGGAGTACACTGGCACATTCTCGGCTCACTGCAACCTCTGCCCCCTGGGTTCAAGCGATTCTCTGGCCTCAGCCTCCCCAGTAGAGGGGATTACAGGTGCCTGCCACCACGCCCGGATAATTTTCATATTTTTTTAAGTAGAGATGGGGTTTCACCATGTTGGCCAGGCTGGTCTCCAACTCCCGACCTCAAATGATCCACCTGCCTTGGCTTCCCAAAGTGCTGGGATTATAGGCGTGAGCCACTGTGCCCAGCTGGGATCCCCCACTTTATTTTTTTGGAGACAAGAGTCTCACTCTGTCACCCAGGCTGGAATGCAGTGGCATGATCTCGGCTCACCGCAACCTCGGCCTCCTGGGTTCAAGCGGTACTCCTGCCTCAGCCTCTGGAGTAGCTGGGATTACAGGCTTGAGCCATCGCGCCTGGCCAGGATCCCCATCGTTAATTACAGAGGTGTACCCTCAGTTTGGTGGTCTCAACAGCCCTCCCAGAGTGATGAATTCATCAGGTCAATGGAGTTGAGAAACATGACTGCCTTTGATACCACTTTAGGCTGTCCATTATTTCAAGGGTCCCACCTATTTCCAGAAAATAAAAAAGAAAACTTCTCATCTCACTGCAGGGACATAATCTGGTTCCTGCTGTTTTTATGCCTTTCTGCATCCTCAGGCCTGCTTGAGGCTTTGTCGTTGCAGGTCTGGGCAATAGCTTGCCACAGTGGGCCAGCTATTTTGTTGTTGTTGTTTTGAGACACAGTCTCACTCTGTCGCCCAGGCTGGAGTGCAGTGATGCCACCTGGGCTCACTGCAGCCTCCACCTCCCAGGTTCAAATGATTCTCGTGTCTTAGCCTCCAAAGTAGCTGAGATTCCAGGCCTGCACCACCATGCCTGGCTAATTTTTGTATTTTTAGTAGAGACGGGTTTTCACTATGTTGGCCAGGTTGGTCTCGAACTCCTGACCTCAAATGATCCTCCCACCTCAGCCTCCCAAAGTGCTGGGATTGCAGATGAGCCACCGCGCCCAGCCAATGGGCCAGCTTTTAAAATAGAAATGGAGCACACAATGAGAATTGCTCCCAGCTGTTTGATCTAGCCTAGCGATTTCAGAATCTCTGATAATTTCATTCACATTGATGATTTCAGCCTAAAGTTTTCATCTTTCCTACTTAATCTGGCGCCCTCAGAATAAACCTTAGGTAGCCTATTTTTTTCCTCTAATATAAAGTAGCAAAAACTCTCCCCTTAGTCTGACTTTGTAATTGCCTCATTAGTCCCATCTAGGCACTCCTCAATCTAGTTCAGCTGACACCCAACATTAACCATCACACGTGCCCAAACTCATGCTACAGAGTGAGTCTGCTGGGCAGACACACACAGCCACTTGCACCTCTAACATCATCAGTTTTGGACAAGGACACGAAATGTCTGTTCCTGCTGCCTCTGGGAAGTGGCTGTAGGAGGGAGGCTGCGTGTGCCAGAATAGAGTCAGTATGGTTTCTGCTTTTTTGAATCACTTGCTTCCAGTTCATCTGATGAATGGAAACTTCATGTCAATGTCTTTATTCTAGATTGCAAAGTAGCTTGGGAAAGCAAATACCCAGCATTTTCAGCTTCTGTAGTGGAGGTTTGGGTCTCTCCAAATACAGAAAGCAGTGTTTAAATGCTGAGAAACCAAAAAAGAATGACAAATGGCCACTTAGGGTCGTATAACTTGACACTCACCAAAAGAAGAAATTTCTCTCTCCAACTCCTCATCATTGAAAAGAGGCATTCAAGATATTTTTATTGGCCTGGGAATGGTGGCTCATACCTGTAATCCCAGCACTTTGGGAGGCTGAGGCAGGCAGATCACTTGAGGGCAGGAGATTGAGACCGGCCTGGCCAACATGGTGAAACCCCGTCTCTTTGAGAGGTGAGGCAGATGGATCACTTGAGGTCAGGAGATTGAGACCAGCCTGACCAACATGGTGTAACCCCATCTCTACTAAAAAAACAAAAAACAAAAACTAGCTGGGCGTGGTGGCGCGAGCCTGTAATCCCAGCTACTCGGGAGGCTGAGGCAGGAGAATCGCTTGAACCCATGATGCAGAGGTTGCAGTGAGCCGAGATTAGGCCACTGCACTCCAGCCTGGGGGACAGAGCGAGACTCCTTCTCAAAACAACAATGAAAAAAGATATAGGCTCATGCCTATGATCCCAACACCTTTGGGAGGCTGAGGTGGGCAGATCACTGGAGGCCAGGAGTTCAAGACCAGCCCGGACAACATGGCGAAACCCTGATTCTACTAAAAATACAAAAATTAGCTGGGGGTGATGGTGCATGCCTGTAGTCCCAGGTGATTAGGAGGCTGAGGCACGAGAAATCACTTGAATCCAGGAGATGGAGGTTGCAGCGAGCCAAGATCATACCATTGCACTCTAGCCTGGGTGACAGAGCAAGACTCTGTCTCCAAAAAAAAAAGGAGGAAAAAAACCGAGAATTATATCTTCTTTGTACTCTACTGATATGCTGAACCTATTGTATTTTCAAGTATTAGATTTTATACATATTAAATCCAAAAGTGTATGTCTTATATATTAAAATGTTTGAAAAATAGTAGAGTCATCAAAGAGAATATAATAAAAACAGCCTCTTAAAAAAAAGTTTGATTCTTAGTATTTGTTGGTACAATATACTAAACCCTCCTGGGTTTGTTTTGTTTTGCTTTAAGTAGAACCAATGATGGTCCCATCTCTTTGCAGGAAATTGGGTTCAGTGAGGGGCCGCTGCAGCCACACACAGTCCTTAAGTGGCAGTCCATTTCTAACTCAGAGCCTCTAGCCATCACACTAATCCTGGCAATATGAGAGTGAGACAGCCAGATCAAAGCCCATTTAGAGAAAAAAAGAAAATAATTCCAAACTGCTCCTTTGATGTCCCATTAGGCCATTAATATACATCACATCTGTTTAATTTAAAACTTCTGCCCAGTGCTGGTATGAGCTAATTGCACACCTCTCAAGACCCAGCATTAAGTTACTATGTGCTTGAATGGGAAACATGATTTGTGTGGTAGTTAATGATGGGGTTTAGAGTCAAGTCCACAGTCATGCATTCTCTATTCTCTCCACCAGCCTGACTGCATGCTCCTCATAAATAACATTTTCAGTGGATGAGGGGACCGTAAATCTGTCCAGAGGCGGGACACCCTGTTCTACTCTCTTCCTGGACACTACCTTTTAATTCACTAGAGGATAATGAGAAGTTGGAAAGTAAGTATCTTCTCTCTCAGTGGCCTATAGTCATTTCTGTCCTGCCTTATTCTGTGTTACGGAAGAGATGGGAGGTTGTTAGGTTTTTGACAATATCTCTAACATACAACCATCATTTAGAATATCATTTCTATTCATATTCCAGGCATTTTAGAGCATGGTCCTGTTTTTTGATTATAGAATGTTTTATTTTAGAGATTTATCAAGCTTTGTGCAAAAACTGGAGGAGCTGAAATAATGGGGAAAAAAGTAAAGAAGACACAAAGCTTTAAAATTATATAAAATGGCCGGGCGCAGTGGCTCATGCCTGTAATCCCAGCACTTTGGGAGGCCGAGGCGGGTGGATCAAGAGGTCAGGAGATCGAGACCATCCTGGCTAACACAGTGAAACCCCGTGTTTACTAAAAATACAAAAAATTAGCCAGGCGTGGTGGTGGGCGCCTGTAGTCCCAGCTACTCGGGAGGCTGAGGCAGGAGAATGGTGTGAACCCAGGAGACAGAGCTTGCAGTGAGCCGAGATCAAGCCACTGCACACCAGCCTGGGCGACAGAGTGAGACTCCATCTCAAAATAATAAAAATAAAATAATATAAAATATGCTGGGTGCAGTGGCTCACGCCTGTAATCCCAACACTTGGGGAGGCCGAGGCAGGTGGATCACTCGAGGTCAGGAGTTCAAGACCAGCCTAGCCAACATGGCGAAACCCTGTCTCTACTAAAAACACAAAAATGATCTGGGTGTGGTAGTGTGCACCTGTAGTCCCAGCTACTCCAGAGGCTGAGGCAGGAGAATCGCTTGAACCCGGGAGGTGGAGGTTGCAGTGAGTCGAGATCACACCACTGCACTCCAGCCTGAGCAACAAAGCGAGACTCTGTCTCAAAAAAAAAAACAAAGTATATAAAATAGCATCATCAACTCTGTTTAACTTTAGCTAATGTGGGAAATGCCATATCAGCATTAGCAGATTTTAGCAGAAAATGGCTCCTGCCTTTGCCTCCTGTCTTTACAGTACAGCAGGAGAAGCAGGTCTGTATTCATGGAAAGAAACTGGAAGAAGTAACTGCAGGTGCTAGGGAGGGAATGGAGCCATGTGAACAGGTGAGTCGGGGTACAGGTGCAGAATGGGAGAGACTAGTGTGCATGTATGTCCATGGATTAGCACTCTCAGGAAAGGGACCCCTAATATGAGAAAGCCAGCATGGTCTAAAACCATGGGCCTCGTGAACAATACTTGGGTATCTCTAGACAAATTTTTTTTAAAAGAAAGAAAAAGTTCATAAGGGTTTAGCACTCTTCTTGCGGTCCTGAAGTGCAGCCTAGGAAGAAAGGCAACCTTTAAAAGGGAATGTAGGCTGGACACAGTGGCTCATGCCTGTAATCCTAGCACTTTGAGAGGCCAAGGTGGGCAAATCACTTAAGGAGTTCAAGACCAGCTTGGCCAACATGGCGAAACCCCGTCTCTACCGAAAATACAAAAATTAGCCGGGTGTGGTGGTGTGCACCTGTAGTCCCTGCTACTCTCGGGAGGCTGAGGCACGAGAATCGCTTGAACCTGGGAGGCGGAAGTTGCAGTGAGCTAAGAGGGTGCCACTGCACTCCAGCCTGGGTGACAGAGTGAGACTCTGTCTCAGGAAAAAAAAAAAAAAAAGGGAATGTAAGTAAGCCTTAGTTGTGCCTGTTTTAGAGTTAGCCTACCTGGGAGACAGATGGCGGGTGGAGGGAAGAACCAGAATGATAAAGACCATACATTACACAAGTCAATGTTAGCTAGTTTTCCTCAAGGTCAGTGAACGCTGACTAATGTCAACATATTAGGTTAGAGAGTATCTTAAACTTCCACCAAACAATCCTGAAAAAACGAAAGGGAATATATATCCTGAGGGTGAGAGGGCTGTTGGAGAGATGATGCTGGCACTGCAAACAAAAATTTCTTTAGAATTTGCTGTTTGATCTTAAAAATTCATATACATGTTGCATTCTGTTTGGTTTTTAATATAAAATATTTTAGGCTAATCACCATTCAGCAAAATTGATTCTCCAAAAAAACTGCATCCCTGTTAGTCTATGATTTTGCAAAGTCTATAGGCCATTGCTATGGGAATCTCTGAGGGGGCTGTACTGTCTGTCATTTGAGAAGCACATGAAAAGCAATTAGCTCATTTCCAAATGTTGTATATGAAAATATTGTGACTTTTGTAAAGCGTATTCAATCATTTAGCCAAATATTTTAATAGCCTGAAGAATCCCAGGGAATATAAAGTTAAACTTTGGCCTGTTCTGTTCTCAGTTGAGCAGATGAAGCTTTGCATGACTCCTTTCCTGCAGGAGATGCTTAGTTAAATCAGAGGCATTGCTCATTCTAAAAATTTGATCCAAATCTAGAGTTAGTGTTAAATGACACCATATGTTTCCTTTGGTTAAATAAGGTCAATAAATCATGTTCCTTTTTGTTTCAGAAAACTGAGATATTTTAGTCTATTCATGTTGAAAGAACACTAATTGTGAATTTAAAAAACATGAAGGGGTTGTGGGGCTCTAAAAAACATGGAGGGGGAGCGTGGCCCTAAGTCTGTACTTGGCCTGATGGTCTTATCTTCAGAATTCTGGGGTATATGAGGTATTACTATAAAGATACAGGTCTGCTTCAAAAAACATATATCTTATTTTATTTTATTTTTTAGAGATAGGGGCTCTGCCGGGTGCAGTAGCTTATGCCTGTAATCCCAGCACTTTGGGAGGCCGAGGCGGGCGGATCACGAGGTCAGGAGATCGAGACCATCCTGGCTAACACGGTGAAACCCCATCTCTAGTAAAAAATACAAAAAGTTAGCCGGGCGTGGTGGCGGACGCCTGTAGTCCCAGCTACTGGGGAGGCTGAGGCAGGAGAATGGCGTCAACCCGGAAGGCAGAGCTTACAGTAAGCCGAGATCGCGCCACTGTACTCCAGCCTGAGCGACAGAGCAAGACTCTGTCTCAAAAAAAAAAAAAAACAGATAGGGGCTCCCTGTGTTGCCCAGACTGGTCTCGAACTCCTGGGCTCAAGGGATCCTTCCACCTTGCCCTCCCAAAATGCTGGGATTACGGGTGTGAGCCACTGCGTCCTACCACAAGTATGCTTTGCTTTTGTTTCTTTTTTTTTTTTTTCCTTTTTTAACTTCTTATTTAAGAAAAAAAAGAGAGAGAGAGAGAGACGGGGGATCTCACTTTGTTGCCCAGGCTGGTCTCAAACTCCTGGGCTCAAGCAATGCCCACCTTGCTTTTCTTATGGCTTAAAGTAAGTAAAATAAAATGCTTTGAGAAATGATGGCATTGTTAAATAAACATATAACAAGAAAAGACAATACTCACTTGAATATACAAGTTAAAATTTAAAAATCATCAGTAACTAAATGAACATCAGAGTTAAGCACGAATTCCTTCCTTCAAAAAATGAAAAATCTCATTTTCATTTTTTGAATGAATACTCAGGCCTCTTTGATTATTATAACGATCCCAAAGTCCCTATACTACTCAATAATTATTTTGCCTGAAAATATGTGGAGGAGGAGGGGATTAATAAAGATAAAAATCTCTTAATTGAATATAAACAATTTAACTGTTCAAGAATTCCCCAAGTAAATTTTATCTACATAGTGTGGGTTAAATGTGGGGGGAAAAGGGATGGTAGATGCAAAATGCAGTTATTTGCTTCAAAAATCTATCTGTGTGAGTAGCTCCAATGTATAAAAGATCAAATGAAGAAAGTTTTACCGGCTTGTTTCCAATGCCTCCGACTTATCTGGGTGGATCTTCCCCTCTGACTCATTCTGGAACAGTCCTCCATAAGTCAAGGAGACAGTTTACAAGCTGGGGAGGTTTCCCTTCATAACGGCTGAGGGAACTTATTCTCTCCACAACCACGGTTCAATGTGTCAGGTACTGACATAAGGAAAGAATGTCTCTGACCTAAGGAATTCATAATCTAATAGGGGAGACGGACAAATAAATAGGTAAGTTTAAAAATGTCAAGTTCCCTGTCAAGGTAGAAAAGTATAGGGTGTCTTGGAGCACAGAAGAGGGTGTCCAGAAAGGCAAATGCAGATCAGATACAGAAGCAAGGCGTTGGGGTCCAAAATGCCCAGGTGGATGTCCTGGTCGGATCTCCAGAGTCCTACAGAGGACTTCCTCCACACAGGGCGGGTCAGTTTCAACCCATGGGAATGAAAGGGGGGGAAAACATGGAGAGCAGCTTCCAGCGCAGGGGGAGGAAAACATTCCCCAAGGAAATACTAGATTCCTGAAATATGTCCAGCCCTTGTGGAAAAGATGTAGTTCGGGCTGCAATTCGAGCAAACTTCGGAGAAGCTTCAAAAGCTCCGACTTGGCAATTCAACTCAAAGCGCTCTTCCAAGCTCTTCCTATTCAACTGCAACTTCTAAGGCAAAGTCATTGTTTACAGCCTGGCGGAGTTGGAAGAGTCTCCAAAAACACAACTTGCCGTGACAGTTGGAGTTTATAACCACCCTCGGACTTTAATGACAGGCAAGTCTGAGAAGCTTCCAGCACCACGGCCTGACTGACTTCTGCGGGGCTGGAGGGAACGGTGGGTCCCAGATTTGGGACCACCCTTCTGCAGTGAACACCTCCCCCACATTCTCGTTTGCCACGCCTCTAGGCCACCTGGAGCTGAAGTTTCGCTGTTTTCCACGGCATTTCCGGAATGCCAGGGCATGCCCTGTCAATCCTGCACGCCCTGCGGCCGCGCTGCTTTCTCCACCGGGGCAGCGCTGAGTAGGCGGGGCATGCGGGTGGGGCGGGGCTCCAGCCAGGGTGGGTGGGGCCTCTGCACGAACACCTGCCTGTACTTGGGCCCGGAGCTTGGATCTCTGCCCAGAGAGCTCCGGCAGCCCCAGTCATCCCCGGCAATCAGGAGGCAGCGCCGCTCGGCTGCTGCAGAGGGCGTTGCCCGACTTAGCGACAATTTTGTCCTACCTCCTCTATACACCTTGCTCAAGTGACTGGACTCTCGAGATTCAATTTCCTTATTCACAAAATGGGGTTGATTATCGTTAAATTTCACAGCTGTTTGAGGATTAAAAGAATGACGTATCTATATTGTTTATGTGCCAAGCACTGACACTTATTCATTAGTGCTCGTTTCTTTCCTTTTTCTTTCCAAATTCAGTCTGATTCAGCAAATAGCTACCGAGGGTCTACTTGTTTCCAGTCACTGGGGATTTAATGGCAAAATAACCCTCAAGAAGCTTATTGTCTAGTGGAAAAGACCAACAGGTAAACGGGCAGTGGGAAGTGCTGTGAGGGTGGAATTGCTGGGTGTTGGACAGGTAGAGGGGGCTGTGGAGGAAGAGCACGTTGCAGCTAGTTAGAGAGGTAGGATGAGAGCAAGGACAGGGAGAAGCTGGAAGTAGTACAGACCCTCTGGAAAGGTGAAGCTGGATCATGGGGCCAGATCATGAAAGAATTCCTAAATTATAAATTCTAGTGGCTACAGATTTTTATGTTGAAGCAGAGAGGAAACATGGAAGTATCTTAAGCAAGAGACTATGATGTGATTTGGATTTTAGAAAGATTCCTCTGGGTAGAGATCACATCGATGCAAGGCACAATTTAGCTCCTAAGCTCATTATTAGCAGCTTCATTTGAGGGTCACATAAAGAATTCCCCTAGGGTCTAAATAAAGTATTTGGAATTTTTTAGGTCAGGCCATGTAATTCTGAATTCTAGAAAATGACTAGAATTGGTTAGTTCTTTCTCTATAACTGGAATTGAGTTGGGTTTTAATATCCCCTCTATAAACCAGGCTTGATTTCAAACCAAATTTTATTACTCAGTTGGAAAAAGAAAACTTTTATACCTACATTAATCAACTGCCCCTTTGTAAACTTGCTTTCTCACTCACCTCCACGTGCCTAGCTTCTGGGATCAAGAAACCAGGAGGCAATGAAAAGTGTTATCAGACTTGCATTAAGACCAGCCCCTCCTTAAAGATGTTCTGGAGACAGAACTTAATCAGGTGGAGCTGGGCAGGGCTGAGGCTTCAGGCTCAGGCTCGCAGGCTGGTTTGGGGGATTAAAAGCCTAAACAAGTTAGTTGGGTTGTTCCTCTCCCATCATTTCCTGTTAGGTGATATGTGAGTTGGTTATGTTCTTATTTTAATGATTCACCCCTGAACATTGCTTCTGAAACAGCAGTTTGCAGGGTTAGCGAATAACTGTGCTGTCATCCCTATTTAAACCCAGTGAACAGTGATTTAATCTCAGATGTGCTCAGTGCAGGCTTCAGGTTCTCTCTGTCTAGTCCTATCATTGCATAGGATGGGTGACTGAGCTGGTGTGGGGATGAATTAATTGGCTCCTCCTCAGAGTTCCTCCAGGTGGGCAGGTTCTAAAAGAGTGAGTCTTGTCAGCACCAACTCCTTTTTTGTGTGTGGCAGAAGGTAGGTCTGAAATTTTGCCCTGAGTTGCTCCTAATTTGTTCAGTGATCTGGAATTGCTCCTTCCATTCTTTGAGGCTTAGTTATAAAACAAGAGTTTGATAACATGCTGGAAATTTCCTTCCAGCTCTAGGAGGGTTCTGGTCATCAGAGCAGTCAATATCAAATCCCTACATTTAAAGGTACAGCGTGAAACTATAAAGAATTATCCTCAAACGCTCCTCTGGGTCTACACCTTTGCCTGGCAAGCAGTCTCTTTGTCATTGCAAATTGATTTCTAAATGAAACTGCAAATCTTGTCAAATATACAGGATTACATCAAGCTGATGAAAGTAATAATGGAGAGAGCAAGTTCTTTGCACAAACAGGGGTCTTGCTAGGGAGATTACCTAAAAGCTGAAGAAAAAAAAAATAAACAAGAATGATGACAACCTAAGTGCTTCAAAAGAGAATGATTAGATTAGCAAAGGATTAATAGAGACATTTTGAAAAAACTTGGTGAAGCCTATTTACATTTTTATAAAAATGGCAAGTCAAACATGATGGAAAATACCTGAAAAGTGATGTCGATAAAACAGTAAATACTTGATTTATTGGAATTATAAATAATACTTGTTTTATAATTTCATTATGTTTTTCAAAATGAAATCCAAACTTTTTTCTATGAAATTTTGTTTTCCCCTTTGTGTCCATTTTAAATGGCTTTTTCGGATATCACTATTTCCTTTATTAATCTTCAATCTTGTTTCAAAAGGGATTTAAGAGGCCTAACATTCTGTGTTGAATACCAGTATATTCTAAACTCTGTTGCCAAATAAATCCACTTTTAATACCTCTGATGGTTCTCATTTTAAAAATATATTTTGCCTATTAATTGGCATTTTTTTCTTCTTCTTTTGAGATGGAGTTTCACTCTTGTCGCCCAGGCTGGAGTGCAATTGTGCGATCTTGGCTCCACCTCCTGGGTTCAAGCAATTCTCCTCCTTCAGCCTCCTGAGTAGCTGGGATTACAGGCACCCGCCAACACACGTGGCTAATTTTTGTATTTTTAGTAGAGATAGGGTTTCGCCATGTTGGCCATGCTGGTCTCAAACTCCTGACCTCAGGTGATCCGCCCTCCTTGGCCTCCCAAAGTGCTGGGATTATAGGCGTGATCCACCACGCCTGGCCGCCAGCAAATTTTTTTCTTTCATCTATCTTTTTTGTCTAGATATATATCCTCTTTTCCTTTATCAGTGACTTACAGACTTATCTTTCACAGTAATGATGAAACTAGCATATTTAGTCCTGGTGTGGTGGCCAGTGCCTGTAATCCCAGCTATTTGGGTGTTTTCAAACCACCATTTCCCCAATGACCCCAGCCAGAACTCTGAAGTTATCCTTGAGTCTTACCTCTACCTTGTCCCTTCCATCCAATCATTGTTTCGATATGTATTTATTAAGGCTCCAGTAAGTGCCAATCACTGTTTCTGTATGTGGAAGGATAGAAGGGTGAACCAGACAAAGTCTTCACCCTAACACAACTCACATTCTCTCTCATTCTAGTGAGGGACACAGTCAACCTACAAACAAGTATAGATTTTATTGTCAGATATTGGTAAGTGCTATACAGAAAATAAATAAGGGTAAGGAGATGAAGAGTGGGGGGGCTATTTTAGGAAACCTGACTATATATATTAATTTAATCTCCTAAAAGCCTCCATACCATGTCTTTCCATTCCACTGACATTATTAAGGCACTTCATCATCCCCTGTCTGGATGGCTCTAACTATCTCACGCCCTTTACTACCTTGAGTCCTAAATCATTAGACCCATATCTGATCACGTTATAGCCCTGCTCAAAATACTTCAGTGGTTCTCTATCCCACGGAGTATAAAGCCTAAACATCTCTGCCCTCTTGGCTGATAACCTTTCCTCCTATTTCACTGAACGAATAGAAGCAATCAGAAGAGAATGTTCATATCCTCCTGATACCGCGAGTACCCACCTTCCTGCATTTTTTGCCCAAATGCTCTGCTTTTCCTTGTGCTTTTAGGCATGCACTGTTCACACTCCTAAAATCAATACCTCCCCTTGTATTCTAGATCCCATCACTTCAAATGCCTAAGGATTTCACTCTATCAGTTTCCACTTTCTCTTCTGCATGATCAAATTTCCTCTCTTTACAGGAACATTTCCATCGCAGACATCTTATTTCTAGCATTATAAAATTCCTTGTTGATCCTCTTTTCCCTTGGTTACAGCCTCATTTCCCCTATCGCCAAGGCTCGAAGTTCAGTACTCTTGTCTCTTGTACACTTAGTCTCTTCCTGATATCACCCAGTCTCATGGCTTTAAACCCCGCCTACCAGTATATGCTGACATCTCCTCTTTTATCTTCAGCCTAAAACTCCCCTTTGAACTACAGACTTGTATATCTAGCTGCTCTACAAAGCCTTGTCCTCTCTTCTTTACATTTCAGTAATGATAATGCCATCTTTCCTAGATTCTGAAGCCAAAAACCTTGGAGTCGATCTTGAAGTTCTTTATTTTACGTCCAGCCCTCACATTCAAGTATTTGCTCAAATGTCATCTTCTCTGTGAGTCCTTCCTGTCTGCTGTATTTTTTAAAATTTATTTTAATTTTTTTATTTTTTTGACATGGAGTCTCACTCTGTCGCTGAAGCTGGAGGGCAGTGGTGTGATCTTGGCTTACTGCAACCTCTGCCTCCCAGGTTCAAGTGATTCTCCTGCCTCAGCTTCCTGAGTAGCTGGGACTACAGGCACATGCCACTACACCTGGCTAATTTTTGTATTTTTAGTAGAGACGGGGTTTCACTATGTTGGCCAGGCTGGTCTCGAACTCCTGACCTCTTGTGATCTGCCCACCTCGGCCTCTCAAAGTGCTGGGGTTACAGGTGTGAGCCACAAAGCCCAGCCCTGTTTGCTGTGTTTTAAATGGCAACTCTCTTCCTACAAGTACTGTCTGTCACTCTTCCCTGATTTATTCTTCTGCATAGCATTCATTTCCATCTTCCATAAACAGTGTCATGAATGTATGCCATTTCTTTGTGTATGAGATACTGTTTTTGGCTTAGTATCTTAACTAGGGAGGAGGGAAGGGTAGTTTCAGGAGCTTCTCCTAGGCTACCACATTAGTGGATAGTTCTTACCTCCCTGGCTAAGGACTCAGTGTGGGTTTCTGCTGAATATGTCTATTCTAGTAACACATTTAGGGAGTAGGGAAATGGACATTGGAATGTCCACTGGAATGCAGAGCCATTCCATTTATTAATTAAGTTAAACTCCATTTATTATTTTATTGTCATATGCTTCACTCTACAAGGAGACTCATGATATTGCTTTGAGTCTTTGAGTATCAATTTCAAATCAGATTGGCATCCAGTGGTTCTTGAAATGCCCCTTCTCCAGTGTGCAGCTATTTGAGTACATGGCCACTGGTCTCTTGGGCTGGGAGAATCTTTACCATATATACTTGCCATGGTGTTTCAGGGTCCTTCCTCTTGGAGACATACCCTCTCTTTTAGTCAGTGGGTTCCAAAGTTGAAAAACTGGCTCAAGGTTCAGAAATGGAGCCGGGCATGGTGGCTCACGCCTCTAATCCCAGCACTTTGGGAGGCTGAGGAGGGTGGATGACCTGAGGTCAGGAGTTCAAGACCAGCCTGGCCAACATGGTGAAACCCTGTCTCTCCTAAAAATACAAAAATTAGCCAGGTGTGGTGGCACACACCTGTAATCCCAGCTACTCAGGGGTCTGAGGCAGGAGAATCACTTGAACCTGGGAGGCGGAGGTTGCAGTGAGTCAAGATCATACCACTGCACTCCAGCCTGGGAAACAGAGCGAGACTCCATCTCAGGAAAAAAAAAGTTCAGAAACTTGGAAAAGCATTTTGACTTTTTATTGAGCTAACTGCTGTCAGCCTCCTGTTTATCCATCTTTGATTTCTTTGGATTGTATAGCTTGAGTTCCCCCTTGTTGGCTGCCTGTGTGGAGGCTGAGTTCTGTTAATTATCTCCATAACTGTTTGGGTCAATCTTCCCTGGCTGCCCCTCTGATGATGCCATTCATTATTGTAATTGCATATACCCACCTTTTAATAGCTAAGCTCTTCCACTTGGCCTCTGCTTTAGGGTCCTAAAACCCTGTGGCTGTTAATCACCTCTATTCTGTAATGATGCCTCCTGATAGCAGCCCTGGCCTAGAGAGAAAAGCCACTACTGATCTTGTTGGTGATTGTCTTAATCCATTTGTGCTGCTACAAAAAAATACCTAAGACTGGATAATTTATAAAAAACAGACATTTATTTCTCACAGTTCTGGAGGCTGGGAAGTCCAAGATCAAGCTGCCAACAGATTTGGTGTCTGGTGAGGCTGCACACTCCAGAGGGGCAGAACGCTGTGACCTCACATGGCAGAACTGAAGAGCAACCTAAGGTAACGCTGTGTGAAGCCTCTTTCATTAGAGACTTAATCCCATTCATGAGGGAGGAGCCCTCATGGCCTAATCACCTCTTAAAGGCCTCACTGCTTAACACTGCCACATTGGCAACACTAGAACTCTGGAGGGGACACATTCAAACCATGGCAGCGATACTGACACCACTCTCATCAGCACATTCTTTGTTGCTTTGGAAATTGATATATTTATTGGGTAAAAGGCCCTGCCATGGAACATAGTCCTCTGATGGTTTTTTTTTTTTTTTTCTGGCCTTATATCATTACTTGCAGGCTCATTTCTCTGAGCTTTTTTTTTTTTTTTTTTTTTTTTTGAGACAGAGTTTTGCTGTGTCACCCAGGCTGGAGTGCAGTGGTGCAATCTCGGCTCACTGCAGCCTCTGCCTCCTGGGTTCAAGTGATTCTCATGCCTCAGCCTCCCGAGTAGCTGGAACTACAGGTGTGCACCACCATACCTGGCTAATTTTTGTATTTTTGGTAGAGATGGGGTTTCACCATCTTGGCCAGGCTGGTCTCAAACTCCTAGCCTCCAGTGATCTGCCCGCTTCTGCCTCCCAAAGTGCTGGAATTACAGGTATGAGCCACTGGACCAGGCCTCTCTGAGCCTTTTAATACCTTCTGCTTTCCAGCATGTCCACCTCACTTAGTGTGGGCTTTCACTTTTCCCTGCTTCTAGGACCCATCCTAGCAGCCTGTCTGCAACACTTCTGGGGGTCTTTTCCAGGTATTAAATGCTATATTCTGCTCTGAGTTGATAAACTCTAACTTTCCCTTATCCACTATCCTTTCCCTTATCCTTTCATGTTTCACTCTCCTTAGTCTAATTCCACGCATAGTCTCCTGGCTACTGCCAGTACTTGCTGGCTGGGACCTGCAGCCTCTTTGTATCAGTTCCTTTCCTTCCTTATCAGACCCGGCATGACCCCATCTGGGTTATATTGTGACTTAACCTAGTTATTAGCCTTGGGGCCAGCAGGTTCTGTGGGGACTGATCTTGTGGTGGGACAGGGTATTTTGCAGTATGTAAAAATCCCTATTAATTGCCATATGATTGAGCCAAGATCTATCTTCCAGAGAAAACTGAAGTTTTAAACTATAAGCAGTGTATATAATTAAAGTTCCCTGTCCTAAGACTGTTTTGTGCACTGATGACATTTTTTTCCTTTTTTAAACCTAAAGGCAATGGAAGACTTTTCTTTCAAGTAGTTGCCTCTGCTTTTACCTGTTTCTACCTGATTTTCATTTCCCATGTCATCAGCCATTTGTTCTCACAGTAGGAATGTTGCATGTATGAATGTTTCCTGTCATCATATACTTTTTATTATTTACGAGAAATGGATAGCTTGTGGACTTATTGGCAGGCAAGGAAAACATTGTGAAAGTTGATCTCTGTTGCTACTAACTAGCAAATTGGTAGTAATCACTTAATAGGAGTGGAAAAGTACAAATTGTATTTGATGCAGCAAAGTGGTAATTTCTTCAGATACACAACATCACTTGTTTGTCCTTATTGTGAAGTTAACTGAGACTGGCACCCACATTGCTTTAAGCCCTGGCTCACCATACCACATCCCTCAGCACAGCCAGTTCCAAACTACAAATGGGCTATGTTCCAAAAACGTGGTTGAAAATCAGTTTAAGACTCAAATCACTTTTTCCATGGAAACGATGTAATAAGTAAAAGTCCAGTCAACTGGCTGGTTCCCCCAAAGTCTATTTAGCACACAACATGGCTGAAATTGAGCTGGCGGGAGTAGTATTCTACATGGCCTCCTCCTCTGCCTGCACCCCTAATCTCATCTGCTCTCCACGCAGCAGCTGCCAGTGATTTTTCTAAAGTATAAGCCTCATCATATGACTCAGTGCTTAAAATGCATCCCAGAGCCCTACATCAAATCAATTCTCAATTCTATGCCCTGAACACTTCTCTAATCTTAATGTTTTTCTCCATTCCCATTGCTGTGATCTTAACATAGGCTGTGATCTATTCTTACCTAGACTATGAGAATAGTCTCCTAACAGTTCTCCCTATGTCTAATCACATCACCTTCCAATGTGTCCATCATGCTGCTGCCAAACTCTGGAACTTGTCAGGCATGACCTCTCCGTCCTGTCACAACCCACTTTTAGAGCCTCATTTGCTTCCACACCGACTCACATACTTCGGCACATTGTGTTTTCTTTACTTGGTATTTCCTGAGAAATTCCTGATCAAAGCCATGTGTCAGCTTCTCTGGGAAGTCTTTCCCTACAGCCAGAAAGAGGAAGTCACTCATTCCCCACTGCTTCCACAGCACTGTCAATATTGCCCACCATGTGCTAGGTGCGACGGATAATCAATGGGAATATCAAGGAGACAAATTCCCACCGCCTGCTCTCAAGGAGCTCACCATAGACAGAAAAAGAAATCGCTAATTAGAAACCATTGTGAGGGCTGCGCATGGTGGCTCACACCTGTAATCCTGGCACTTTGGGAGGTTGAGGCAGGTGGATCACCTGAGGTCAGGAGTTCAAGACCAGCCTGGCCAACATGGCGAAACCCTGTGTCTACTAAAAATATAAAAAGTTAGCAGGGCATGGTGGTGGGTGCCTGTAATCTCAGCTACTCTGGAGGCTGAGGCAGGAGAATCGCTTGAACCTGGGAAGTGGAGGTTGCAGTGAGCCAAGATCACACCACTACACTCCAGCCTGGCTGACAGAGTGAGACTGTCTAAAAAAAAAAAAAAAAAGAAAAAGAAAAAGAAAAAAAAGAAAAAGAAACCATTGTGAGAAATATGGTAGATGGGCGTGGCCGGGCGCAGTGGCTTATGCCTGTAATCCCAGCACTTTGGGAGGCCGAGGCGGGCGGATCACGAGGTCAGGAGATCGAGACAATCCTGGCTAACACGGTGAAACCCCGTCTCTACTAAAAATACAAAAAATTAGCCGGGCATGGTGGCGGGCACCTGTGGTCCCAGCTACTCAGGAGGCTGAGGCAGGAGAATGGCGTGAACCCGGGAGGCGGAGCTTGCAGTGAGCCGAGATCGCGCCACTGTACTCCAGCCTGGGCGACAGAGCGAGACTCCACCTCAAAAACAAAAACAAAACAAAAAAAAAGGATAGGCGTGTCTTGAGTGCGGCAGATCCAAGGACTTTTACTTACCTAAGGGACCCGCAGTCATTAAAGAGGTGGTGGTGATTTGAGTTGACTTGTGAAGGATGACCAGAGCTTCATGGAGTATTCCAAGGGAAAGGCCTTACAAGTAGAGAGATGAGTAGTCAGCTCTCCACATCCATGAGTTATGCATCTGTGGATTCAACCACTTGCATATGGAAAATATTTGGAAAAAAAATCATATCTGTACTGAACATGTACAGACTTTTTTCTCATTCTTTTTTTTTTTTTTGACAGAGTCTTGGTCTGTTGCCCAGGCTGGAGTGCAGTTTGCCTCCTGGGTTCAAGCAATTCTCCTGCCTCAGCTTCCCGAGTAGGTGGGATTATAGGTATGTGCTACCATGCCTGGCTAATTTTTGTATTTCTAGTAGAGACGGGGTTTCACCATGTTGGCCAGGCTGGTCTCGAACTCCTGACCTCAAGTGATTCACCTGCCTTGGCCTCCGAAAGTGCTGGGTTTACTGGCGTGAGCCACTGCGCCTGGCCTTTCTTTTTATTATTTTTTAAACAATAGTATAGCAGCAATTTACATAGTATTTAAATTGTAGTATGTATTATAAGTAATCTAGAAATGGTTTAAAGTATACAAGAGAGGCCAGGCATGGTGGCTCACGCCTGTAATCTCAGCACTTTGGGAGGCTGAGGCAAGCAGTCGTGGTGATGCACACCTGCAGTCACAGCTACTTGGGAGGCTGAGGCACGAGAATCACTTGAACCCAGGAGCAGAGGTTGCAGTGAGCTGAGATCATGCCACTGCACTCCAGCCTGCGTGACAGAGTGAGACCCTGTCTCAAAAACAAACAAACAAAAGTATGCAAGAGGATGTATGTAGGTTATATGCAAATATTACACCATTTTATATCAGGGACTTGAGCATCCTTGGATTTTGGTATCTGCAGAGGGTCCTGAAACCCCGATGGATACCAAGAGACAACTGTATTTGCAAAGGCATAAAGGCTTGGGAAGGTTTGGCATATTTGGAGAATTAAAAATAATTTTGTATGGCTGTAGGACAAGGTGTGTATGATAAAGCAGTGGGAACCAGGCAAAGAAGATCATTAAAGCCCTTACCAGCCAAGGTATGAAGTTTCCATTTTATTTTATACAAATGTCTATTACAGAGTTAAGGATTCCAGGTCATTCCATCTTCATATCACCTCTGATACCTAACATCATGCCTGGAACACAGTAGGCCTCCTCTTTACACTTTCTAAACTGATTTAAAATAGTTTTTGTCATCTCTAAGTGATAAAATCTGGGGAAATAGAGTTAAAACTAAAGTTAAATCTAATACATTTGCAAACAAATTTCTTATTTCCATGTGTTTGCTTTCATTATTTTAATACCCAAACAAACCCAGATATACAAGAAAATGAGCTATTACTTTTTCACTTTAATTTTATGTTTCTCCATGGTGTAAACATTTTAAAAATCAACTTCATATACTTTTCCAATTTAAAAAAGCTTATGTTTTGTTAATAAAGAAAATAGAAGCCTAAATATTGAAGGTAAAAAGTGATTTCCTCATTAATTTACATTCCCTCTGAGATTTATTGCACAGTAAATTAGTTAATTGCAAACCTTCTAACAATGTTTTACTCCATTATAGATTACTTTGGAAAAACAAATTTGATTTTTCCCTCTTGAACAATGAGTGGTTTATTTTAAAGTAGGTGAAAGGTAATGTGAAGGAAAAAAAAACCCAGCTTCACAGATGTATAGTTTAAAGTTTGCCAAGTACTTAGCAAAGGGTTACACTAACTTCAAACGGTTGGAAAGTATAATGTAATGTGAGAACTCGAAGGTCTTGTTTCTCTTTCAGCTCCCATTCTCACTCAGTCCCCTGCAAACCATCGGCATAAAGAGCAAAGTTTCAGAGATCACATCCTCTAGTGGAGAGCAAATGAACAAAAGGGGAAAGAGAGACGCGATGAATTGCACGTGCGCTATTATATTTGCAAGCGGGTTACATTGTCCTTGGATAAGAATTTTATATTCCCCGTGAGTCGGAGACTCTGTGCTCTGAATTATGTTGCTCAATTCAAGCGATGATCCAAGGCCAATGACAGTATACCAAGCTATCATTTCTTGGCAGGTCGAATAGTCATGTGTATATTTTATGTTCCTTATAAAAGTTAGGCGATATAAATATTGGTGATATGAAAGTTGATATTTTACATAAATTGTCAATTGCTAGTCAAACACGTCAAGGTTTTTTCTTTATGTGGTGGGGCTTTAAAATCTCAGCAGGGAGTTCTTTGAGTTTGAAGTGTCTCCCCTAAGCTTTCCATTTCAGACACTGTTTTTTTCCAAAACAGGTCTCAGTGTGTTGGTGTTTCCAAAGTGCAGATGATTCCTGTTCTTATTTTGTGGCTGTTCTTGCAGAATGCTATCAGCCCCAGATCTAGGGTAGAGGACAGGCTTGATTGGAGCCTTTGCCTGTTACAATGCATGATTCCACCACAGGCCAGCTGTGACCATTCCGCCCAGTGACAGCGTGGTTGTCTTTCCTCATAGGTGAAGGAGGTGACTTCTTATGGGACATGATTTCTGAAGCAGAAGTTTACCTGAGGTTCCTGGAAGAAATGTTTTCCCCACCTGTTGGCTCCCTGAGTATTAACATGCCAGATGCAAAGCTTCATTCATTCTATTAAAATGCAAATGAGCCCAACAGTGTAGTAAAACAGTTTGCTGCTAGAAGTTATTTACAATATTCTAAGAGTAACGCTCTTATTCACCCTAAGCACAGGTTTTAATAAAAAGTGGAAGGGATCGCAAGGGTATTGAGATCTCAGCAAGAGAAGGAAAGGGAAAAGGTTGTTTAAAAACAACATTAATAGAAGACATACCGTATAGAGAGAAAAACGCAGACTGTGCATGTTCAAGATAACTTTCATTACAATTTTGCCTAAGCCAGGGTGAATGCAAATGTTTCAGTTTTAACAGACTGGATCATTCATTCAAAAAGCATTTATTGAGTGCCTTCTCAAAAAAGAATGATAATTAGATTTTTTAAGTTATAAAGAAAATATAAAACCAAAACTGGAGAAATATACGCCAACATTTTTCCAATGGTTCCGTTGTCAAAGTAGAATTAGAATGTAAGTGCAGAGTTAAATTCCATTGTCTATCAAGAAGTAATTGTAAAGGAGCTATGTCTAAAAATGTATCTTTTCAGTGATTTTTGTTCTGAACAATCTTCTGCCTCAAATACATTTTGGATCTATGATTTGCAACCACTTTTTTTTGGTGGGTCAAGATACCAGCACTGTAACTTTAAGAAGTTCATCATTAGCATGCATTTAAAAAAATGTACCAAGTTAAGAAAAAAATTGAATAAATGTACATCTGTCTAAAGCAGGGGTTAGCAGAGTACAGCCTGCAGGTCAAATCCAGTCTACTGCCTGTTTTGTTTTTGTTTTTGTTTTTGTTTTTGACTAGAATGTTAAGATACATTTTTAAATGGCTGCAAAAAAAAAAAATCAAAAGGATAACATTTCATGACATGTTAAAAATTGTCTTCAATTCAAATTTCAGGGGCTGGGTGTGGTGGCTCACACCTGTAATCCCAGTACTTTGGGAGGCCGAGGTGTGTGGATCACCTGAGGTCAGAAGTTCAAGACCAGCCTGGCCAACATGGCAAAATCCCGTCTCCACTAAAAATACAGAAAAT
Source organism: Homo sapiens (assembly GCF_000001405.40). Lineage (NCBI taxonomy): Eukaryota > Metazoa > Chordata > Mammalia > Primates > Hominidae > Homo > Homo sapiens. The sequence continues at coordinate 102,281,684 of NC_000011.10, forward strand.
TAGCAAGGCCGTGTGCAGTGGCTCACGCCTATAATCCCAGCACTTTGGGAGGCCAAGGAGGGTGGATCATGAGGTCAGGAGTTCGAGACTAGCCTGGCCAACATAGTGAAACTACATCTCTGATACAAACACAAAAATTAGCTGGGCATGATGGCTCACGCCTGTAGTCCCAGCTACTCAGGAGGCTGAGGCAGGAGAATTGCTTGAACCTGGGAGGTGGAAGTTGTGGTTAGCCGAGATCGCACCACTGCACTCCAGACTGGACAACAGAGCAAGACTCCATCTCAAAAACAAAACAAAACAAAAACAATAAAAACAAATCAACAAATCCTGAAACCCTTCTTCCTAGCATTCCCTATCTACATTTTCTGCATTATTTAGCTTTATAGTATTTATCATTAACACAGCCTACATTTTACATATTTTTAAAAAATTGTATATCATTCCTTATTAGAATATTAATTAAATCCCAGGGATTTTTGTCTTTGTTTACTGTTGTATGCTGGAACCTAGAAGAGCATATGACTCCTATATATTGTAGTCGGTACTTGTTTGTTGTGTGTGTTAGTGGCTGAGCCAGGGCTTGTTGCAGACCTGCTTCCATGGTCAGGGAAGCTGGCAAGGTAATGGAATGAATGTGAGACTTTAACATCATATGTGTTTGGGTTCAGATTCTAATCCCAGCCTTTAGTAACTGTTGCAATTTGGAGTAGATTTCACCCAGATATCGGTGATATAAACAAGGAAAATGTTTATTCTTATTATTCTTTTGTGATAAAGAGGTCCAGCATTGATAGAGCAACTCCACAGTCATCAGGGACCCAAGCTTGTTCCACACCCCTTAGTATATGGTTTCCAATGGCCAGGCATGGTGGCTCACGCCTGTAATCCCAGCAGTGGGAGGCTGAGGCTAGAGGATTGCTTGAGCCTGGGAGTTCAGGACCAGCCTGGACAACATAGCAAGACCCCATCTCTACAAAATTAAAAAGAAAATTAGGCCGGGCACATTGGCTCACACCTGTAATCCCAGCACTTTGGGAGGCTGAGGCAGGTGGATCACCTGAGGTCAGGAGTTCGAGACCAGCCTGGCCAACATGGTGAAAACCTGTCTCTACTGAAAATATGAAAAATTAGCTGGGCTTGGTGACGGGCACCTGTAATCCCAGCTACTTGGGAGGCTGAGGCAGAATAACCGTTTGAACCTGGGAGGCGGAGGTTGCAGTGAGCCGAGATCGCGCCATTGCTCAAGAGTGAAACTCCGTCTCAAAAAAAAAAAAAAGAAAAAAAGTAGCCAGTAGTGATGACGCAAGCCTGTAGTCCTAGGTACTCGGAAGGCTCAGGTGGGGGATTGCCTGAGCCCAGGTGGTCAAAGCTGCAGTGAGCTGTGATCATGCCACTGCACTCCAGCCTGGATGACAGTGAGACCTTGTATGAAAAAAAAATAGAATATGGTTTCCATTCTCAAGTTTTTTCCTGACTATGGGAGCTCAGTCATGATGTCTGTGTTGGGGTGGGAGAAAAAACTCAGTTTCCTCTATTTAGTCTTCCCAGTGACTTCTGCTTCTCTCTCAGTGACTATGAGTAGGCTGAAAAATGTAGTAATTAGGGTGAGCATATTGCCAACCCAAATAAAACTTTTCTCTGTTGGTAAGAAAAAAGGAAAGGGTGGCTATTAATAGGTAGATGACTAGTAGGCACTGACATAGTAGCTGCCTAACTTGGGCAAATTACTTAATGATATCTACCTTGTGGATTGTATTAGATTTCCAGGGCTGCCATGGCAAATTACTACAAATTGCGTAGTTTAAAATAATAGAAATTTATTCTCTCACAGTTTAGGAGGCCAGAAATCCAAAATCAAGGAATCAGCTTGGTTGCTTCCTTGCCAGAGGCTCTGAGAGAGAAACCACTCCAGGCCTCTCTGGGTCTCTAGGGGTTTCTGGCAGTCCTTGACCTTCCTTAGCTCATAGGCCCTTCACTCCAATCTGCCTCATCTTCTCTGTGTCTCTGTGTGTTCTTCTGTCTCTTATAGTGACAATTTCCTTGGAGTTGAGGCCCACCCCCCTCCAGTATGATCTCTCCATTCTTACCTTAATCGCATCTGCAATAACCCTATTTCCAAACACAGTCACATGCTGCGATTCCAGGTAGACGTGACTTTCTGTGGGATACTATTCAGCGTACTACATAGAGTTATTATGATAATCAAAGATTCTGGGTATAAAGTGCTGGCATAGTCTGTCATATGAGGAAAATAGATCTTTTTTTACTCAGAAATCAGTATGAAACTACATGTAAATCACAAAACTCTTTTTGGAAGTTATAGCATGAAATGGGGATACCTTTTTCTGCCTTTTTATACTTGTTTATATGTAGCTTCTTGCACATATCATAGGCATTTAGTTCCATTAACTGAGTGAAGCCTGAGGATTACCTTTGGAGAAAAGTAGGTGTTGGACTTAAGCAACATCATTCATCTGTACCGTGAGGAGGAATGTTAGGAAAATGAGTCAAAGTGCATGTGGCAGGTGCATTTTGGGTTGCACGCCCTGCTCAGAGTCATTCCTCCCTTTCTAGGAACTGCCAGCAGCTGGGATACTCCTAGCAGACTGCCCAGAGGCCATAGGTGATTGGTCTATGGATGAATCCTCATCCTGGCCTATCAGATCAATTTTTTTAAAAGAGACTGGAATTTTGAACTACAGATGTAAATAGGGGGTTACGGGGCCTAAGGCTATTTGATGCAGCCTCCTGTTTCTGCTTCCTGCTTACTCCAAGGGAAACCTACATCCTTCTGATTAATTTGTGCTTCGGGGTTTGCTGAAGCTGGCACAGGTCATTTTCTGCAACTCAGAGAGCCTTAATTTGTAAAATACTGAAGTTACAGGATAGTAAACCCAACACACAAAGAATAGTAAACAGATATATCTACTTTCATATGTTTTCTATTTAATTTTTTTGATCTTGAAATCGTTGACTAATGGCACAAACCTGATTTTAAAGCAACCTTTCATTTTATGGATAAACATTAGCACATTAAAATGTGCCAGTAGGGGACTAGATGTGGTGGCTCACGCCTGTAATCCCAGCACTTTGGGAGGCCAAGGCGGGCGGATCATTTGAGGTCAGGAGTTGGAGACCAGCCTGGCCAACATGGTGAAATCGCATCTCTACTAAAAATACAAAAATTAGCCAGGCGTGGTGGTGCAGGCCTATAGTCCCAGCTAATTGGGAGGCTGAGGCAGGAGAATTGCTTAAACCGAGGAGGCGGAGGTTGCAATGAGCTAAGATTGTATCACTGTACTCCAGCCTGGGCAACAGAGCAAGACTCTGTCTCAAAAAAAAAAAAAAAAAAAAAAAAAAAAAAACTGCCAACGGGACCCAATCTTCCTAAGAGGGTCAGTGGACCTTTAAATAGCAAGACTTGGGCTGTTCTGAACTCCAGGAATATGGAGCTAAATAGCCAGAAAGATGCCAATGAAGCTGGCACAGCCGTTAGGATTTCTATTCAGTTCTGCATGTTCCTTTACTATCTATTATTTGGCTTGAAAAATCTAGGGCCCAGACTATAAGAAAGACAAAACAGAATGGAAGCTAAGATGGCCAGTTTTTATAGTAAAAAATCTATTCCAAGGGGATTGGGTTGACACTTTCTCTATTTGCAAATAGAGAAAAGTAAATTAAAGAAGAAAAAGCCACACAAGGTATTTTTTTTCTGAACATATGTATTTAAAATATTTGTCACTGCATTTTGACTTATTCAAATTGTTTAATATGATATTTGTTGGTTGTATTTTTAGTAAAATGGAATTAAAGGCAGTTTGTATTTTGGCAACCTATTTTGTTCTGGTATCTTGGAGAGTGGAGTGAGGGGAAGACGATCTGAGAAAATTCTGGCATGGGGAGAGATGAGGAATGGGAGTTCTTTTTCACCTTCTAATGTTCTTGAGAATGCATCTCTTGGGGCTCAGGAAACAATACCCCAAATATGGCACTTTGGCCTCCTGAGTACTTTGATTTTTTTTGTTTGTTTTTTTGAGATGGAGTCTCACTCTGTCGCCCAGGCTGAAGTGCAGTGGTGTGATCTCGGCTTACTGCAACGTCCACCTCCCAGGTTCAAGTGATTCTCCTGCCTTGGCCTCCCGAGTAGCTGGTGTTACAGGTGCCCACCACCACACCCAGCTAATTTTTGTATTCTGAGTAGTTTGAACTAAAGGAGATTGGAAAGCCTCAGAGGCAGTTTAAGGAGCAAAGTCTCAGGGGCTCACGCCTGTAATCCCAGCACTTTGGGAGGCCGAGGGAGAAGGATCGCTTGAGCCTAGGAGTTCAAGACCAGACTGAGGAACATAGGAAGACCACATCTCTACAAAAATTTTTAAAAATAGCTGAATGGGGTGGCACATGCCTGTAGTCCCAGCTACTTGGGAGGCTGAGGCTCTCGAAGGATCTCTTGAGCCCAAGAGGCTGAGGCTGCAGTAAGCCCTCATCGCACCACTGAGCTCCAGCCTGGGAGACAGAGCCAGACCCTGTCTCAAAAACAAACAAAAAACTCCCCAAAACAAAGAAGCAAAGTCTTTCTCTGACCTTCTCCCACCTGTCTGTTTCCCATCCACCTTCCTTCCCTGAAGTGAGTCATAGAACCATAATTCCTCTTCCCAACTTTGGGTCATAGAAATTAGAATCCCTCTCCCTGCAAAGTGAGCCATAACATCTAGAAAGGTTACTCTCTCCCTTCTCCCTTGAACACCCTCATTCAGGAGGGGTGCTGCCTCATACCAGAGAGGAAAGAATGCTGCACAGAGAGGCCAAGAAGAATCTGAACGGACAGGACTTGCTGGGTTTCGCTCCCCAGTCTCTGACTTTCATCCAATCACATTTCTACGTGGTTGTCCATTCTTCATCAAACCTAAGAATAAAAATAGAAAGTTTTTTCTGGGTCTTTGGGTCTTCATTTCTGAAGGCTCCTGTGTCATCACAAAATACTTTGATTAAATAAATTTGTTATGCTTTTCTCTTGCTAATCTGTCTTTTGTTATAAGAGTTTTGGCCGTGATCCTTATGAAGGGTGAGACAAACAATTTGGAAATGGCATGCAAACAGATAGGACTACCTCCATTATCGTATGTAAGAATAGCAATTATGGGCCGGACATGGTGGCTCATGCCTGTAATCCCAGCACTTTGGGAGGCCAAGGCCGGTGGATCGCCTGAGGTCAGGTGTTGGAGACCAGCCTGGCCAACATAGTGAAACCCCATCTCTACTAAAAATATAAAAAATTAGCCGGGCAAGGTGGTGGGCACCTGTAATCCCAGCTACTTGGGAGGCTGAGGCAGGAGAAGTGCTTGAACCCGGGAGGCAGAAGTTGCAGTGAGCCGAGATCGCGCCATTGCACTCCAGCCTGGGCGACAGGGCGAGACTCTGTCTCAAAAAAAAAAAAAAAGGGGAGTTATTAATTTTATTAATCACATGATGGAGTCTTTCTGGGGAGAACAGGTGGCTCCCAAGCAGGTCCAAGCATGGCTTGAGAGAGCAGGGAAAGGAGACTGACTCTGCTTTTACTTGTGATTAGAGGGTAGGGTTCTTACTTGGCCAAGGCTTGCATGGTTTGAACTCACTTTCAGTGCCAAAGGAGGAAGCACTCAGGATTTCTTATCACCCCGCCCAGAGGTGGGGCAAGGAGAAGGAAGTTGGCGGAGGGGGAGGGGGGGCTTGAAAACTGTCAGCAAACATCAAAAATGGAGTCAGACTATGAGAATAAAAGAGTTTAAAAACCTCCTGTTTACTTTTTTTTTTTTTTTTTTTTTTTGAGACGGAGTCTCGTTCTGTCACCCAGGCTGGAGTGCCGTGGCGCGATCTCGGCTCACTGCAAGCCCCGCCTCCCGGGTTCACACCATTCTCTGGCCTCAGCCTCCCGAGTAGCTGGGACTACAGGCGCCCGCCACCGCAGCCGGCTAATTTTTTTTGTATTTTTAGTAGAGACGGGGTTTCACCGTGGTCTCGATCTCCTGACCTCGTGATCCGCCCGCCTCGGCCTCCCAAAGTGCTGGGATTACAGGGGTGAGCCACCGCGCCCGGCCCCTGTTTACTTTTTTTCTCTTTCTTTGAAATGGAATCTATGTTGCCCAGGCTAATTTTGGAACTCCTGGATTCATCTTTTCTACATTAAAAGATAATTTTCACTTAAAAAAGGGAACAAGTAGCTTTGTGTATTATATTTAATTTTGGCCTCCAAGTTTGAAACATCTGAACTGTCAATTAATGAGGTCTACACTACCGCTATGGGGCTTGGGACTTGTCTGTCCCTGGTTAGAATGTTTCACTAGGGAAGAGACTTCAGAATCTCTCTTGTTACTGTTAAATAGTAGCGGGCACATAGTAGACATGTTGCAAATATTAAATGGATGGCTGGTGGATAAATGGATGGATGAGTTCAAGAGAGTTGCCACTAGATGGCACTGTTTATTTGGATCTGTGTTGCAAATTTTCACAGGCATCTCAACAGTCCAGGGGAAGGTGGTGGCTATTCTTCGGGATCACGTCAGCCACGTATGTCTGAACTCCCCTGATCCTGCCCCGTTATGGCTGCTCCTTCATCCCCCACCAGCCCTCGAGGGGGTTGAGAATCATGAAATTTTCTCCTTGGAAATAATCTCAGATATTATCTATTCTATTGCAACTCCCCAAATTTTCAGGCTAACAAAATGGGGGGCAAGCCGTGAAACACTGCAGTGGGAGTGTAGCTGTCAGCAATTGATTTAGTTCAGATGTCTCAAACTTAGGAGCCAAAAATAACGATAATATGCTGAGCTATGTGTTCATTCAGAAAAAAACAAAAACCAAAAAACAAGAATTTCCTGCAGCGGACTTAACACCTGCATCCTGCGCCCACCATGATCCAGCCCCTGCAGTTACCATGCCCCTACTCCCCCAACCTCCCCCGACCTCCATCTGTTGTAGCAGACCCAGAAGGTCCTTCCCTAGACTTACATCTAATATTTACGTTTCACTCCCCGATAAGCTGTAAGGATCCCTTGCTTTCTGCAAATCGACTAGGTCTGCCATTTTCATCCTTAAACCTGACCTCCTTCTCCATTTGGCCTCAGGCCCAGCTGACCTGGCCTTGTTTTCCTCATCATAAGTGACAGTTTTTTAAAATCTGAAACATTCTAGTTGCAAATCCCATTACTGCCTCTATAGAATCCTGCGGTTTTGATTTTATCTAATCCCAGCATTTAACAGCAACTGGGCAGCTCTGCTATATCCGGGCCTGTGGTAGTCTCATTATCATGCATTTTAGCAATTATTCAAAATGCACCTTTTCACATAGAAGAAGAGTAAGTCCAAGTCCAATCTAGCCATAATTCATTCACTCATTCAGTAAGCATTCACTACATGTATATTACATAGAACCGGGTTCGGTCATTGTTTATAAAAACAAATAAGGCATTTCCACTCCCCAAAAGTAGACATGCAATCAGATAAAGTACAATCAAGTACATTAAATGCTTAGTAGTCTAATGAAAATAAATAGCAGCGTCCTTTATCAGACTGAAATGAAATATTGTTCTGCAATACAGACCACTGCAACTCTGAGTTTTCATCTACAATATAAGAATGATAAACTCTACCTCCCAGGCTAGTATGAAAACTCAAGAGTGAGTGTGGATATATAAACAAAATTTCCTCAGTACAGCTCTTGGCCTACAACAGGTGTTCAATAAGTACTGTTCCCTTCTCCTTCTCTATAATAAAGGTATAAACAAAATTTTGTGGGAACACAGAGGAGGAAGGTTGTAAGAGTTTCCTGAAAACTCTGCAATCTGAAGCACAGAAAAAGAAGAAAGTTGTAGGCAGGGGGCAAAGTAAATAGAGAGATGCATCAGCTGGGTCCTCCGGGAAGCAGATCTGAGACAGAGTTAGTGCAAGAGGCTTAGTGGGAAGTAATGCCACGAAAAATGAAAGAGACTGGAGAGGCGGTGTTGGGTGGAAAAGCTCAGACAACGTTGCAGATCTGAGTCTCCACCCACCCAACAGAGAGCTCTGGAGCAATAGTGCCTGTTAGAGGAGTCCTGCATTTTGCAGAAATATCCAGGCCCTGGTTCCCCTCCAGGAAGAACATGACCTTAGCTAAAAAGTGGCAGATTCTGGAGGTAGTAACAGCAGAGGCTGCCAGCTCACTGCATTCTTGGCAGTTGAGCAGCAAAATTTTTTCTTGAAAAGAGATCTGAGGGGCACACCTCTGTGTCTGCCACAGTATTTTGTTCTACCTCCTTCTAAGACTTACAGAGTGCCAGTATGTCCAGATGCTGTGCCAGGCACTTTTTTCATTTATTCTTGCAACAGCTCTTTCAGATGGATAAGATCCCCACGTTTCAGATAGGCAAAGTGTGTTTCAGTCCATGCTCTTCCCCAGTGGCCTGCTTAAAACAACGTCAGTGGTGGTGGTTGTCTGAACCAGCAGAAGTTACTCCAGGGAGTGAACCTAACACAAGATTTGGATGCAGGGAGACACAAGCTGAAGGTAAACTGGAACTGACAGGTTCTAGTCAAAATAGTAGTGACCCTGATGGTTCAATACTCTTGAAAGAGAACTTTCAAAGATAATAATACATGGTTCAATTACCTATGGTGTAATTGGGATCACGTATTTCCCTTACTTGGAATTTTCCATGGCTTTCCATTTGTCTTAGTCACATCAGGCTGCTCTAACAAATTGCCATAGGCTCAGTGGCTTAAACAACAAACACCTGTTTCTCACAGCTTTGCAGGCCAGGAAGTCCAAGATGGAGGCACTGGCAGGTGTGGAACTTGGTGAGGGCCAGCTTCCTGGTTTACAGATATCTATCTGATTTGTATCCTCACATGGCAGAAAGCAGGGAGAGAGGAAGCAAACTCTCTCCTGTATTTTCTTATAAGGCCACTAATTCCCATTCATGAGGGCTCTACCCTCAAGACCTAATCACCTCCCAAAGGCCCCACCTCCTGATACCATCACAGTGGTGGTTAGGCCTTCAACATATGAATTTTGGGGAGCATAACTTTCCTCTATAACACCATCAGACTCAGAATAAAGTGCCTTATCATGGCCTTCAAGGCTCTGCTTGTCCTGGCCTTGCCTGAGCCTCTAACCCAGTGCTTCTCTTGCCCCCCGGGGGACATTTGGCAATGTCTGGGGCCTTTTTTGGTAGTCACAGCTTGGGATGGAGCAAAGGAAGGTGTTACTGGCATCTAGCGATACAGGCCAGGGATGCTGCTTAACATCCTACAATGCACGGGACAGCCCTCGACAAATAATCGTCCAGCCCAAAATATCAGCAGTGCCAAGGCTGAGAAGCCCAGCTCCCTCCCCTCCTATTGCTTCTCTCTCCTTATTCACTCCACTCCAGCCGCTAGCTCAGTGCAGGCCTCGACACATGTTCCCACTCTCTGGAAGCTGGCTTGTCTTCCCACCGCACCTCTCATGTTCAGGTCTCAGCTCAGATGCAACTTCCCCAGACAGGAGGCTGGCAATCTGTTCAAGGCATGTTCCTCCCAACCTCTCCTGTTATCTTCGCTCCCATCCCCCTGATATCTTTCTCCATGACACTCACCATGATTCACAAATCCAGATTTATTTGAACTTTGCCGTGCTTCTTTCTTGCTATACTATGAACTCCACACACTATATGTCCATCCATTAGTAGGTGCTAAGCATATTCTATGTGCTGAAAACATACTTGAGTGAATTAATAACATTTTCCAGAAAATGCCTTGGTTTGGGGAAGCTAAATTCCAGATGCATTTAGAGGGAAATTTCATTGCAGTTTAGTTACAGTGTGGCACTTATCATTTATTTTATTACTGATTATCCAAATTTTTGGCCATCAGCATGTTTTCAGAGACTGTCTTATAATATTTGCTTTGCCGTGGAGAACACCTCATTATTGCGATGGCCTTTCTTGCCCACCTGCCCACCCACCTCCTGCACTCCCCCTGGCTACCCTGGCAGTGCTCCTGTTCCTCACGAGCACTAGGCTCAGTCCCCTCCAGGGCTCCACACTTGCTGTTCTCTCTGCCCCTAGACCTTCCCACATGGCTCACTTATTTCAGATCTCAGCTCAAATATGAAATCTTCCTGGTTTACAGAAAGCCCAGATGGGCTTTCCTGAGCATCTCTCTAGAATCATCACTGCTGTCTCCTTCCTATCCCACTGTCTTTTCTTTTGGAGCATATCCACTATCCACTTGTGCACTGTCTCCCCAACTACAATGTCTGCTTACCAAGGACAGGACTTTGCCTGTCTTGTTCATGGCATCCGCAGCCCCTAGAATAGGGCCTCTGGTAAAGACTGTTGAGTGAAGAGTTCCAGAACACAGAGAAAGGTACACAGCAGCAGTAATAAGGATGAGCAACCTCTGTGCAGCAACAACTGTCCACCCTCTAAAAAGCTGCTTTCAGAAAGGAAGGGGCAGATTGTCCAATTTTCTCCAGTAAATGCTGCTACCATCTTCTCTGCTAGGAAGGGCTTTTTTAAAATTTTAATTTAACTTAATTTAATTTAATTTAATTTAATTTAATTTAATTTAATTTGAGATGGAGTCTCGCAGTGTCGCCCAGGCTGGAGCGCAGTGGCACGATCTCAGCTCACTGTAACCTCCGTCTCCTGGGTTTAAGCGATTCTCCTGCCTCAGTCTCCCAAGTAGCTGGGATTACAGGTGCCCACCACACCTGGCTAATTTTTGTATTTTGAGTAGAGACGGGGTTTCGTCATGTTGGCCAGGCTGGTCTTAAACTCCTGACCTCAGGTGATCCACCTGCCTCGGCCTCCCAAAGTGCTGGGATTACAGGTGTGAGCCACCACGCCTGGCCAGGAAGGGCTTATTTTGAGCCCAACCTGGATGAATTTCTCATGTGTCCTGTGGTATCTCACTGCCTCCTCAGCACACCACCTTGTTATTCTTACAGAAGGTGTGGTGCCAACAGCAGTGAGTGAGGCTACCCAAGCTTCCGGTGGGGAGGAATATTCTGGAAACAGAAGGACACAGATAGAAGGAGTTACAACTGATCTTATACTCTTGGTCATAACTCTATTATAATCTTAGGTCTAAGTCTCAGAACTATGAAACACTCTTAGGACATTCTTAATGTCCTTAGAAACTAAGAAAAACTTAGGAAGACTTGTCATATAAGGGAAGAGCCAAATGAATGATGTTCACAGTTCTGAATCATGTCAAACAGATAATCTTCATAGTGGCGTTTTAAATTTTCTCACCATAAGATGAGGACAGAGATCCGCTGTACCGTTCAGTGCAGGCTATGCAATTGGAAAAAATAGGAGGATAATTCTTCTTCAGTACTTTCTAGTCTTAATAGGGCCGCATTTTCTTTTGTTACTAAATGTACAATGTCACATCTTCTATTCTTGTTGCCAGATGAATGTGATCTAGCACAATACTATCCTGTTAGCATTTCTATGTAAATATGAGTCAGTGGTATTATGCTGAGCTGGAAGTTAAATAAAAAGTAATTAACCACAGGCCGGGCACGATGGCTCAAGCCTGTAATCCCAGCACTTTGGGAGGACACAGTGTCTCATGCCTGTAATCCCAGCACTTTGGGAGGCCAAGGTGGGCGGATCACCTGAGTTCAGGAGTTTGAGACCAGTGGCCAACATGGCGAAACCCCGTCTCTACTAAAAACACAAACATTAACTGGGCATGGTGGGCACCTGTAATCCCAGTTACTTGGGAGGCTGAGGCAGGAGAATTGCTTGAACCCAGGAGGCGGATGTTGCAGTGAGCAGAGATCGGCCACTGAACTCCAGCCTGGGTGACAGAGTGAGACTCCGTATCCAAAAAAACAAAAAGAAGTAATTAACCACAAAGACAATTACAGTTTACGTAGGTGTTTACAAGTCTGAGACGGTGGGAAAAGTTGACCTTTTTTAAAAAAAACACCTAACATTCCCTGAAATATCTTGACCTTTTAGAGCTGAACTACAATACATGGTTTCACACTTAAGATGAAATTATGCTCATATTAACATCAAAATATCTGGTTTGTTTTTTGGACTTTCCTAGTCTTTGCAGTCATATTAACAAAACGAAAGAAAAGTAAAAAGTAAAAGTAAAAATACCACGAAGCTATAGATTACTTTTTTTTTGTATTCTTTAATTTTATTTTTTTAAATTTTACTTCAAGTTCCAGGATACATATGCAGAATGTGCAGGTTTGTTACATAGGTATACATGTGCCATGGTGGTTTGCTGCACCTGTCATCTAGGTTTTAAGCCCCGCATGCATTAGGTATTTGTCCTAATGCTCTCCCTCCCCTTGACCTCCACCCTCCGACAGGCCCTGGTGTATGATGTTCCCCTCCCTGTGTCCATGTGTTCTCATTTTTCAGCTCCCACTTATGAGTGAGAACATGCGGTGTTTGGTTTTCTGTTCCTGTTTGGATTTTTTACTTTAACACAACACGTACAAATCTAGGCTTCACTGTCAGATTTTGCTTTCTCACCACTAGAAGGTGCTAACAACACCATTACATGTTTCCAGTGTGACAAACTGTAAGAAGCCCAGCGAGCTCATGGGGAAATATATTCATCTGTTTATTTTTGGCAAATTTACTGAGAGTAGTTTGATTTGAAACAATAACATATAGCAATCTGTTTCCTCTCTAATGGGAAGGCACCTAATTATCCATTTTGTTATTAATATTCAATCTAGAAAAGTGATAAAAAGAATGCATAAAAAATACAATTATCTCTAGATTCAAGTATACAAAATAAACTGATGCATTCTCTTGGATTTAGTGACAATGCTTCTCGAAATTTGTACCAAGATAAAATATCAGAGGGGTGAACAAAAAATGAATGGATAAGATGTTCATCTCAACATTGTTTAAAGTACTATATAATGGCTATGTTACATAACTTCATACAGTGGAACACTGCGGCCATAAAAATGATGGTGAAGATTGTGTTTATTGCCATGGAAAGCTATCCATGCAATATTATTGTTGTTATTATTTTAAATAGAGATGTGATCTTGCTGTGTTGCCCAGGCTGGAGCACACTGGTGTGATCATAGCTAACTACAGCGTTTAACTCCTGGACTCAAGCAATCCTCCCACCTCAGCCTCCCGAGTAGCTGGGACTACAGCATGCTCCACCATGCCCTGATAATTATAAAAATTTTTCAGTGATAGGGTCTCACTATATTGCCTAGGCTGGTCTCAAACTCCTGGGCTCAAGCAATCCTCCCGCCTCAGCCTCCTGAGTAGCTGAGACTATAGGCATGTGCTACCATGTCCAGCTGATGCAATATTATTAAGTTAAAAATGCAGGCTACAGCTCTTTTTCATGGTGGCTCGAAGGCGATCAGCTGCTTCAAGATGAAGCTGAACATCTTCCTGGCCACTGCCTGCCAGAAACTCATTGAAGTGGACAATGAACACAAACTTCATACTTTTTATGAGAAGTGTATGGCCACAGAAGTTGCTGCTGATGCTCTGGGTAAAGAATGGAAGGGTTATGTGGTCTGAATCAACAGTGGGAACGACAAACAAGGTTTCCCTATGAATCAGGGTGTCTTGACCCATGGCCATGTCCACCTGCTGCTGAATAAAAGGCATGCCTGTTACAGACCAAGAAGAACTGGAAAAAGAAAGCAAAAATCTGCACGTGGTTGCATTGTGGATGCCAATCTGAGCATTCTCAACTTGGTTATTGTAAAAAAAGGAGAGAAGGATATTCCTGGACTGACTGATACTATGGTGCCTTGTCATCTCGGGCCCAAAAGAGCTAGCAGAATCTGCAAACTTTTCAGTCTCTCTGAAGATGATGATGTCCACCAGTGTGTTGTAAGAAAGGCTTTAAACAAAGAAGGTAAGAAACCTAGGACCAAAGCACCCACGACTAAGTATCTTGTTACTCCACATGTTCTGCAGCACGAATGGTGGCATATTGCTCTGAAGAAACAGAGAATTAAGGAAAATAAGGAAGTAGCTGCAGAATATGCTAAACTTTTGGCCAAGAGAATGAAGGAGGCTAAAGAGAAGCATCAAGAACAGATTGCCAAGAGACGCAGACTGTCCTCTCTGTGAGTTTCTACTTCCAAGTCTGAATCTAGTCAAAAATAAGATTTTTTGAGTAACAAATAAATAAGACAGACTAAAAAAAATGCAGGTTACGAATTGTCATTTAATATCTCATTTAAATAAAGATATGATAAAGAAAAGCACGGAACATATTCACTGAAATGATGATTGTCTCTAGACAGTGTGATTATTTGTGATCCTTATTATCTGGTTGTGTGACCCTGAAAAAAAAACTTAGCCCCTCCGTACCTCTCAGTTTCATCATCAGCAAAATGGTGGCAATAATATTTCCTACCTCATGGCTAATATGAGGAATTTAACATATTTACATATGTAAAGCATTTAGAAGAGCACTGAACACATCACACATACTAAAAAACTATTAGCTATCATACTCATTATCCTAATTGTCCATATTTTCTAATTTTATGATGGTGTATGTGTTATTTTTATAACCAGTAAAGACAATAAACTACTTTTTTCAAAAAGATAGCTCTCACAGAGGAGGAGGGAAATAAATTCATTCCTATCTATAAGAATAGTGGCCGGGTGCGGTGGCTCACGCCTGTAATCCCAGCACTTTGGGAGGCCAAGGCAGATGGATCACCTGAGGTCAGGAGTTCAAGAGCAGCCTGGCCAACATGGCGAAACCCCATCTCTACTAAAAATACAAAAAGTAGCCGGGCGTGGTGGCATGCGAATGTAATCCCAGCTACTTGGGAGGCTGAGGCAGGAGAATTGCTTGAACCTGGGAGATGGAGGTTGCAGTGAGTGAGATCACGTCACTGCACTCCAGCCTGGGCAACAAGAGCATAACTCTGTCTCCAAAAAAAAAAAAAAAAGAAAAAGAAAAAAGAATAGTAAGTCACTTAATTCCCATTTACCCAAAAAGTTAAAATAGTCAGATGCTTTTTAAAAAATTATTATTATACTTTATTATAGGTATATGTGTGCCATGTTGGTTTGCTGCACCCATCAACTCGTCATTTACATTAGGTATTTCTCCTAATGCTATTCCTCCCCCACCCCCCAGTCCCCCGACAGGCCCTGGTGTGTGATGTTCCCTGACCTGTGTCCAAGTATTCTCATTGTTCAATTCCCATCTACAAGTGAGAACATGTGGTGTTTGGTTTTCTGTCTTTGTGATAGTTTGCTGAGAATGATGGTTTCCAGCTTCATCCATGTCCCTGCAAAGGACAGAAACTCATCCTTTTTTATGGCTGCATAGTATTCCACGATGTATATGTGCCACATTTTCTTAATCCAGTCTATCATTGTTGGACATTTGGGTTGGTTCCAATTCTTTGCTATTGTGAATAGCGCCGCAATAAACATACATATACATGTGTCTTTATAGTAGCATGATTTATAATCCTTTCAGTATATACCTAGTAATGGGATCACTGGTCCAAATGGTATTCTAGTTCTAGATCCTTGAGGAATCACCACACTGTCTTCCACAATGGTTGAACTAATTTACACTCCCAACAGTGTAAAAGCGTTCCTATTTCTCCACATCCTCTCCAGCATCTGTTGTTTCCTGACTTTTTAATGATTGCCATTCTAACTGGTATGAGATGGTATCTCACTGTGGTTTTGATTTGCATTTCTCTGATGACCAGTGATGGTGAGCATTTTTTCATGTGTCTGTTGGCTGCATAAATATCTTCTTTTGAGAAGTGTCTGTTCATATCCTTTGCCCACTTTTTGATGGGGTTGTTTGTTTTTTTCTTGTAAATTTGTTTGGGTTCTTTGTAGATTCTGGATATTAGCCCTTTGTCAGATGAATAGATTGCAAAAATTTTCTCCCATTCTGTAGGTTGCCTGTTCACTCTGATGGTTTCTTTTGCTATGCAGAAGCTCTTTAGTTTAATTAGATCCCATTTGTCTATTTTGGCTTTTGTTGCCATTGCTTTTGGTGTTTTAGTCATGAAGTCCTTGCCCATGCCTATGTCCTGAATGGTATTGCCTCGGTTTTCTTCTAGGGTTTTTATGGTTTTAGGTCTAACATTTAAGTCTTTAATCCATCTTGAATTGATTTTTGTATAAGGTGTAAGGAAGGGATCCAGTTTCAGCTTTCTACTTATGGCTAGCCAGTTTTCCCAACACCACTTATTAAATAGGGAATCCTTTCCCCATTTCTTGTTTTTGTCAGGTTTGTCAAAGATCAGATGGTTGTAGATGTGTGGTATTATTTCTGAGGACTCTGTTCTGTTCCATTGGTCTATATCTCTGTTTTAGTACCAGTACCATTCTGTTTTGGTTACTGTAGCCTAGTAGTATAGTTTGAAGTCAGGTAGCATGAGGCCTCCAGCTTTGTTCTTTGGCTTAGGATTGTCTTGGCAATGCGGGCTCTTTTTTGGTTCCATATGAACTTGAAAGTAGTTTTTTCCAATTCTGTGAAGAAAGTCATTGGTAGCTTGATGGGGATGGCATTAAATCTATAAATTACCTTGGGGAGCATGGCCATTTTCATGATATTGATTCTTTCTGTCCATGAGCATGGAATGTTCTTCCATTTGTTTGTATCCTCTTTTATTTCATTGAGCAGTGGTTTGTAGTTCTCCTTGAAGAGGTCCTTCACATGCCTTGTAAGTTGGATTCCTAGGTATTTTATTCACTTTGAAGCAATTGTGAATGGGACTTCACTCATGATTTGGCTCTCTGTCTGTTACTGGTGTATAGGAATGCTTGTGATTTTTGCACATTGATTTTGTGTCCTGAGACTTTGCTGAAGTTGCTTATCAGCTTAAGGAGATTTGGGGCTGAGACGATGGGGTTTTCAAAATATACAGTCATGTCATCTGCAAACAGGGACAATTTGACTTCCTCTTTTCCTAATTGAATACCCTTTATTTCTTTCTCTTGCCTGATTGCCCTGGCCAGAACTTTCAACACTATGTTGAATAGGAGCGGTGAGAGAGGGCATCCCTGTCTTGTGCCAGTTTTCAAAGGGAATGCTGCCAGTTTTTGCCCGTTCAGTATGATATTGGCTGTGGGTTTGTCATAAATAGCTCTTATTATTTTGAGATACGTTCCATCAATACCTAGTTTATTGAGAGTGTTTAGCATGAAGGGCTGTTGAATTTTGTCGAAGGCCTTTTCTGCATCTATTCAGATAATCGTGGTTTTTGTCATTGGTTCTGTTTATATGATGGATTATGTTTATTGATTTGCATGTGTTGAACCAGTCTTGCATCCCAGGGATGAAGCTATCTTGATCGTGGTGGATGAGCTTTTTGATGTGCTGCTGGATTCAGTTTGCCAGTATTTTATTGAGGATTTTTGGATCAATGATCATCAGGGATATTGGTCTACAATTCTCTTTTTTTGTTGTATCTCTGCCTGGCTTTGGTATTAGGATGATGCTGGCCTCATAAAATGAGTTAGGGAGGATTGCCTCTTTTTCTATTGATTGGAATGGTTTCAGAAGGAGTGCTACCAGCTCCTCTTTGTACCTCTGGTAGAATTCGGCTGTGAATCCGTCTGGTCCTGGATTTTTTTGGTTGGTAGGCTATTAATTATTGCCTCAATTTCAGAGCCTGATATTGGTCTATTCAGGGATTCCAGTTCTTCCTGGTTTAGTCTTGGGAGGGTGTATTATCCATTTCTTCTAGATTTTCTAGTTTATTCGTGTAGAAGTGTTTATAGTATTCTCTGATGGTAGTTTGTATTTCTGTGGGATCGGTGGTGATATCCCCTTTATCATTTTTTATTGCATCTATTTGATTCTTCTCTCTTTTCTTCTTTATTAGTCTTGCTAGTGGTCTATCAATTTTGTTGATATTTTCAAAAAACCAGCTCCTGGATTCATTGATTTTTTTGAAGGTTTTTTTGTGTCTCTATCTCCTTCAGTTCTGCTCTGATCTTAGTTATTTCTTGCCTTCTGCTAGCTTTTGAATGTGTTTTCTCTTCCTTCTCTAGTTCTTTTAACTGTGATGTTAGGGTGTCAATTTTAGATCTTTCCTGCTTTCTCTTGTGGGCATTTAGTGCTATAAATTTCCCTCTACACACTGCTTTAAATGTGTCCCAGAGATTCTGGTATGTTGTGTCTTTGTTCTCTTTGGTTTCAAAGAACATCTTTATTTCTGCCTTCATTTTGTTATGTACCCAGTAGTCATTCAGGAGCAGGTTGTTCAGTTTCCATGTAGTTTGAGTGGTTTTGAGTGAGTTTCTTAATCCTGAGTTCTAGTTTGATTGCACTGTGGTCTGAGAGACAGTTTATAATTTCTGTTCTTTTACATTTGCTGAGGAGTGCTTTACTTCCAACTGCGCAGTCAGTTTTCAATAAGTGTGATGTGGTGCTGAGAAGAATGTATATTCTGTTGATCTGGGGTGGAGAGTCCTGTTGATGTCTATTAGGTCTGCCTGGTGCAGAGCTGAGTTCACTTCCTGGATATCCTTGTTAACTTTCTGTCTCATGGAGCTTTCTAATGTTGACAGTGGGGTGTTAAAGTCTCCCATTATTATTGTGTGGGGAGTCTAAGTCTCTTTGTAGGTCTCTAAGGATTTGCTTTATGGATCTGGGTGCTCCTGTATTGGGTGCATATATGTTTAGGATAGTTAGCTCTTCTTGTTGAATTCATCCCTTTACCATTATGTAATGGCCTTCTTTGTCTCTTTTGATCTTTGTTGCTTTAAAGTCTGTTGTTTCAGAGACTAGGATTGCAACCCCTGCTTTTTTTGTTTTCCATTTGCATGGTAGATCTTCCTCCATCCCTTTACCTTTGGTCTTTGATGTTGGTGATCTACAGATGGGGTTTTGGTGTAGATGTCCTTTTTGTTGATGTTGGTGCTATTCCTTTCTGTGTGTTAGTTTTCCTTCTAATAGTCAGGTCCCTCAGCTGCAGGTCTGTTGGAGTTTGCTGGAGGTCCACTCCACACCCTGTTTGCCTGGGTATCACCAGCGGAGGCTGCAGAACAGCAAATATTGGAGAATAGCAAATGTTGCTCCCTGATCCTTCCTCTGGAAGCTTCATCCCAGAGGGGCACCCACCTATATGAGGTGTCTATTGTCCCCTACTGGGAGGTGCCTCCCAGTTAGGCTACACAGGGACCCACTTGAGGAGGTAGTCTGTGCTTTCTCAGAGCTCAAACACCATGCTAGGAGAATCACCACTCTCTTCAGAACTGTCAGACAGGGACATTTAAGTCTGCAGAAGCTGTCTGCTGTCTTTTGTTCAGCTATGCCCTGCCCACAGATGTGGAGTCTATAGAGGCAGTAGACCTTGCTGATCTACAGTGGGCTCCACCCAGTTCGAGCTTCTTGGCTAGTTTGTTTACCTACTCAAGCCTCAGCAATGGCAGATGCCCCTCCCCCAGCCAGGCTGCCACCTCACTGTTTGATCTCAGTCTGCTGTGCTAGCAGTGAGCAAGGCTCCATGGGCATGAGACCCACTGAGCCAGGCACAGGAGAGAATCTCCTTGTCTGCCAGTTGCTAAGACCTTGGGAAAAGTGCAGTATTTGGGCGGGAGTGTCCTGTTTTTCCAGGTACATTCTGTCCTGGCTTCCCTTGGCTAGGGAAAGGAAATCCCCCAATCTCTCGTGCTTCCCGGGTGAGGCAATGCCCCACCCTGCTTTGGCTCGCCCTCCGTGGGCTGCACCCACTGTCCAACCAGTCCCAATTAGATGAACCAGGTACCTCAGTTGGAAATGCAGAAATCACCCATCTTCTGCATCGATCATGCTGGGAGCTGCAGACCGGAGCTCTTCTTATTCAGCCACCTTGGAAAACAAGTCTTAGTCAGATGGTTTTAATGTCTAATTTTTTTAATCTATTCTAAATAAGAATTCACTTAACATATGCATTAGTCTATTCTTACATTGCTATAAAGAAATCCCCGAGGCTGGGTGATTTACAATGAAAAGAGATTTAATTGTCTCATGGTTTGGCAGGCTTTAAGGAAGCATAGTGCTGGCATCTGCTTCTGGTGAGGCCTCAGAAAGGTTACAATCATGTTGGAAGGCAATCGGGATCCAGCATGTCACATGGAGAGAACAAGAGCAAGAAAGAGAGGGAGGAAATGCCATGCCCTTTTAAAAATAACCAGATCTCAGGTGAACTAACAGAGTGAGAACCCACTCATCATGAAGGTGATGCCATTCATCAAAGATCTGCCCCCATGATCCAATATCTCCCACTTGGCCCCACCTCCAAGATTGAGGATTACATTTCAACATGAGATTAGGAGGAGTCAAACACCCAAACCATATCATTCCCCTTCTGGCCCCTCAAATCTCATGTCCTTCTCACATTATAAAATACATTCATCCTTTCTAACAGTCCCCCAAAGCCTTACCTCATTCCAGCATCAATTCAATCAAAAGTCCAAAGTCACATCTGAGTCTCAAGTTGAGTTCTTTTTACCTACAAACCTGTGAAGTCAAAACAAGTTATTTACACCCAAGATACAATGGTGGTAGAGGCATTGAGTAGACACTCTATTCCAAAAGGGAGAAATCAGCCAAAAGAAAGAGGCAATTGGCCCCATGCAAGTCTGAAACCCAGCAGGGTAGGCATTAAACTTTAAATTCCAAAATAATTTCCCTTGCCTCCATGTCCTGTATCCTGGGCATACTGGTGCAAGATGTGGGTTCCCAAAGCCTTGGGCAGCTTTGCCCTTATGGCTTTACAGAATGCAATTTGTGGCTGCTCTAATGGGCTGGAGTTAAGTTCCTGTGGCTTTTTCATGCTGAGCTTGCAAGCTGCTGTGGCTTTACCATTCTCAGGTCTGGAGGTTCGTGGCCCTCTTCCTACAGCTCCACTAGGCAGTGTCCTGCTGGGGACTCTGTAGGGTCTCAAACCCCACATTTCCTCTCAGTACTGCCCTAGTAGCATTTCTCTGTAGGGACTCTGTCCCTACTGCAGGCTTCTGCCTGGGCATCTAGGCTTTTCCATATATCCTCTGGAATCTAGGTGGGAGTTGCCAAGCCTCCTTTACTCTTGCATTTTGTACACCTGCAGCCTTAACACCATGTGGAAGCTGCCAAGGCTTACAGTGGTTTGCACTTTCCAAAGTGGCAGCTTGAGCTGTACCTATGGCCCTGTGAGCCATGGGTGGAGCTGGAGTGGCCAGGATGCAGAGAGTGGGGTCCTAAGACTGAGCAGGGAAGCAATGCCCTGTGCCTGGCCCCTGAAATAATTCTTTCCTCCTAGGCCTCTGACCTGTAATGAGAGGGGCTGCCTCAAAGATTTCTGAAATGTCTTTAAGTCCTTCTTCCCATTGTCATGGATATTAGCACCTGGCTCCCTTTTAGTTATGCCAGTCTCTTTAGCAAGTGGTTGGTCCACAGCCTGCTTGGATTCTTTCTCTACCACAGAGCCAGGCAGAAAATTTTCCAAACTTTTATGCTCTGCTTCCCTTTTATATATAAGTTCCAACTTATTTAAGTCATTTCTTTGCTCCTTCATCTGATATAGGCTCTTAGAAGCAGCCATGCTACATCTTTTTTTTTTTTTTTTTTTTAGACAGAGTTTTGCTCTGTTGCCCAGGCTAGAGTGCAGTGGTGCTATCTTGGCTCACTGCAAGCTCTGCCTCCCAGGTTCATGCCATTCTCCTGCCTCAGCCTCCCGAGTAGCTGGGACTACAGGCGCCCGCCACCACGCCTGGCTAATTTTTTGTAGTTTTAGTAGAGACGGGGTTTCACCGTGTTAGCCAGGATGGTCTCGATCTCCTGACCTCGTGATCCACCCGCCTTGGCCTCCCAAAGTGCTGGGATTACAGGCGTGAGCCACCGCGCCTGGCCCATGCTACATCTTGAATAATTTGCTGCTTAGAAATTTCTTCTGCCAGATACCCTACATCATCATTCTTAAGTTCAAACTTCTGCAATTTCCTAGAGCATGGACACAATACAGCCAAGTTTTTTTGCTAGGGTGTAACAAGGGTGGCCTTTGCTCCAGTTCCCAATAACTTCCTCATTTCCATCTAAGACCTTGTCAGCTTTGCTCTCACTTTCCATATTTCTATCAGCATTTTGGTCACAACCATTCAAACTTTCCCTCATCTTCCTGTCTTCTTCTGACCCCTCCAAACTCTTTCAGCCTCTGTTTGTTACTCAGTTGCAAAGCCAATTTCACATTTTCAGGTATCTTTATAGCAATGCCTTCCTCCCCAGTACCAATTTTCTATGTTAGTCCATTCTTGCATTGCTATATAAAAATACCCAAGGCTGGGTAATTTATAAAGAAAAAAAGGTTTAATTGGCTCACAATCCTGCAGGCTTTACCAGAAGCATGGCACTGGTATCTGCTTCTGATGAGGCCTCAAGAAGCTTACAATCATGGCAGAAGGTGATGGGAGCCAGCATGTCACATGGAGAGAAGAGGAGAAAGAGAGAGTGGAAGGAAGTTCCATGCTCTTTTAAACAACCAGAGCTCAGGTGACTGACAGAGTGAGAACCTATTCATTATGAAGGAGATGGTGCTAAGCCATTCATGAAGGATCTGTCCCATGATCCAATACCTCCCATTAGGTTCCACCTCCAACATTGGGAATTACATTTCAACATGAGATTGGAGGCAACAAACATCTAAACCACATCACCATATATGGATTAATTCCAGTATTAGGTTTCTTAGTGTTAATTCAGGCTAAAGAGTAACAATTAAACAGGAGTAAAGACTGACATATATGTACTGATGTCAAAATGTGTTATTGATGTAACAATTGGCAATTAAAAAATCATACTGATACTTTGCACCACAGTTGTTTGTGGGTGAAGAATAATCTTTGTTTGGAACAGAGGCATTTGATAGGTAAATGTCTGATAAATGGTGGATACCAAAGCCTGGGTGTAGATTGGGACAGTGCTTTACAGAGGAAAAAAAATTACTGTTCTTCAATGAAAGATGAGAAAAGGAGAGTTGAGGTAAGGGAAGGGGAGGAAAAGATAAGAGGATAAAAGAGGAGGAGGGGGGACAAAAGGGGACAGTAGAGGAGGTGAGAAGGGAGAGGGGGAAGAGGAAGAAGAAAGAAGTTGGATGGAGCACTGGAGGAAGAGAGTCAACAAAGGACTTCCTAGAAATGTGCAAGTTATTGTGGGCAGTAAGTGATATGATCAACCCACTGATTCTGTAGAGTCTACGTACTTTGGCTGGTGGAAAATTATGCAAAGGCTGCATTTCACATCTATGTTGGTGCTGGTTGGTCAGCGATAGCATAGATGAAGATTCTTGAGGCGCAGGGGATTATGGACCACATACATTTTCAGTAATTCATAGAAATCTTGGGCATTCCACGTCATGCAACTTGAGCCCAAGGCAACCAAGACCTCAAGGGGCAAGATGGTCTCCAAGTAGCAGCATCCAGGTTATGTAAAAATATGTGTGTGTGTATGTGTGTATGTGTGTGTGTGTGTGTGTGTGTGTGTGTGTTGGGGAGAAAGAGAGAGCACATATGGGGAAGAAAAAGAATTGGAGGATGGAGAGAGAAATCAGTTATGCTTATGAAAAATTCAACTACATTTTTACCTTTAATCCTATAATAGTCACATTTCATGCAAATAAAATATAGAATCTCTTTTAGTTCCCTCCCTGCTTCTGGTTGGTAGTTGCATGTACTGCTCAATATCCCTGGCAAGTAACATTCAGTTATAAGAAACTCAATGCCATTGGGGGAAAGTCCTTTCCATTTGTGAATACTTCTGTGGTTAGGAATTTCTTCACATTGAACTAAACTTTTCATTAAATATGTATTAAGTGTCTACTAAGTGGCAGGCACTATTTTATGTTCTGAGGATACAAAGTCCTTGCTCTTATCAGACTTATCTTCTAGTGGGTACAAATTCTAGATGAATAAAAGATAACTATGATGCCAGATGTTTACACTGAAATACACCTAGCTATACTGTACCAGCAAATACTAAGAAGGAAAATAAATAAGTCTCAGTGTAGAAATATGGACTAAAGACATAAATTTATAAGCATCCAGCTTATAATTTTCTTCAGATGCTGAGTATAAATGGCAATGAGAAAAGCCCCAGGGCACTCCACTATCAATATTCGGGGCAATGTAGGGGGACTAGAAAAGCAGCCAGACAGCTGCAAATTCCAACTTCCATTTCTGTCCTCTAGAGTAGAAATGCTTCTTCAGCAAAAAATCAGTTTTTTCCTTTGAAGATCACCATTCCGCGTTGCATAGTGGAAACTGAGCACTTCTTAACTGTGGTGGGATCAGTTAAGCACTTCCTTCTTACAACTTAAGTGTGATAAAGTGGCAGTGGGACTGAGGATCTGCTGGAGCTTTCCCAGGTAGAAGTGGCAGCAACAGCAACAACCTGCAGGCACTGGCAGGGCAGAGACTACAAGGCAGCAACGCCAGATCAGTGCTAGTGGCAGATGAGACCAGAAACATACACCCGATTGCCATGACAAACATTGTAATGCTGTATTAGCTACTGGAGCTAATTTCTGTATCACTGTGTGGACATAAACAGCAACAGAAGTTGGAAGAGAATGGAACCTGCCCCCTGTTGGCTGAGTCCCACCCCAAATGAATGGTGAAATTAGTAATCATCCCAGCTGGTATAATACTGAATTGTTTGAATGCTGAAACAATTGTTTCAAATCCAACTCAAACTGTTCACTGAGAGCCACTCAGTGTGCCCTGGGGAAAGGGGGGAGGAGTGGGGGGAGGGAGTGGGAAGAGGTAGATGGCCAGTAATGGAACTGTACGCACTCTGTACTCCGCGTACCCTGCCCCACCCCAAGCTGGTATGACTTCAGGTAAACACAAATTATACTATGAATCACATCTCTGCAATTCTATTCTTGAGCTATTTGATGCCCTGATGAGATGCATTTAAACCACAAATCTCAACTGTTGGGATCTGCTTGAATTCTGAGACTATTATCCAATTTACTGGCTATGAAGCCCAGATTTCTGCTACCTATAAAAATGATGCCCAGTGTCCTCAGCCAATCTACTCTTAATCATATTACTAAACATTAAGGAGAGATTTGATATCAGGCCCTGAGGCATCACGTCTTCAGAGACATTGTCCAAATCTTCTGCAGGGAGAAAAGAATCTGTTTAACAAATATCAAGTTGGATTGAACATCAGATGCAATGTGATACTATCATTCAACGTGTTTGTGTCTATTTTACCACAAAAATATTGTGAGAGACTTGCCAAGTGTTTTAATGAAATTCAAACATCTGCAGCCTTACCACCAGTCTCATCGGCTTATCAAAACAGGAAGTGGGTGTGTCGGGCCCAAATTATTTCATTTGAATGCAAGTTATCACCTGGCAATCCCTACTTCGTTATCTAAAAGTTCACATGGCACTCTGACAAATTCATACTAGGATCTTGCTTAAGATGGTTATCAAATGCATTCAGTCTAAATTGTCTGCAGAATCTTCTTTCTTCTCCTTTTTGAAAATTAGAATATTGGCTCATTTTCAGTTCTTCCACTATCTTGTGGGATTTTCAAAAATAATAACGTCTGTGCTTAAGTAATATCTTCTGCAATGTTTTTGAAAGTCTTTGTCCAAGACAAGAAAGAATTACCTAGAACTGCCATTTGCTTTGTAATAGCCTCCTCCTTAATCTTGACCTCTGTTTCCTCCTTACTAATGTTTGCCCCATCCTACTCCCCCAACCTTGCAGAGGAGTCACGCTGGTCTAGGAGAAGCACTAACCAAGTAGCTGCTGCTAGAGGAAGGAACCAAAAAAGCTGAAGCCAGAACACGATAGTCTGATTTAATTGAGAACAGTGAGGGTCAATGAGTCTGAGCTAACGTCCACCAGAAGGGTCGAGAGTCAATTCACAGCAAACAGTGAGAAGATAAAAGTCAGGATTCAAAAGCAAGCCAGGACCAGTCATGTATGGTACAAAGCTGTTGTATTAAATATGATAGCTACTAGCCACATGGGTGTTTCAGCACTTGAAATGTGGCTAGCACCACTGAGAAAATAAATTTTTAATTTCAGTTTAATTTTTATTTATATTTAAATTAAAATTGAACCAATGTAAGATATTTTTGCATTAATACAACTCCATTGGTTTGATAGGGCTACATTTCACTTTTACTGTTGCATCATGTAAAATGTCATTGTGACATTGTTCTGTGCATTATGCACACATGTGTCATATCATATAAACACTTACCAGTCTAGTTGGTGTCCACAAAATTATTTAAGTGATTTTTCCTATGCACCCATGTAACATTGTAACATGATTATTTGAATGTTTTATGCAGGTTGCACTAGTTAAATTGATACCTATATACATTGTAATTGGTAATTAAGTAAAAATGCTTATATTATAACAGAATTATATTTTGTTCTAATTTTAAAAGCAAGTATGGGAAAAAATTTAAGTTTAAAGCTAAGATATACTAGTGATGTAGAATAAAATGGTGATGCAGAGCCTACCAGTACTACAACTAGAACAGAAAAGAAAAAAAAAAAGACTGGAAGAAGATATGTCTTGAATTTTGCAATGAATGGAAATTGCAATTTGTTGTGGCAGAGCGAAACAAAAAAGCTGTTTGCTTGTTGTATACAAACTTTTAAAAGATATTAAAGTAGACAATATTAGAGATATTTTCAGACACTACATAGCAAATTTGATGTTTCCTTTCAACAGTCAAAAAATAATTGAAAAGAATAGATTTAGTCACCTGAAATCTGAAATAAATCTCTAACAAAAAATATTTTTGAAGGTTTCAAATGTACTTTATTTTTTCAATACTGCCATATTTTAATGGGTTCACAGTCCTTTTACTTGGCATAAATTGAGTTGGTTTTGAAACAATTCAGTATTATACCAGCTGGGATGATTTTTTATCTCTCCATTCATTTAGAGTGAGATTCTAGCAACAGGGGGGCAGGTTCCATTATCTTCCAATTTATGTTGCTGTTATGTCCACACAGTGATACAGAAATTAGCTCTACTAGCTAACACAGCATTACTGTATTTGTCATAGCAATCAGGTGTATGTTTCTGGTGGCTATGCTTTGTTGTTAATTGCTAAATGCTTCAAACTAGAAAGTGATTTAGTGTGTTTTTGGCCAAGGGAAGCATCGCGAAACTGAAGCTAGAACAGCGGCAACTGCAGTTGCTGGCTTGGTGCAACTTCGCTTCACATACCCTTGTTTCAATTTTTTTTTTTTTTTTCTCCTGAGACGGAGTCCCACTCTGTCGCCCAGGCTTGAGTGCAGTGGGACGATCTCAGCTCACTGCAATCTCCGCCTCCGGGGTTCAAGCAATTCTCCTGCCTCAGCCTCCCGAGTAGCTGGGATTACAGGCGTACGCCACCATGCCTGGCTAATTTTTGTATTTTTAGTAGAGACGGGGTTTCCACCATGTTGGCCAGGATGGTCTCCATCTCCTGACCTCAGGTGATCCATCCGCCTTGGCCTCCCAAAGTGCTGGGATTACAGGCATGAGCCACCATGGCCAGCCCCCCAATTTTTTTTTAAATTATGCTTAACAGGATCTGGGCTTGTAACTTTAGGTGGTGATTAAATGGCTTGGATTCTGGCATACAAAAAAAACCCATGGTGACATGGTAAAATACATTATTATTGTAGTTATGGAAATTTAGTTAGAAAATTATTAGGAAAACAGTAAAAATGATATTTCACAAAAAGTAAAATATTTTAAATTATGCCACCAAACAGTTGCCCATAGCCTACAAGCCCCTTTTAAGAATATCAAAGATAATTGATTAAAATTTTGAAAAATTGCAAGTACTTTACCTTTAGATAAGTCATGCCCAATTAATATTTTGGATATGTTTCATCTCAAAGAACTTCCAAATTTATGAAATGTTGCCAACATGTAAAACTAAAAGGTCAAACTCATGGTATAGAAATATTTGAACCTTTAATATTGTCAAAGAAGAGTTTCAGCTAGATATGAATTTAGGAAATTTTAAAACAAAAGATTGATGTGTCCCTTTCTTTCTTTCATCATAAATACATACTGAAAACATTTGTGCTCAGTGTTCTGAATCAGGCTCATGGAAAGCGTAGTGGATACAGTTATGAAAGTTGCGCAACATATGCATGCAAATGCTATGGATCGGTGCCAGTTTACGGAATTGCGGAAAGAAGTAGAAGACACTGACTTGAATGATCTTGTGTTGTTTTCCAATGTTTGCCCAAGACCCTAGCAGGCAGGCACACAGGTGGCTGGACATCAAGGGGAACTCAACGGCGTAGGAGCACACCAGCAGGCAGGCAGGCCATTGACCGCTGAACAACACGAAGTTTGTCTGGGACAGTCAAAGGAGAGCCCAGGTCCGCCGAGCTGCCCGACTCCACAGGAAAACCATTTTTCTTCTGGCTCCCCCATCTGCTGAGAGCTATTTCCAGTCAATAAACCCTTGCACTCATTCTCCAAACCCACGTGTAATCCTATTCTTCTGGAACACCAAAGCAAGAACCCTGAGATACAGAAAGCCCTCTGTCTTTGCGATAAGCCAGGGGTCTAATTGAGCTAACGTAAGCCGCCTATGGATGGCTAAACTAAAAGAGCACCCTGTAACACACGCCCACTGGGCCTTCAGCTTGAACATTCACCCCTAGACACTGCAGTGGTGTCAGAGCCCCACAGCCTGCCCGTCTGCATGCGCCCCCTAGAGGTTTGAGCAGCAGGGCACTGAAGAAGTGAGCCATTCCGTCTGTCGCAAGCCCTGCGAGGGGGACAAGGGAACTTTTTCCATTTATTTTATTTATGTATTTATTTATTTTTGAGACGGAATCTCGCTCTGTCACCCAGGCTGGGGTGTAGTGGGGCGATCTCAGCTCACTGCAACCTCCACCTCCCGGGTTCAAGCGATTCTTCTGCCTCAGCCTCCCGAGTAGCTGGGACTACAGGCGCACGCCACCACGTCTGGCTAATTTTTGTATTTTTAGTAGAGACGGGGTTTCACCATATTGGCCAGGCTGGTCTCCAACTCCTGACCTCGTGATCCACCTGCCTTGGGCTCCCAAAGTGCTGGGATTACGGGCATGAACCACCGCGCCCAGCCCTTTTTACATTTCAATAGTCCTAAATAGAAAAGTGAATATCACAAAGCTTCTAAAAGAAAATATAGAAGAAAATCTTCATAATCTTGGGATAGGCAAAGCGTTCTTAAACATGATATAAAACACACTGAACTTAAAAATATTATAAGTTGGACTTCATGGAATTAAAATATTCTACTTATCAAAAGAAACTATTAATGAAGCGTAAAGACAAGCTACAAATGGGGAGAAACTGTTCACAGTGCACATGTCAATGACAGGACTCAACCCAGGGTATATAAGGAATTCCCTGAAGTCAATCAATTCAATTTAAAAATTGGAGGAAGATTTGAACAGGCACCTCACAAAATATGATATCTAAAGTGTCGAGAAGCATATGGAAATATAGTCAACATCATTAATCAACAGGGATAGAAAAAAGCATAATGGGATGCCACCACATACCCAAAAGAAGAGCTAAACTTAAAAAGGCTCACAATACTAAGCCTTGGGAAAGATGTGTAGCAACTAGAACTCTTATACACTGCTGGTGAGAGTGTAAAATGGTGCAAAGACTTTGTAAAACTTTCGGCAATTTCTAATAAAAATAAAACATACACCTACCCAATGGCAATTCCGTATCCAGGTATTTAGCCAACAGGAAGAATTCATAGGTTCACCAAAAGAAAAACTAAAATGGGCTGGGCACAATGGCTGGGCACACCTGTAATCCTAGTACTTTGGGAGGCTGAGTTGGGCGGATCACTTGAGCTTGAGCTCAGAAGTTTGAGACCAGCCTGGACAACATAGTGAGACCTCATCTATATTATTAAAGAAAAAAAAATCTAAAATGTTTATAGGTTCTGGGCTGGGCATGGTAGCTCATGCCTGTAATCCTAGCACTTTTGGAGGCCAAGGCGGGCAGGTCACCTGAGCTCAGGACTTTAAGACCAGCCTGGGCAACATGGTGAAACCCCATCTCTACTAAAAGTACAAAAAATTAGCTGGGCATGGTGACTCGAGCCTGTAGTCCCAGCTACCGAGGAGGCTGAGGCACGAGAATCACTTGAACCTGGGAGGTGGAGGTTGCAGTGAGCTGAGATGGCACCACTGCACTCTACCTTGGGCAAAAAAGTGAGACTCTGTCTCAAAAAAAAAAAGTTTATAAGTTCTTTTCACAAGGGATTGAACCAGGCAACAACACAAATGTACATTAGCAGGAAAACAGAAAAAGAAACTATGGTAGGCCAGGCGCGGTGGCTCATGCCTGTAATCCCTGCACTTTGGGAGGCCAAGGCAGGTGGATCACCTGGGGTCAGGAGTTCAAGACTAGCCTGGCCAACATGATGAAACCCCATCTCTATTAAAAATACAAAAAATTAGCTGGGCGTGGTGGTGCACACCTGTAATCCCAGCAACTCAAGAGGCTGAGGCAGGAGAATCGCTTGAACCCGGGAGGTGGAAGTTGCAGTGAGCTGAGATCTCGCCACTGCACTTCAGCCTAGCCAACAAGAGCAAAACTCAGTCTCAAAATAAAAGAAACTATGGTATATTTATACAGTGGAATACTACTATGCAATAAAAAGAACAAATTACTGATACATGTTACAATATTGATGAAACTAAGAAATATGTTGAGTGAAGGAAGCCAGTATGAGTACACATCATATGATTTCATTTGTATGAAGTTCAAGGACAAACAAATGAGATCTAGGGTGATAAATCATAATAGTGATTGTGGGAGGGGGAGGGGTGGTGGGGGCATTATAGCTTGGTACTGACTGCAAAAGAGCATGAAAGAATTTTCTGAGGTAATGGAAGGTGTTCTTGATCTTGATCTGGTTGATAGTTAACTGAGTACATTCATTTGTCAAAATCATAAAGCTATACGCTTTTAATATCTGTGTACTTTACATGATATAAATTATATTTTATTAGAGTACTATCAGTATAAAATAAAGTAAGCCACCATTTATGAGGGGTAAACTTCATTATCTTGACTAAAGCTTTAC
This sequence comes from Homo sapiens, assembly GCF_000001405.40. NCBI lineage: Eukaryota > Metazoa > Chordata > Mammalia > Primates > Hominidae > Homo > Homo sapiens. The sequence goes on from NC_000011.10 coordinate 102,312,742, forward strand.
ATTAGAGGAGGTTTCTTTGTAAATTTGATCTTCGTTAGCACTTATTCAAGGCTGGTGTAATTGTATTTTATTTGCAAGATGTTAGAAAGTTATCAACAGACCAGGAAATTGTCAACATTTACAAGGACTCTCAGATTTGCTTTGGAATTAGAACAGTATGTTCCCTGTAAGATTTCACTTTCACTTTCAGTTCTAGATTCCTGGGTTTCTTTATACATAAAAATCTAAAAACTTACAGTGAAAAAGCATTAGGCTACAACTAAAGTTGTTACAACATTATGCGAAATTCCCTCCAGAGAAAAAATATTTTTAATAATAATTCCCCCAAGGGAAAAATACTTTTAAATTGATTATTTGATAATAGGATATTGAGAGCATACCGCTCTCAGGAATTGTCAGAGTTCTGAGCCAGGAATGGGATGAAAAACTCTGTCATTCATACCTTGCTCATACACTGACAGTAGAAAAAAACTGGAAAACCAAGAGGCCAAGTGTGGTGGCTCATGTCTATAATCCCAGCACTTTGGGAGGTCAAGGCAGATAGATGACTTGAGCCCAAGAGGCCAGCCAGGGCAACATCGCAAGGCTCTGTCTCTATAAAAAATACAAAAATTAGCCAAGCATGGTAGCCCGTGACTGTAGTCAGAACTACTCAGGAGGCTGAGATGGGAGGATTGATTGAGCCCAGTAGGTTGAGGTTATAGTGAGCTGAGATTGTGCCACCGCATTTCAGCCTGGGTGACATTTCAGCCTGAGAACAAGGCTCTGTCTCAAAAAAATAAAAATGAGAAAACAACAACAAAAAAACCACAAACAAACCTAGAAAACTGAAGATAGTAATGGCTATACAGTTTGTGTCTAGCTTTCACTTTCCTCAAAGGTTTCCTTGTGTATTTCTGTCGTGAAAAGAGTATTTGGAGCTTGGAATTCACTGGCTTGGAAGAAAATAAGAGTATTTGGAGAGAAAATATATTTAGGCTGTGCTTGCTTTGGCAGCACATATACTAAAATTGGAACCCTACCAAGAAGATTAGCATGCCCCCTGCACAAGGATAACAGCTGGATGTTGAAAGGAAAAGAGGAGTTTTTTTAATAAAGTATGTGAGATATACAAAGAGTTAGAAAGAAAATGCAAGGTAGGTTACACCATTAAAGATGTGGATGCAGGTTTAGAATAGAGAAAGCCCAAGTGGATAGTTTGGATAGATTGGCTCTATTTTTGTTAGTCAGTAAACAAAGGTTTACTGAGCACCTTTGAGCAGACACTCTACTAGTACTAGAATAATGCAGTGAACAAATATATACAGTGCTTGCCCATACACATTTATCTAGGGAAACCATTTTTTTTTTAATTGTGCAAAATGTTGCAAAGCAGACATGTTAATTTGCTTCCAACCTACTAGGCCTGACCCTAGCTCTCATGACCAGTTTGAAAAACGCGAGACTCAGTCAATTCAGGGATTTCTTAAGCCATGGTCTTTATTTATTTTTATTTATTTACTTTTTTGGCAATGGATTCTTGCTCTCTCTCCCAGGCTGGAGTGCAGTAGCGAGATCTCAGCTCACTGTAACCTCTGCCTCCCCGGGTTCAAGCAATTCTCCTGCCTCAGCCTCCCAAGTAGCTGGGATTACAGGCACCTGCCACCATGACCCGCTTATCTTTGTATTTTTAGTAGAAATGGGGTTTTGCCATGTTGACCAGGCTGGTCTCGAACTCCTGACCTCCGGTGATCCACACACCTCAGCCTCCCAAAGTGCTGGGATTACAGGTGTGAGCCAATGTGCCTGGCCAGCCATAGTTTTTAAACTGGGGTAAGTGTGCCCCTGGGTGTTTACAAAGACTTACCAACAGGGAGGTGGGAGCTCAAATAGTTTTAAGGAATTAATAGTCTCACTCTCAACTTCCATATGTAGCTTCTCCCAAAACTGATCTGCTTGAAAACAAGAACTGTGAAGGTTGCCAGGGTTGTTCTGTCTTCTCATCTCCCTTTTCACAATGGTTCTCTGTCTTCCCTTAAAAGACAGGCTCACCTCTCACCTATCATGAGTTTTAAAATCGTATATTTCTCTGGGTGTAGAAACCTCCTGGATGATTTGAAATAATCGATCTGTATTAGTGTTGAGAAAATGAATGACTCTAATATCTGGATATAGGGTTGCCAGGTAAAATACAGAACACCAAACTGAATCTAAATTTCAGATAACTAATGAATAACTTATTAGTATAGCTAGGTGCCAAATATTGCACAATACATTCTTATACTGGAAATGCATTCATTGTTTATATTAAACCAAAATTTAACTAGGTGTTCTCTGTTTTAATTTGCTAACTCTGTCAACTGTATCTGGATACCAAAAGTTCAGTGGTTTCTAAACCACCAATTTCAACAAAATTGAGTTGTCTACTGATAAGTAATTACATATTTTGATTAGAGATCACTAAATGATTTTTGGAATATAAAACATATTTTTTAAATTGTGAAAAAATTGCCATAATAATGTTTCTTCTGGGCCTATCTACTTATCTACTTACTTCTGTGAAATAAGGTTTACAACATTTATGTCTGTAGAAATGAAAAAAGGAACAGAATCTGTGCTGAACCCTAACATATTATAGCTATAGGTAATATTCATGACTGCACACTTGAAAAACTTGCTTAAAATACAAGCTGCCACCCCCTTAAATTGTATTTGTAATGCAGTTATTAACATTTACGATATTTTTATATTGTATTGACCAATTATGCTTTAAAAGTAATGAAAACAATATCAATGATAATGTAATCAAAGAGGATTTTTTTTTTTTTTTTTTGAGATGCAGTCTCACTCTGTTCCAGGGCTGGAGTGCAGTGGCACTGTCTTGACTCATTGCAACCTCTGCCTCCCAGGTTCAAGTGATTCTTGTGCCTCAGCCTCCCAAGTAGCTGGGACTACAGGCGTGCACCACCACACTTGGCTCATTTTTGTATTTTTGGGAGAGACCGGTTTCACCATGTTGGCCAGACTGGTCTTGAACTCCTGACCTCAGATGATCCACCCACCTTCGCCTCCCAAAGTGCTGGTATTATAGGCGTGAGCCACCATGCCTGGTCAAAGAGGAATTTTTTTTTTTTTTAACACTTAGATCCTTATGATCCCAGAGAAAAAAATAGATTTCAAGTTCTAATATGTATTTGTTTCAGAGATATGTGACAGAGAGATGATAAAAGATGTTCAGTACAAACATGTATTAACATTCTGTAGGGGAATTGGAATGTTCAATGACAAAAGGCAATGATAAAATATTTTCAGTTATTAAAGATGACCTGATAATTGCTTCATGGATGATCATGTATGTCAAATTACTATGGTATTAGGATCCATCAAATACATTTAAAAGAGTGCTCTATCAATTTTTTCTGAAAATATCTATGTTTACATTTTGTAGATTCTTGACATGTACAAGAGCTTTATGTTTTAATGTTAAGTTAAAAATGGGCAAGGGAATGCAGAGCTTTTCAAAATTCTTCTGGTGAGTACATAATCAAAAATGTGTAAGGCCTGCAAATTATTTTCAATAATCTCAGGAGTGAGTTGAAAATGGCTTAGAAAGTCTTGATTGAAGCAGACTCAAATGTGGATTAAAATCTCCATATGATAAATACACTTAGTCTTTCTGAAATAATTCCAACTGGAACTTCAGCTGCTATGGACAGCCAAGTCCACCTAAACAAGAGGATGCCTCAGCTCAGTCCAATTGCGTGCAGAATGCACTGGATGCTGTTTCCACAGAACGATGAAGTCTCCAATAATCTTTATGGGCTCTGTCTCTGGTTGGTAATTGTCTTTGATCTACTGGAAGATAGAAAATCAGATGAGCTCTCCAAATCCATCTGTTACCCTGGTACGGATGGCTCTCAGATAAAGTTGCTTAAATTTACTGCTTAGAGAACGTTGAGGGAAATATGGCAGTGCAATTAGACTCAAAGATGTCAGGTTTCCCTGAGAATGGCACTGCAACTCAGAAACCTGCCCTGTGAGATCAAAGGCTATAAAGGAGGGATTTTTTTAAGTAGCCAACTCCACCCTACTTATTAAAAAAAAAAAAAAAACAACTCACCAAACCAAACAAAAGTATTTCCATACAGAAAATTTACCAAGCCATTTCAATCTTTAAAATGGTAAAATAAACTGCAAAGGAGAACTGCATGATTTTTTTCACATACCCCTACATTTCCTTTCACCTCTTACTTTCTTGATCAGAACAAAAAGTAAAAATAAATAGAAATATTTCACAAAGTTTCGATTTTTTTTTTTTTAAATGCTGGACTTCTGCAGCTATAGTAGAAGATTGAAAAACCTAACCTTTTTACGTGTAAAGTGTATGGCGGATGGAGGGTGGAGAACAGGGCATATTGACCTTTTCCAGGCAGGCTAAGCAATGATCGTCCTCTCTATATGGGTTGTTATCAAGATTTCCTCTGACCCACGAGCAATGAAGCAAATGTCTTTCAGTAAATGCCGCGAAGATATGCCACGGTTAAGAGTCATGCTTTTGGGTCATGGAAATCCCCGAGTGGGTTTGCCAGGCCACTGATTAAGAGGAAGTGTGTGTGGTTATTACCGCTGGAGTTCCCCTAAGTCCTAAAAGGAAAGCACCAGTGCACATGCAAACCACTGGGAGGAGTGCGGAACGCCTGGTACAGATAGGGGTGGGGATTTGGGTGACGCATTTAAAAGACAGCGTGAGACTCGCGCCCTCCGGCACGGAAAAGGCCAGGCGACAGGTGTCGCTTGAAAAGACTGGGCTTGTCCTTGCTGGTGCATGCGTCGTCGGCCTCTGGGCAGCAGGTGGGCAAGGAAGGCTGGTGTGTGTGTGTGTGTGTGTGCGTGTGTGTGTGTGTATGTGTGCGCGCGCGCGCGCCTCCCCTGGTGTAAGAGATGTGCCAGCGGCTGGCCGAGGGGCGCTTAGGGCTAGAGCCCGGGGCGCTGCAGAGGTTGAGAGTCAGTGGGTGGGGCGCAGTTATCAAACACCAGGGCCCAAAAGCAGGCTCTAGATAGGTTCCAGGTGCTCAATTTCTATTTCACGTTTGGAGTGAGCCAGTGGAATTGTGAAGTTGTGGCATTTTGATTCGGTTGCCAAGAGTTATCACTGGGCCTTTGCAGGTGCCAAATAAATTTCAGGACAGAGCCTAAGGCAGAGCTCTGGCACAGGAAGGAAGTAAAACGTTTAATGAGCAAATGGACGCATGTTTCCAAGCGGTGGTAGGAAGACAGCAGTTTTTGGTTGTCTTCCTGGTGATCAGCATGGAAACCTAGTAGTGCTCTTACTCTGATCAATACATTGTCGAAGGCATGTACCTGATGCTAACGTAACAATAATATTAAATATTGACTTTATTTGCTATTATTTATTGCTAACATTAAGTACTGCTACCTGCTATGTGCTAGGTTTGTCTCTGAAGACTTTACATGTATTTTTCACGTTTAATTATCATAATCTTAAGAAGCAGGTACCATAATTATCTCCATTTGACAATGAGGAAACTGAGGCTCTTGGAGATTTACTTGTGCAAGGTCATGCTTCTGGTTACCGGACTGCTTGGTATTGGGCACCCCCGATGTCTGACTCCAAAGCCTGATACTAATCAATCACTGAGCTGACTCTGTGGTCATTAATATAAAATTGATAGAAGTACTGTGGTCACTCAGGTCTCAGTCATTTACTTCTTCAACGGGAAGTCTTCGTGTCTACCCCATATACCAAGCTCTGCAGATGCTATGAGTGGGAGGGCAGGTACAGAGATGAAACATATTAATAGTTGCCATTCTAAAAGAGCTTACTGTCTAGCGGGAGGCAGAAAGAAAAGGCACACTTGCCCTCCAGTGTCAGAAAAATGGATGTGCTGCATGCCCAAAGGGTAGGGATGCCCAACAGCCCTGGGACTGGGGAGGTTGCCTTCTTGGTAGGTTAAATGAATGAGTCAGAAGAGGAGAGGCTGGGGACTGAGCCAATCTGAGAAGGAACCACTAGAAATGAAAGAAGAATCCCAAGAGCTTGGTATCAGAGAAGCCCAGGGAATGGGACATTTCTAAGAGGAAGTGTGTCCCAGTGTCAGATGCAAACATTTCCATTGGTTTTAGCAAAAAAGCCATTGGTGTTATTAACACCGAAAGCAGTTTTAAGTGATGCTGACTTAATGAGTAAATGGGAGAGGGAAAATGGAGACATTAACCATACACACATGTCCAGTTTGCTTGGCTGTGAAGAGAAGGGGTGATACAGGGTAGTTGCTAGAGTGGAAAGTGTGGTTGAAAGAGGATTTTTTTTTTTTTTTTTTGAGACAGAGTCTCACTCTGTCACCCAGGCTGGAGTGCAGTGGTGCAGTCTCGGCTTACTGCAACCTCCACCTCCCGGGTTCAAGCGATTCTCCTGCCTCAGCCTCCTGAGCAGCTGGGACTACAGGTGCATGCCACCACACCCGGCTAATTTTTTGTATTTTTTTTAGTAGAGACGGGGTTTCACCGTGTTAGCCAGGATGGTCTCAGTCTCCTGACCTCGTGATCCACTCGCCTCAGCCTCCTGAAGTGCTGGGATTACAGGCATGAGCCACCACACCCGGCCGAAAGAGAATTTTAAAAATTTCTTTCATTTGAAAGTTGAGATAGATTTAAGCATGGTTATGTGAAAGGAAAAAGGCCAGTCGAGAGTGACAGGAATGAGAGTTGAAGCAATGAGGGGATGGGATTAAGAACAAGATTTCTGAGGCAGTAGGACAGTGTAGGATCCCATAAGGGGGCAAGTCTTTAACTGAGACAGCAAGTAGGTTGTGAGCCAAAACGGCTTGGATATGAGAACGTGAGAAGGTTCCTGCTCAATGATGTCTCTTTTCTTTGAGAAACAGAAGGCAAAGTAATTGACTGAAAATGAGATGGAGTGCAGTGGAGAAATTTGAGGAAGGTGTTGAAGGTTTAGAAGAGGTGCATAGGGCATGGGCTAGGGAGCTGAGCCTATTGCTAAGGGATGGCAGAGGAGTCTTAAGTGATGCTGGTCCCAGTCTGCAGGGTTGCATCTAGGTGTTGGAAATGATTAGGACAGAGGTTGAAGTGATCTAGGGTTGACATCTTGGCATATTTGTGTATATTTATTGTATAGTTGTTGCCTAAATTTCCACAAATATATGCCTTGCTGGAGTGCAGTGGTGTGATCTTGGCTTACTGCAACCTTCACCTCCCGGGTTCAAGTGATTCTCCTGCTTCAGTCTCCTGAGTAGCTGGAAATACAGGTGCGTGCCACCACGCCCGATGGTTTTTTTTTTTGGATTTTTAGTAGAGACAGGGTTTCACCATGTTGGCCAGCCTGGTCTCGAACTCCTGATCTCAAGTTATCTGCTTTCCTTGGCCTCCCAAAGTGCTGGGATTACAGGCGTGAGCCACCACGCCTGACCTAAAGCTTCTTTAGGATAAGATTTGTGTAAGGGGTTTGCAAACTCAAATGGAGGTGATATAAATGAGAAAAACTCTCAGTGTCTCTCTTTCTCTCTCTCTCTCTTTTTTTGAGACAGGGTCTTGCTCTGTCACCCAGTTTGGAGTGCAGTTATGCAGTCTCACACTGCAAGCTCTGCCTCATGGGCTCAAGTGAACCTCCTGCCTCAGCCTCTCAAGTAGCTGGGACCACAGGCAGGTGCCACCATGTCTGGCTAATTTTTGAGTTTCTTTGTAGAGATGGTGTTTTGCCAAGTCACCCAGTTTGAGGCTGGTCTCAAACACCTGGGCTCAAGCAATCCATCTACCTCAGCCTCCCAAAGTGCTGGGATTACAGGAGTGAGCCATGGCATGAGGCCTTGTGGGGTGTCTCTTTTAAATGAAAGCATACTCTGTTTACGTATTTGATATGAAGGAATATCCTTCCTTTCCACAAAGACAAAAATTATCCTATTTTTCTCAAAACATATGTCCTTTTTCTCTACTTTTCATTTTTGTTACTTTTGATGGACACATGTGTTACATTGATTTCACTTTCTCATAATTCTGCTGTAAGAAAAACAATAGTGCCAGTTCAATGACAAATAGCAACAGTCTGTTATTGCTAGACTGTTACTGTTAGTGGAGACTACCAGAACAGTCAGTCCCAGTGTCAGGGAATCAAAGAGAACATGTTCCCTCTCTAAAGGGCACAGCTGCTGCTCAGCTTTAGCTGATTGCTGCCCTGCAGGACTATAGGCCCAGTGTTGCTAGATCTTTTGATGTTTCAAGAGAAGCTTGGAATCTAGAATGTGATGGGAAGTCTCTTACATTTAAACATGTTGGCAATTAATGGTAAGATTTAAAAATACTGTGGTCCAAGAAAAAAATGGATTTGGAAACTGGATTAAATTCAAATGAGGCATGCAGATTAATCTACAGCATGGTACAATGTGAATTTTCTGGTTTCTTTAATTGCACTGTAATTAGGTAAGATGTTAGCTTTGGGGAAGCTAAGTGCAGAGTATGCAGAAACTATTATTTTTGTAAGCTTTCTCTAAGTATAAATAAATTTCAAAATAAAAATAAAAACTTAGTAAAGAACTATAATGCAATTCTATGTAAGCCAAACATAATATGTCTTCCAGTTTGAAACCTCTGGGTTTTATTTTATTTTATTTTATTTTTGAGACAGAGTCTTGCTGTGTCACCCAGGCTGGAGTGTAGTGGCACTATTTCGGCCCACTGCAACCTCCACCTCCCAGGCTCACATGATTCTCCTGCCTCAGCCTCCGGAGTAGCTGGGATTACAGGCGCGTACCACCACACCCAGCTAATTTTTGTATTTTTAGTAGAGATGGGGTTTCACCATTTTGGCCAGGCTGGTTTTGAACTCCTGACCTCAAGTGATCCACTTGTCTTGGCCTCCCAAAATGCTGGGATTACAGGCGTGAGCCACTGCACCAGGCAGAGGCCTCTGTTTTTTATCTCTTTTTGGCCTCTACAGTGCCTAGTAAAGCACCTGATACATGGTAAACGATCAGTAATTACTAGTACTCTATTTTGGAGAAAATGATTTTTTAAAAAGTCATTGTGTTCCATCCATGAGTCGTTTGAGTTTTAAAACTGTCTTTTTGTTTGTTTTTGAACAGGTTTACAAAGGAGGAAAACGACTTCTTCTAGATTTTTTTTTCAGTTTCTTCTATAAATCAAAACATCTCAAAATGGAGACCTAAAATCCTTAAAGGGACTTAGTCTAATCTCGGGAGGTAGTTTTGTGCATGGGTAAACAAATTAAGTATTAACTGGTGTTTTACTATCCAAAGAATGCTAATTTTATAAACATGATCGAGTTATATAAGGTATACCATAATGAGTTTGATTTTGAATTTGATTTGTGGAAATAAAGGAAAAGTGATTCTAGCTGGGGCATATTGTTAAAGCATTTTTTTCAGAGTTGGCCAGGCAGTCTCCTACTGGCACATTCTCCCATTATGTAGAATAGAAATAGTACCTGTGTTTGGGAAAGATTTTAAAATGAGTGACAGTTATTTGGAACAAAGAGCTAATAATCAATCCACTGCAAATTAAAGAAACATGCAGATGAAAGTTTTGACACATTAAAATACTTCTACAGTGACAAAGAAAAATCAAGAACAAAGCTTTTTGATATGTGCAACAAATTTAGAGGAAGTAAAAAGATAAATGTGATGATTGGTCAAGAAATTATCCAGTTATTTACAAGGCCACTGATATTTTAAACGTCCAAAAGTTTGTTTAAATGGGCTGTTACCGCTGAGAATGATGAGGATGAGAATGATGGTTGAAGGTTACATTTTAGGAAATGAAGAAACTTAGAAAATTAATATAAAGACAGTGATGAATACAAAGAAGATTTTTATAACAATGTGTAAAATTTTTGGCCAGGGAAAGGAATATTGAAGTTAGATACAATTACTTACCTTTGAGGGAAATAATTGTTGGTAATGAGATGTGATGTTTCTCCTGCCACCTGGAAACAAAGCATTGAAGTCTGCAGTTGAAAAGCCCAACGTCTGTGAGATCCAGGAAACCATGCTTGCAAACCACTGGTAAAAAAAAAAAAAAAAAAAAAAAAAAGCCACAGTGACTTGCTTATTGGTCATTGCTAGTATTATCGACTCAGAACCTCTTTACTAATGGCTAGTAAATCATAATTGAGAAATTCTGAATTTTGACAAGGTCTCTGCTGTTGAAATGGTAAATTTATTATTTTTTTTGTCATGATAAATTCTGGTTCAAGGTATGCTATCCATGAAATAATTTCTGACCAAAACTAAATTGATGCAATTTGATTATCCATCTTAGCCTACAGATGGCATCTGGTAACTTTTGACTGTTTTAAAAAATAAATCCACTATCAGAGTAGATTTGATGTTGGCTTCAGAAACATTTAGAAAAACAAAAGTTCAAAAATGTTTTCAGGAGGTGATAAGTTGAATAACTCTACAATGTTAGTTCTTTGAGGGGGACAAAAAATTTAAAATCTTTGAAAGGTCTTATTTTACAGCCATATCTAAATTATCTTAAGAAAATTTTTAACAAAGGGAATGAAATATATATCATGATTCTGTTTTTCCAAAAGTAACCTGAATATAGCAATGAAGTTCAGTTTTGTTATTGGTAGTTTGGGCAGAGTCTCTTTTTGCAGCACCTGTTGTCTACCATAATTACAGAGGACATTTCCATGTTCTAGCCAAGTATACTATTAGAATAAAAAAACTTAACATTGAGTTGCTTCAACAGCATGAAACTGAGTCCAAAAGACCAAATGAACAAACACATTAATCTCTGATTATTTATTTTAAATAGAATATTTAATTGTGTAAGATCTAATAGTATCATTATACTTAAGCAATCATATTCCTGATGATCTATGGGAAATAACTATTATTTAATTAATATTGAAACCAGGTTTTAAGATGTGTTAGCCAGTCCTGTTACTAGTAAATCTCTTTATTTGGAGAGAAATTTTAGATTGTTTTGTTCTCCTTATTAGAAGGATTGTAGAAAGAAAAAAATGACTAATTGGAGAAAAATTGGGGATATATCATATTTCACTGAATTCAAAATGTCTTCAGTTGTAAATCTTACCATTATTTTACGTACCTCTAAGAAATAAAAGTGCTTCTAATTAAAATATGATGTCATTAATTATGAAATACTTCTTGATAACAGAAGTTTTAAAATAGCCATCTTAGAATCAGTGAAATATG